>NC_000003.12:59403939-59706969 GCF_000001405.40 Homo sapiens | reverse complement strand
AAAGAAGCTCCATTCTCCAGAGTAACATTTTAAAAAAGCCAAGCACCTCACCTGAGTATAGATGTTGGTTATATTTCCATTCCATGTATCCATTGCCCCCTCTTCTAGAAATGCTACCTTGATTTGCCTCAGGAACTACTTCTCCTCATTCTTCATCCACGTGTGTGAGGTGGAGCTGATGCCTCCTCCAGTGCCTACAGCTCTGGGGTGGCCTTGACCTCAGCCTGGTCAATCATTGCCTTGTGCCTCTCTGGCTAGAGTGATTGGTTGGGGGATAGACCCATGACCTAAGCTGATCCAGGAAAGACATCCTGAGACTTTTGCTTGGATTTGTGGGAAGGAAGAGTTCTCTTTGCCTGTGGCATGCTGGCTGTAAGCCTAATCTAAGCCCTGATTTGCCAGGCCCACTGTATTGACAGGGCCTTCCTTGGAATGAGGCCAATGTGGAGAAAAGCAAAGAATAGGGAAAGGGGGATAGAGACCCCGGATCCTTAGGATTTCATGGAATCCTCGATCTGACCAAGTTCGGAGCTAGATCCACTCCAAGACTTTGTAGTTGCATGAACTAATACCTTCCCATTTCAGTTGAAGCAACTTTTAATCGGGTTTCTATCATTTACGCCAAAAAGATACATTTGAAGGACACAATTACAGGGTTTCTATACTCCAAGCTTTTTGTATCTCTGAACATATTGAGGCCAAACATGCCGTGGAAACCACACAGTCTTTGTTCTCCAATAAACACTGAAACCTTCCTTTCTAAAGGGGAAAGCAGCAGATCTGTTAGAAATGGCATGGCTAATCTTGCCCTGAATTACCATTCTAAGAAGACCAGAAAACCCCTACATAAACAGTGCAAGGTCAAAAATTTGCTAGAAATATCAGTTAAATCAAAATGCTGAAGCTTCAACTCAATGGACCATCACTTATTCTGTGCACCAGCGTAAGCCTGTGTCAACAGGAGCTTGTGCTGTATTGGAGGAAGCAAAGACAAACTACAGAATGAGCACAGTTCCCCAGCTTCCACTCAGTGAGATTTACTTTTTTGTTTGTTAATTTGCATCCCAGCGTTGGAGCCAGGAAAATAAACTAAGACAGTATAAAAATCCTATTCCACATACCAGCTAAAATTCACTACACGTTGTGGTAGGCACAATCCTCCCCCACCCCAAACAAAGATATCCACATTCTAACCCCCAACCCATGCATATGTAATATTACTTGGCAGGAGAGAATTATGGTCACAGATGGAATTGAAGTTGCTAATCAGCCAATCCTAAAGTAGGAAAGTGGGGAGAGGAGCCTGGATGATCCAGTGGGCCCAGTGTAATCTCAAGTGTTCTTAAAAGTGGAAGAAGAGTCCGAAGAGGTGGCCAGGGTGATGTTCTGTGTGAAGGACAGGACCTTCTGTTGCTGGCTTTGAAAGTAAAGGAAGAGGGCCATAAATCAAGGAGCATAAGCAGCCTCTAGAGGCTTGGAAAGGCAAGGAAACCATTCCCTCCCAAAGGTTCTACATTGCTTTACTAACACTGCCATTAGAAATGCCCACCAATGGTGGCTTAACCAGCAGAAACTTATTCACTCACAGTAATGGGGGCCAGAAGTCCAACATCAAAACATCAGCAGGGTTGCTTTTTGGCTTGCAGACGGCCGCCTTCTCCCTGTGTCCTCACATGTTCTTCCTCTGTGTAGGAACATTCCTGGTGCCTCTGAATGTCCACACTTTTTCTTCTTATACAGGTGCCAGTCAGATTGCATTGGGGCCCACCTTAAAGACCTCCTTTTAATTTAATCACCCCTTTAAAGATATTATCTCCAAATACAGCCATATTTGGTGGTACTAGGGGTTAGGTCTTCAATACATGAACTGTGAGGAAGAGAAGTCAGCCCCTATCAGCTTCCAAATGGGAATATAGCCCTGCCGACACCTTCATTCTAGCTCAATGAGAACCTGTCAGACTTCTAACCTACAGAACTGTGAGGTGACAAACGTGTGTTGTTTTAAGCCACTACGTGTGTGGTAATTTACGTCAGCCATGGGAAACGAATACAAGCATTCTAAGCTAAGCTTTCTGCCATTATTAACTTAATTTTTACCCCACATCAGCCTTACGAGAAGGCATCATCATTACCTCCATTCCACATTGCTAAAAATAGTGAGACCTGAACTTAAACTCAGATGTGACTGATTCCAAAACCTGTGCTCCACGACCATCCCATCCCTCTGTAAAACATCCTAGATTTGGAAACTTTTAAACTATTCATGCAGGATGAATATACAGAGTACCTGAGTCACCAGCCACCAGATGCACGGGGTTGCCTGGTCCCAGCCTCTCATTTTGAAAATGAAGAAAAAGTACAGAGAGAAGTGGTGTCGGAGACCCAGAACAAGTTTTCTGGAGCCTAAGTAGAGTCTAGGTCTTCTGGCTCCTAGCCCAGCACAGCAGCTGCTCTTCCTCCTCACACCATGTCAACAGCCACCTCATATGTCTTACCCCATTCTTTCCATAGCATCTCGCTGAATTACTTTATGGAAAGGAAGCCAAGACCCAAAGTCCTGCAATTAGAAAGTGGCAAAGCTTAGTTTCAGCCCCATGGTCACTCTTAAGACTCTTCCACTTTATCACATCTTTTACAGAAATATCCCATTATGAGAACACAAATCGCATGTAAAAATCTATCTTACATTCCTTGGTAGCAGTTTGGGGCCAGGCTATATAGCATGTTACCTCTCTTCAAATCAGACCGAAGGCAACCTCAGAAACAAGAAGAGCCTTTAAAATTCTGGTTTGAATCCCACACTTTGGCCTGGAATCTGGACAAATAAGCATGTGAAATGGCTTCATTTCTATTAATTTATCTAGAAAAGTCAAAGCAGCTGAGAGACCTCTGAGAAATAGACTGTTACTGTCATAGGAAAGTCAGGCTAAGACACTGCAGGGTACATCACAAAGGTTCATGCCCCTTATGACTTCTCTGAAACAGTCTAGGAGCTGGCTTTTATTTTCCTACTAAAAACTTTTATTTCACCTCCATTTGTGGGACGCACTGGCCACATGGCTGATGGATTTGGGAACAGGTGGCTTCCTTACACATGATGGAATGTTGAAAGGCTGTAAATATGCCTAGCTAGTAACAATGCTTGATTCATATCACCATCCTATCCTGATCAAGATGGAGAACTGCTGGGCCTTGCTCACCTGAAATGGGAGGAAATAGACATGTTTGTAAGTTGCTGAGCCTAAGAGGCCCATGGAGCTTTCCCTTTGCTGAATTTCAGCAGTGCGTCTCCCTTTATGACCTGGGGAATCTCTTGAGGGAAATTTCAGGGGATGACAGTCGGCTAGCTGAGGATATTTGTGTGTTATATGTTGGTTGCTCAAATATTGAGAGTGAATATCCCAGAAAGGTCAACTGTCTTTATCCATACATAGCAAAGTTTCACATGAGAATTGTTTTTGCTGAAACCACTAAAGGATATTATTTGGGGCTTTAAACATGAATGTAAAGTGCAGTAAAAACTGTCAGATTGGATTTGCTTTAGGTAAGCATCCTTGGGCTTCCACTGCCTACTTAAAGTGACTAAACTAGCAAATCAGGGCCTCTGTGATGCTGATTAAAACCAAATTTTATTAATGTGAAATGAGACTACACTCTCTTCAAGTTGATGGAATTTCACATTTGCTTAAATTTTTAAGTGAGATTTCAGCTGCAATAGATTGGAGAACACAGAAAGCACCAACTGGGGTGATTATTTGTGATGAAATCATAGTCAAATATAACAAGGTGAACTAACTTTAAATAAAAAAAAGAGAAGTCATTACTGAACTTGGACTATCAATGTGTTACTTTGTTGTTTTTTTTAAAAAACAGCTTTTATTTTTATTTTTTTTTAAATTTTCTCTGGAATAGTCTTCATTTTGTCATAATATTCCCACACTGAAGGTTAGGAGAGGGGAGATTAAGAAAGGAACAGAGCCAAAGGTAATTAAACATTCTATTAATATTTAAAATGTTGCAATCACAAGCATCTGACTGTTAGTAGTCCTGTTATCACATTCATATCCCATAGGCTCAATTCTACTGTCAATGTGCTGATATCACGCTCATGAAGCTGCAGAAGACAGCTTGCTATAATTTATTGGATGGTTTAACACTGTCAAGAGATTCTTTACCTGGTCCAAATCTCTCTGATTAAACAAATACACATACACAGATACATGCATAGATACATGCATACACACATACGAACTTCTTAACAGTTTTCTAAATCAATCTTGAGACAGTCACTTGTGAAAATTCCCTCTTGGATTAATTACACTTTTCATTAGGCCTGAGATTATAAGGGCACATATATGACAGAGCTTGTCATGGTTTTAGTTGGTCAAAGAATAGAATAATCAATCATCTCCATTCTTAGAGAATGGCATAATCAAAAGAATTATAGAGGCAACTCGAGTCATTTTCAGAAATGAAATGACTGAAATGAAATAGCTGAACAATTACAGTGATTGTCAGTTGTTAACTGTGGATAAATATGTAATGACCCCAAGTGTTTCCCTAACAACATGGAAACTAAAATCATCACTCTTACTTGAGTCCTCTCCACTAAAAATAGGGTGGGATTTGCAGAAGATTAGCTTGGGCTTCCATTTGCTTTCATTCAATAGATTAATAAATACATACATATATAAATAAAAAGTCCAAACCTAGAAAATACTGGTTTAATTAAAGGCCATTAGCTCATACATTATACATCATCTACTGCACTGTAACTAGATGCTGCATGTAGGTGTTCACTTTACACTAGATTCCAAAGGTTAGGGTGATTTTGTTTCATGTCACAGAGAAGAAAATGCAAATTTTCATTCTGCTTCTATAGTTGGAATGACTTCCCTCTGACTTTGTAGGAACTTGGTAATTTCTAGTGAATGAGATTCCCTCTGGGATCCTTCTCTAGAGAGCAAGCTCAGGTCCTGCTTCTGCAGTCTACAGACAGAAAGGCATGTGGACTAAGACAGCAGGCAACTCAATACTATGCATCACCTCTTTTTGTTCCCCTAGTTTCTTAAAAAAGTCGTTGAGATGACTGCCTTTATTTTAACAACCCTAAAAATATTTGCTTTGGACATAATGCCCAAATTTCCTCCTAAACCATTAGGACTTGTAACGTGGGAGATATGTTTTATTCATCTCTGTGTCCCCGGTATTCAGCACTATGTCTGCTAAGTAACAGGTGCTTAGTTTATTCAGTGAATAAATGAATAAATGGAAGACATCTGATATCTATAGCTCTTTAGTCACATTAATTTCTTCTTCTGTGGCCCTCTACTCCTCTGTTATCCAGCCTTTGCTTGCATCTCTCAAGCATTCTTGAAATTTAATTTTCAGGCATGTGTGACTTACCCTGAATACTGCTTTGTCCCCTCACTCTTTCCCTGATGGCCTGTCATTTGATGAAACACCACCATGTTTACTGTTGTTCTTAGAGATGGATCAGATTTTCTCTGCACAGACACATCCCAGTCAACAGTTTGTAGAGAACCTTCAAGAACACTCATTCTCTCCCCTTCCCTGTGAGGTCGTAGGTGGGCTATAGGAAATGACCATTACCACTTCACAAACCAGAAAACTGGGGCTCAGGTGCGAGGTAGGACCCTAAACATGGGATTCCTTTCACTTAACCCACCCTGCGCTGAAAATCATGCTTTATATGGAGGTTTTAATTCTGCAGCTGAAGAGATTGAGGTTAAATAGAAATAAATGAAAAACGGCAAGATATCTAAAACTGGGCTCGTGCGAGTGATGGTGAAACAGGCAGAAATTGATCAGATGGGGGGCCGGGCGCGGTGGCTTACGCCTATAATCCCAGCACTTTCGGAGGCTGAGGTGGGTGGGTCACCTGAGGTCAGGACGGCAAGACCAGCCTGACCAACATGGCGAAACCGTCTCTACTGAAAATACAAAAATTAGCCGGGCATGGTGGTGCGTGCCTGTAGTCCCAGCTACACAGGAGGCTGAAGCAGGAGAATCGCTTGAACCCAGGAGGCGGAGGTTGCAGTGAGCTGAAATCGTGCCACTGCACTCCAGCCTGGGCAACAACAGCGAAACTCCATCCCAAAAAAAAAAAAAAAAAGGAAAAAAAGAAAAAGAAAAAAAAGAAATTGATTAGATGGCCATTTGAACACAGCTCTCAAAAGATTGTTCTGGATGGGCAGGTAGGGCCCCCATGGACCACCTCTGCCTTCTGTGGGGGATGGCAGCACTGAACAGTGTTCCTTCCCCAGTCTCAGTTAACCCAATCTGGAGGGTGGGTTGAGCTGCTCCAGAGAATGTCAGAGAGGGCTGGGTGCTGTCCTATCAGTGAGCATCATCGTCTTTTCTGCCTATACCTTCACTGCCTCTTTGGCGGCAATACCTAGATTTCTTTTGGGGAATTATTCCACTTTCCAGTGGGCCTGTGACCTCACTGGGCCCATCAGCCTATCTTCAGGGAATCTTAACATGTACAGTGTGGGCCAGATACACCCCAGTGGTGGCCCTTCTGCTAACACACCTCTCTACCTGTCCCATTCTGTCCCTTCTGAGGCCAGGCTCTTCATCCTTCTCAATACTGTGAGCTGTCTTTGTCTTCTTCCAGGCAGTACTTCTCTTTTTCATAGGCCAGCCAGATTTGGAATCTGTTGCTTATAACTAAATTTGACTTGACTGATGTAGAAGAGAAGTAAAGGAAGAGATTTTCTGAGTTTGATGGGCCTGGTATCTGTCACCCAGCGGGGAGACCTGTCTGGGGTCTGTGTGTTCTCCATGTCAGCTCCTGCTGAGCTATGACCTGCAATGCCAGGAAAATGTCCTTGTCACTTCTCATTGTGGTAGCCAGGGAACAAGATACTATTGTCAGAGACCTACCCGGGAAATGGACGAGGGCAAAACCTTTGATACTGTCAGTTCAGTTGGAGAAGAGGGAGCATCCTGATAGGCTAGCAAGAAACTCATGGGCCTTGGATCTGGTTTTTCTTTTTCAGTACAACTAAAAGATAATGGCAGGAGGTGACAACATTTGGTGTCAAGCATGCAGACACTGAAAAGTATAAAAGGAATCTCTGAAGTCACGTGATGAGGGGAAAGACATGTCCATTTCTGGAAAACAGGTGACAAGTGGTAAAGCACGTGGGGTAGAGCCAGTACTAGCGTGAAGAGGAGGTTTTCTATTTGAGACTATATATGTGTGTGATGGGGTGGGAGGGCCTCTGCTCAGGTCTTCCACAAACCCAGGGTCTGCTGGATATCTTTATGGCCTGAGAGTGGCCATAAAGTTAGGGAAAGGAAGAAAACCTTGAAACTTGAGCCTCACTCTAGACAAAGTGGACATCAAAGTATCAGTGTTCCCTGACTTAGAGGCTTTCGATAATGAGGGAGGAATCAGACTCCTAATAGAGCTGCTCAGTCCTCCTTCAACTCATTCTCCCCTCCTGGCAAATATCACCAGATAAACCCACAATGACAACAACTTCCATTAATTAAACACTTAATATATTCCAGAGATTGTGCTAAATGCTTTATATTCATGACTTCATTTGATTTTCACGCCAACCCATGGAGTCAGTACAGAGTTTCTGTTGGGCTGTAGATAGACAGGAAGAGATACACACACACACACACACATGCACACACACACACACATACGTTAGGAAGGAGGAGAAGTAGGTGTACCCCAAAGCCCAAAGCGACATGTAGCTGCCAATAATATTGTCCAGAGATGATGAGGACTTGCTTAATCTCAGGAGCTCAATTCTTGCTATGCTATGACCCTCTGAAGTTTGCTTACCATTTCAGAAGAATATAACATTACTTTCTTATACACTTTCCTAAAGTATCTTATATTACTTTTATACCATTTCAGAAAGCATATAACAATCTCCGTTTACAGGAATGTTTATAGATATCAGACTCTGCTTGATCTTGAAAAGAAGACAGTCTCAGAGAAGCCTCACCCTCGTTGCTGAATGATATCTCTGCCTCTAGCTTTCTCCAAAATGCAGAAAAACTCATTTTCCCACCATTGTTGTATGTTATGACTCACGTCTCCATGTAACAGGGTGAGAAAGAAGTAGAGCCAGGATTTGAACTCATAGTAGAAAAGCTGCCAAGACATTGTCTAGAGCCCTCTGGGGACTGACCCCATCAGAGTGGTGTCCATGTGTCCAGGTCCTGAGTGCCTGGCTGTCTTTGCTGCATGGACAGGTAATGCCCTCAGTGGCCCTCTGAGGTACAGCCACCTATAGAGGCCCTGGCTAAGATGCCGTCTTGGCATGTGACCCGGATCTGTGATTCGAAATGGGGTTTCTGCATGGTAGGGGGAAATAAAGTTATCATGGGGAGACATTTGTACAAGATTCCTGGAGCCACACATCCAGGTTTTGGACTGGATTCTTGAAGGTTCTCCCAAACCACAGCACTCTCCCCCAATCTCCAAATACCTAGCTCTAGAAACAGAATCCCCTTCCGCTTGGCCAGCCCTGCAGGTTCTTGAGAGCAGGGTTCACACATCACCTCCCTTTCCCAGTTCTACTGTTCAGGACACCAGCCCCTCCCTTCACAGCTCTCCTCCATCAGGGTTTCATAGTCAGAGCCATCCAGGCCACTCTCCTATCCTAGCTGCAGATCCAGGGTGCAGTTCTGATACTTCAAAATATCTGTGTTACTATCTGCCCCCAGGCCATTTCAGCAACGAACGTTCCTGTGACACAGCTTGCCAGGTGGTTTCAGGGATGTGACCTAATTTGATTTTCAGTGTCTTAAATAGCCATTATTGTCACCTTTACTTTCCAGGCAGGGATGGGGAGGTTAGTTTCTCAAATAAAAGAAACATTTTAGATTGCCAAAATACTATTCCAAATTCCTTAAATACCCATGAGCGACAAAATGCATATTTATATCATCAACTATAAAAAGCAAATCTTATACTATATAGTTTAAGAATCATCTATGTAGTTCCTACGTTGTTTACTCTATGTATAAACATAGGAACATAATCAGTGCCCATACACAGATGCGGGAGTTTTCAAATGATTGTACCTTTAAGATAACTATCAATTCCCCAGAGGTGGATAAGAGATGAACTAGAAAATTCTAGCTTTCTCGCTTGCTGCCATTTGCTACATCTGATTTTAATATAAATCCTCAATGATTACACTATATGCTGTAGATGTATTTGTTACAAGGATTTAGATGGCAGAGCCGTATCTAATAAAATGGGGTCTGGGTGCTTAGTGTTCTAAGGATACTTAAAATGGAAACATCTGGATGATATGTTTTTAATGTACAATTGAGAAACCAAGGCTCCAGAGGGTAAGGGACCTCCCAAAGCTATACAGTGGCAGAATGGGGCTAGAGCCCAATTTCCCCACTCCTAGGCTGGGTCTCTTGCTGTAGCATATCCATCCATTACCGTGAATTACTCTACTGGCATGGTTGAAACTATAATTTAATTGGTTGGTATATAATGACTGGTAATATCACTGAACCATATTTATTCCATAGGGATTCTTCACCCCATAAGTATATTCCTGGAAACTATCTCAATAACACTTTTTTTTTCTTGTTTTAGGAAGTCAGGGAAACATTCTCATGTATGTCTTGTGTTTGTCTTGTATTTGTCTTACATGACATCTGAGCTACCATCAATTTAGGATCTGGAGGGGATTCTTAAATTAGATGTTAAGACTCATTTGAACAAACACAACTGTGATAACTAGGCCCTTGCCATGTGACAGGGATTTTGCCAAATGGTTTATATGCAATGTTGTGTTTAATATTTATTAATGAAATCATAACTTTTTAAAATCCCATTTTAGAGTTGTAGAAACTGAGTCTCAGGTCAACTAACTTGCCCAAGGTCACACAGCTAAAAACCAGGAGAACCTGGATTCAAATCCAGATTTCTCTTGTCCCCCAACTCCAAACTCCTGAAAATGCTGACTGTACCAAATAGTCATTGGCTGGGCCATTAGTCTTGATGTCAAGATATAACCACAAGTGTCAGCAGGTCAGAACATAGAGCCACTTTCTAGTTCTTGAGGACAGGCACAGTGAGTGCCCTTTTCTCCACAGCCTCCTCAGTGCACACTGACATAGTTTAGGTCTGTGTTCCCACCCAAATCTCATGTTCAACTGTAATTCCCAATGTTGGAAAAAGGGCTTGGTGGGGGATGATTGGATCATGGGAGTAGTTTCTCTTGAATGGTTTAACACCATCCCCCTTGGCAGTTGCCTGGTGATAGTGAGTGAGTTCTCACCAGATACAGTTGTTTAAAAGTGTTTAGTGCCTCCCATTCTCTCTCTTTCTTCTGCTCCCACCCTGTGAGATGCCTAGCTCCCACTTCACCCTCTCCCATGACTGTAAGTTTCCTGAGGCCTCCCAAGAAGCTGAGCAGATGCCTGCATTATGCTTCCTATACAGCCTGCAGAACCACGAGCCAATTAAAGCTCTTTCCTTTATAAATTATCCAGTCTCAGGTATTTCCTTATAGCAATGCGAGAATGGACTCATACAGACACTGTTAGGTACGACAGTGATCAAATGCTATTGCCTTTACAAATGCACAGTGAAAGCAGCTCATGAACTTGGCCATGGCCACATCCCCACGCCCCCTATGTTTTAGGGTCCTCCTTCCTTTGTCTCAGACTTACACTGCCAGGGCACAGTCCCTTTAGGATTGCTTTTTAGTCTATAATATTCTAATGTATCAGACAGAATCCAGAGAAGTGACAATATACTGCCACACACTGAAGTGAGAATATTTCTTGCCAATGCGAATTATTTATGGTCTAACAGTTAATCAGTCACTCAACTTGATGATTTTGGCGCCGTAGGGCTGTTTTATTACCCTCAGCATAAAGACACCTTGTACATAAACAACATTTACTATGACAGTCTGCTAGCTGGCTTGTTAAAGCCATGCTGTGTTGGGACAAGACTGTTATAACTGAAGCAGAAAGCACTGTGCTGCTTTTGTTCACCTCTGTATCAGCACACCTGGCTCATGGTAAGTGCTCGCATATGTTGGTTAAAACATTCACCAGTTACTTATGGAGAGCCTACTATGTGTCAGGTTATTCTCTAGACAATGGGGATACAAAGGAGAGAAAAGAGTTTCTGTTACTTTGAGGCTGACATTCTAATTGGAGGAAACAGACAATAAAGAAATAGATTAACAGCAGTGCTTTGAGTAAAAATAAAGCAGAGCAGGGAGGATTGGGAATGGTAAGAGCCAGCACTGTGGTCTAGCACAGCTTCTCTTGTTGGGCAACATGTGAGCAGATAGCCGAATGATGTGAGAGAATGGTGAGAAGAATATTCCAGAAAGAACACACAGTAATAGCAAAGGCCCTCTGGCAGGTAAGTGCTCCATGTGTTTGAGGAACACCCAGGAAGACAGTGTGCATTTGTAAAGTCAGTAATATTCAATCACTGACTTATACCAGTCAGTGGGCACAGAGGAGGCTGTGAAGAAAAGGGCATGAGTAAGAAGGGGACAAGGGTAGAAGGCAAGGTAATAGAGTTACTGGGGAGATTAGGGGAAATGGAGGGTGGAGGGGGTAGCCTGATTATGCACGGCTTCATAGGCCATGGTAAGGCCTTTGGATATTTATTGAATAGATGAATGGATGAATAAATAAATGAATGAGTGAATTATCGAATGGATAGAAAAGTACTAGTCTTGTGCCACGTGTTAGGAAAAACAGAAGAAATCTTCTGCTTGTGGCCTTAGAGCTAATCATAGCAGCCACCATTGACTGCATTCTTACAATGTGCCAAGCTGTCTACCAGGCATTTTGCAGATGTGATCTACTTTAATCCCCATGACTACCTCGTGAAGACATATGACCCTCTTCTATCTATGAGGACATGGAGGCACAAAGCAGTGAAGGACCTGCAGAAGGTCACAATGTGGTAAGTAATGGAACCAGGGCACAAGCCCAGGTCTCCCTGAATGCAAAGCCTGTGTTCTAAGCTGCTTCTGCAATGGGGACCCCTGGGCAGGGAGGTCTGACTCAATAGGAAGAAAGAATTTTCAGAAGAGTAGAGCTATGTGGATACAAAACAGGCTGTCTACAGAAGGAAGAAGCTCCCCTGGATGGAATGCATCCAAGTAGATCCTGGATATGGAAGTGGAGACTTCAACATCTGCTCAGGTGTGGGGCAAGGTGATCTCTGAAACCTCAGAAAATCTCTCAGAGTCGGTTTCTTCATTTACATTTGAGCCTTTCTTTCTCATGGCCTAGGAAGAAATTCCAGGTAAAATGTAATATTTTCCATTTTTATACTTTATAAAGAAATCCTAAGTAATCACAGGTGGATATTGGCCCTTAAACAGTGTCTAGAATATGTAAATAATTATGGAATGTATAAATGACTTATTGTTTATATATTTAAATTTGAAGTAACCTTTTTAAATTACAAAAATAATATATGGCCAGGCGTGGTGTCTCACGCCTGTAATCCCAGCACTTTGGGAGGCTGAGGCAGGAGGATCACAAGGTCAGGAGTTTAAAATCAGCCTGGACAACATGGTGAAACCTCATTTCTACTAAAAATACAAAAATTAGGTGGGCGTGGTGGCCCGTGCCTAAAATCTCAGCTATTCAGGATGCTGAGGCAAGAAAATTGCTTGAACGCGGGAGGTGGAGGTTGCAGTGAGCTGAGATCACACCACGGCACTCCAGCCTGGGCAACAGAGCAAGACTCCGTCTTGGGGAAAAAAATAATCTATATATATATATATATATAGAGAGAGATATAGATATTCACCAAATGAATTTAAAGAGTAGAGAAGTATAATAAAAATTAATCAACACCCCCCCGCCACCCTCTGATACACACCAATTCTAACCCCTTGAAATAAACAATATCAACCACTGGGTGTGTTTTCTTCATCTTTTGAATTTAATGTAACATGGTCACGTTTCCATATCGGTAACTATGTTTCTTTCATACATACACACACACACATATATAATTTTATTATTTATTTAATTTTTAATTTTAATTCTTTTTTTTTTTTGAGACAGGGTCTTACACTGTCACCCAGACTGGAATGCAGTAATGTGATCATAGCTCACTGTAACATTGATCTTCTGGGCTCAAGTGATCCTTCCACCTCAGCTTCCCAAGTAGTTAGGATTATAGGTATGTGCCACTACATCCGGCTTTTTTTTTTTTTTTTTTTTTTTTTTGAGATAGAGTCTCACTCTGTTGCCCAGGCTGGTATGCAGTAGCATGATCTCAGCTCACTGCAACTTCCACCTCCTGAGCTCAAGTGATTCTCCTGCCTCAGCCTTCTGAGTAGCTGGGACTACAGGCATATGCCACCACACCCAGCTAATTTTTTTTGTATTTTTAGTAGAGACGGGGTTTCACCCTGTTGGCCAGGCTATTCTCAAACTGCTGACCTCAGGTAATCTGCCAGTCTTGGCCTCCCAAAGTGTTGGGAAAGGCATGAGCCATCGCACCCGGCCAGTAACTAAGTTTCTAACATATTCTTTTTAATAGTTACATAATATTACAAGGTACAGATAGGATGATTTATGTAACTATTCTCCAACTGATGGGCATTCATGCTGTTTCTAGTTATTTTACTACTATCAGCAATGCTACAATATAAAGGAGACCCAGTGTCCATTAGCAGTCATTCCTCATTCCTTCCTCACCCCAGCCCTTGGCATCCACTAATCTTTTATCTCTATGGATTTATTTACACTGGATATTACATATCAATCAAATTATACAATAGGTGTGTCATTTTGTGTCTTTTTTCACTATCATAATGCTTTCAAGGTCAATTCAAGTTGTAGCATGTATCACTACTTCATTTCTTTTTATGTCTGAATCATATTCCATTGTATGGATAACACAGACTTTGTTGTTTTAGAATTGGAATCTATTTTTGTAAATGGTGTGAGGTAGGGCTTTAATTTGGTAAAGTGATAGACATTAAAGGGATATTTTATTTTTATTGTAGACATCAATGCCCAAGAGGAAATCAAAATGAATTAGTATTCTCCAAATGCATTTATATTTCATCACCCACATTAACCAGAGACCTAAACACTTTCAACACATCCTGTAGTGACAGTTGGCAGAGATAAAGCAAGATATTACTTAAACAATGAATTACCAGCCTTTACTTTAGCCATCTAAGCAATCACACCGATTCATGGGCCTCCTAATTGTTCCCCTCTGCCCTGGGCATTAGCAGGTTCATGGAGTGACATTTATTTAATTAATGTATTAGCATTATATGGCTCCTCTTGAAAGACACTTAAAAGATACAGCATTCTGTTTCAAATCCATGTGAGCTGGAAGTTCAGAAATAGCATTGGTATTCCAATTAATCTGTTTTCTAAATGTTCATTCCAGAGAGGTGGAAACTTTTGACCTTGATGCTGATTATGATTAGCATAGCAATCACTCTTCTATAATTAAAAGGCAGACGAAAATTTTATTTGGCTTATTTATTAATTCCCTTATGAATCTTTTTTTGTTCGGCAATGAAGGCAAAGTATTTTCTGAGAGTCACTAGGGTATGTGGGTACAGTTACCCCAAAGATAGTGACTAAGATGTTCCTTAAATAATACCACTTCCTCCTGGGTGGCTCTAGGGACTATCATGACCCTGAAAGCTCAGTGTGTGTTCCCAGCTCTCTCCTCTCCTCTCCTCTCCCTCCCTTGGTCTAGCAATAATTTGCAACCACGTAGCCCTCATAATTAGCCATCAGAGTGACATTCATTTTATCTACTGATTTTCTGACAGTCCAGAAAGTGGAGGCCAAGACCCTTTTGCAGGACAGGCAAGTGTGGGACCAGCCATTTTGAAGTTTTGCCTCTTATGGATCTGACTCTGCAGGCTTAGATTCCCAGGAATCCTGCTCAACCCCAGACCTCTGCCTCTCCATGTAGAGCTTGAGTTACAGCTGTGAATAATGTTTTGGGTCACTATTTTAGTAATGTATATTATTTATGGATCAGTTGGTATGCACAGGCACTACGCTAAGTGCTTTTCATGCTTCATGTCATTTAATCCTCTCAATAGCATGAGGTGGGTATGATTACTGTTCCCAGTTTTTAGATGAGGAAACCATACCCTTGAGTGGCAAATAACTTGCCCAAGGTCATCCAACTAAGTTTGAGAAGTGGGGTATGGGCACAGCTCTTCCTGACTCCAACACCCCTGCTTTAAGCCAATACTGTTCTGTCTCCCCAAGTCTTCTTCATACTGCCATTTGCCTCTTCTGGAATTGAAGCCACCACTGACTTCAGACATGGACCTTGTAATAATGATGCAGTGGTGGCAATGACAGTGATAGCAAACACATGTGCCAGGCTCTCTGCTACGTGCTTTACATATATGTAGTCCACTAATAATCCTAGGACACAGGTCCTATTATGATTTCCATTTTGCATGTGAGAAAACTGAGGCACAGAGAAGCCTCACAGCCAGAAAGCAGCAGAGGCAGATGGGAGCCCGGGCTGTTAGTGAGCTTTGCCATTGCAGTCGAGATGGCTCAGTGGTACAATTTACTGAACTGGCTTCACAGTTCACTCCCAGGCAGAATGTGAGAATTTCTCTTTCATGACATCTTTCCAGGTTGCTCCTCTGCTATTCTTCGTCTACACCTCTGTTAAGATCATCTTTTTCAAGCCCTCCCCACTCCAGGATACATATATTTTTTATAATAATGCTGTCAATGCTGGGGGCTCATTTCTGTGGCCCCCTCAATAATCAGTGTTACATCTGGGCCTTTGAGTCCTGCTCTGCTCCTCTGATGCCCTGCAAGCTCCCTGCTGCTTTTTATGTGGGTCATTCGCCCTGTGGGTCATTGTCCAAATCTTTCCACAGAGTCTAAGGCAGCTCTCTCCACTGAATGAGGCTGGAGGTGGAGGAGAGGGGAGGAGATGAGAGCAAGAGAATAAGAACGGGTTTCACAGTTGGAGGAGATGATAACTGAGGCAGAGACAAGGGAGCTCCTTCATGGGGCAAAAGATCCACTACCATTTCCTACAAATGCTACCTTGATTTGGACAGAATATGGACTTCTAAGAACAGATATGAGAAGCAAATTTGTTGACCTTGGGATACTGAATTTTATGATTATCCTTTTGATATATTTCCAAGGTGACCTCAAGTAGAAACTAAATACAATTTGCATTATGTCTTGCTTTAAAATCACTACATACCCGATGAGAGTAATAATGATAATGATGAAATTACAAAATGATATTTATTGGTAACTTATTTGTGTGAGAAGCACTATGTTAAAAGTCTTGAATGTGTTAACTCTTTAATTCTAGGGAAGGAAGTGCTATTATTTCCCCCATCTGCATGTGGGTAAATTGAGAGATTAGATTAAGTGCCCAGGCTACCCAGCTCAATGCATAGCACACACCTTTATGCTGTTTTGTCTGCTGTAATCAAGAACTTCCAGAGACAGAGCTCACTGCCATGATGATGAAGATGTTTTTAAAGTCATAATTGCTAACATCTATTTCTTTGTGTCCTGCAGGTGACAGGGTCTTTTATATACATCATCTAATTTAGTCCTTACAACCATTTTCTGAAGAAAGTACTATTATCATTTCACTTTAAGGATATAGAAACTGAAACTTACAGCAGTTAAGATAGTTGCCCAAGGTCAAATAGCTGGTGAGTGGTAGGGTCAGCACTTGAACCCAAGCTGTATCTGATTCCAAATCTAGTTTTTTAAGGATATGTTATTTTTTGCTCTTTCAGAATATAACATTGCGAGAAAAAGAGATGGTTAATTTTCAATTTAAAAAAATAAATATCTTGCTAGGAGTCTAGATTAATGCCTTCTCCCTATTACAACTTTATACCAAAGTCAATGCATAACTATAGCATTGACCTTGAGGGCTCTTCAGACCTTCATTCCTATTGAGTAATGTTATTATTTGGAAATCTAGAAATCTTGTACGTATTCAATTTTGCAGCTGGGCACAGTGGCTCACACCTGTAATCCCAGCACCTTGGGAGGCCGAGGTGGGTGGATCACCTGAGGTCAGGAGTTCAAGACCAGCCTGGCCAACATGGTGAAACCCCATCTCTACTAAAAATACAATTTTGCCATTCATAGAAAGCTTTCTATTTTTCCTGTCCTTCCTCTCAACATACTTTTTGTCCTTGGACCATGTTTATCTCTCTATCTAAGCATCTAATCCATTTTACCTTTAACTCTTTACCCTTATTCATTATCTCTAGGTCCAACCCAGCTCTCTCCTCCAAGCTCCAGAACTCATTTTACCCATCTCCTGGGCACTGCTGATGCTCCATACTAGAGACTCATCCTGTCTGTGACCTGACAAATCAGGACCTTCCACTAACTTCCCCAATTTCCGGTTATGACACATCTATTCCTAAACTAAAACTCCAGAATCTTCTTTGGTAGTGCTTTCTTCTCTAAAATCTAATTTATTAATTAACTTATTCACCTATTTACTATGAGTCAAGCAGTAGAGTATAATTAATATTTATCCATTCATCAAATCTCACACATCTGCTACTAGACCATGGATGCTAGGATAGATCAAACAAAAGAGCAAGTAGAGAGTTTTGTGTATTAGTATATAACCGAGGGTAGATGATAAGTGCACAAAGTAAGGCAGGTATGAGTTTTCAGAAAAGGAAGAGATTATTTTTAGCTGAAGAGCAGCTGGTGACCATTCTCATATTCCCTCCTTTTCTTCCCTGCCCACAGCCATCACCAGGTCTCAAGCATAAAGATAGAAAGGAAAGTTCGTTGTCTCGCTCTGAAATCCAGGCTATTCCCAATGGCTCAGAAATTTTGCATCACCTAGCCTGAGTCATCTCAGCTTTAGATTTTAGTCTATGTTCAACAGGAAGCTTCTGGAAAACTTTAATCAGAGAAGGCATCATTATCTTAGTGAGGACTTTAAAACGTTTGCTCTGGGAACTATACAGAGGAGTAAGAGTGGAAGCTGGAAGGGAGCCTATTGAGGTGGTTCAGTCAGAAGGCTGACATTATTCTCTATGATCCAGACTGGGTATTGGCAAATTATGATACATGGACCAAATTTGGCCCACAGCCTGTTTTGTAAATAAAGTTTTACTGGAACACAGCCATGCCTATTTGTTTACATATTGTCTATAGCTGCTTTCATGCTATGACAGCGGAGTTAAGTAGTTGGGCTGCAACAGAGACCATCTGGCCTGCAAGGCTTAAAATATTTCTTATTTGGCCCTTTACAGAAAAAGTTTGCCAACCCCTGCTCTAAATACACCACCTCCTTTCAAGTTTTAGAGGATAAAAAATGTTTTCCCACCTTGGGGAATAGCACATGATATTCTATCTTCCTGAAGCATCCATCCTCCCTTTTGCATTGAATCTTTCTTGGCCTTCAGGTCTCAGATTAAAGGGCAGACAAGTCTTTGGAACTGAAAAGATGCCGTCTGTTCAATCTTTCCACTCTGTTTGAATCCTTCATGGAACTTTTGTAATTGGCCGTAGTTTTCAATTATGTATATATTTGTTTATTGTCTAATGGTAACTGCCATGTGGATAGGGGCCATGTTTGTTTTATTCATCATTGTATATCTAATAGTTAAGGTCCTTTAAAGATAAGGTGCTAAATAGATGCTCTGTTCAAGGAATTGAAAATTGATAAAATTACATGGTTGTTGGAAGACATTTAATGGATTTTATATATTTTTAAAATACAGAAACTTAAAATAATTTCTTCATCAATAAAATAGTCACAGCAAATGGTTGACTGCTTCTCATAAACTACTAAGAAGAAGATAGGCTGGGCACAGTGGCTCATGCCTGTAATCCTAACATTTTGGGAGGCCAAGGTGGGTGGATTGCCTGAGCTCAGGAGTTTGAGACCAGCCTGGGCAACATGGTGAAACCCCGTCTCCACTAAAATACAAAAAATTAGCCGGGTGTGGTGGCATGCACCTGTAATCCAAGCTACTTGGGAGGCTGAGGCAGGAGAATCGCTTGAATTCGCAAGGTGGAGGTTGCAGTGAGCCAAGGTTGCACCACTGCACTCCAGCCTGGGCAACAACGTGAGACTCCATCTCAAAAAAAAAAAAAAGAACATAGAAACTCAAAAAAATAAGCAAATTACTTGAACAGGTAAGTGCCTACCAAAGAGGATGTCCAAATAGCCAATAAACATATGAAAAGTTGCTGCAACTTCATTTTTTATCATGGAAATGCAAATTAAAGCAATGCACATTGTAAATTAAAACAATACAAATACACTAGAAGGGCTGAAACTTAAAAGGCAGAACATACCATATATCAGCAAGCCCATGGAGAAAGAAATTTTCTTACACTACTGGTGGAGTGTAAATCAGTGCAACTGCATTGGAAAACTTTTAGCAGTATCTACTAAAGCTGAACTCCTCTATTCTCTGGGACTCAATAGAATTCCACACATGGGTTCACCCGAAGACCTATAGAGAATGTCAATAGTAGCACTATTTGGAACAGCCCCAGATGAATACCCATGAATAGGATAAATACATTGTGATATATACGTACACACATACATTGGAATACTAAATTACAATGAATAATCTGTCACTCTACACAACAAAATGGATGAATCTTTCAAATGCAATATATATAGAGAGACACCAGATACAAGATGAGTTCATTAATGTGTATTTTTTAAAAAACAGGTAAAACATAATTATGCTGTTAGAGGTCAGGGTAATGGTTGTCTTTGGGTGAGGGTAGGAACTGAAAAGGGGCCCTAAAGTATGCTTATGGAGAACTGTTAATGTTCTCTTTATTGATCTGGGTGCGGTTGTACCAGTATGTTAAGTTTTTTGTTTTTTTTTTTTTGAGACGGAGTCTTGCTCTGTTGCCCAGGCTGGAATGCAGTGGCGTGATCTTGGCTCACCACACCCTCCACCTCCCGGGTTCGAAGAATTCTCCTGCCTCCACCTCCTGAGTAGCTGGGATTACAGGCACACACCACCACACCTAGCTAATTTTTGTATTTTTAGTAGAGACGGGGTTTCACCCTGTTGCCCAGGCTGGTCTTGAACTCCTGACCTCGTGATCCGCTCGCCTCAGCCTCCCAAAGTGCTGGGATTACAGGCATGAGCCACTGCGCCTGGCCACCAGTATGTTAAGTTTTAAAAGATTTATCTAAAGTGTATTTTGAATACATGTACTTTTCTCTATGTTAGACTTCAGTAGAAAATTAAACAAATTTTGAATGGTTGAGTATTTTCTACAGTCTCTAGTGTATTTGAGGCATAAGAAAGATAAAAATATGCTTTCTGGAATATATACCCTTGAAGAAGGATATCTTTAAAAAAAATCTATAAGCCTGCTGCTCATCGTAGAGAAGGACAGACCTTCATTGATCTGCACAATTATATTAGAAATAGACAAGCACATTTTGCATCATGGGCCATTAGTGGTTTATAGAACACATTAAGAGCAACGTCCTTGAGCCCAGAGTAAAGAAAAAATAAAATATCAATGATATTTTATAAGTTTAAAAATATATTTCTTAAGAGTTCCAATGACATTCCCACACATGAACCTCACTACAAGCTTTGTGGGCACGACAGTCTATCCACATAGCACAGGTCAGGAAACTGAAGTCCAAGAAAGATTTGGTCACTAGAAGTCGTGGCAGAGATGGGCTTCGAACCCTTGTCCTGGAGGTCTTTCAATATTCCAAGACTTCCTAAGTAATTTGTGTTTAAGAACACCCTTTTAATGTGGAAAACTTTCTGAAAACACTGCACAGAGCATAATAACCTTTTAATACATATTAAACATGTACATAAGGACCAAAAATCACTGTGAATTTAGTGATGTTTCAAAATGAATTTATATTTTACTAATCATAGCTATACATATGTATTTGGAAAGTGATCATGTAAATAAGTCATTATATATATGTGTGTATATGTATATATTAATCCTGAGGGTAATGTTTAATCCAAATAGTCTAGTGTCAAAACGCTAAGCGTTGGGGATCAGAGAGCATGGTTTGAGAATCTCTGCGGAACCTGTGGTTTCTAGTCTTTCTTCGGATTTCCTGCAAAGACTCCTAGAGTTTGGATGTCATATTCCAGCATTCCATGGGGAGCATCAGCAAATGGGTTGCCGCCTTGCCTCCTGCTTATTAGCCACCTGACTTGGTACAGCAGAGAGCTGGCACTCCCATCTGTCTCCTGTTTGTGTTTCCTTCTGCAAACAGCACCATGTTTCACTTTAAATAACCCCATTCCCCTACTCTCAGTTCAGATCATGTGGTAGGGCTGACCTCACTCTATCCCAAAGCCTGCTAATCAGAACATTCCATTCCCTAGTGACAGGCGCAGTGGGCAAAAGAAGCAGACAGGACCAACTAATGGCCAGTCTTGGGAATTTGGGTAAAATAATTGGGAAATAGAAGATGTTTTTCTTTTGGGGTTGTTAAACCGGTAGGACATAGCCTGGAGCTATAGGGGCCATCTAGACACTATTTGGGAAGAATCTACTAGGGAAAAAGCCAACACAGACCAGAGTCCAGAGGTAGTGGTGAGTGTGACAATATCATTGGAGCACCTGGATCCATCTGTGCCTGAAGTTGGTACTATCATTGGACATTATAGTTATACAAGTTAATAAATTCCCATTTTTCCTTAATGTAGTTGGATTTGTGCTTCTGGCTTTGCAACCAAATGAACCCTGTTACTATACTTGAGCAGATAACCTTTCTCTGCTTTAATTTCTTTGACTATAGAAAGGCAGTAATGATGATATCATACTCACAGTGATTATAAGGATCAGATGAGGTAATGAGTGCAAAAGCACCTGGTGAGTTATAAATTGGTAGAAAAATGCTTATTAATGCATGTTTTTGCCTTAATTATGAACCCACAAGAGAGGATATTACAGAGGAACAACAGCTACATAAGAAAAGCCTTGCCTCTTCTTTCTTCCAGCATAAAGAGATTACAACAAAGCCTAATAAGAGCTGAACATATGACTGTTCTTATAATTCCTTTTCTAATTCAGATCTGAAGTTTTGAAAGTTCAATGGATCATGTGGAAGGAAGATTAGATTAAGCTCTGGGCTACAAAATGAATTGCAGCAGGAAGAAGCAGTGGCTGCCTCTTTAAAGAGATTTTCTCATTCTACCTGCGTGTTGAAGATATTAAAATCTAGATTTGGGCAACTGCAAAGGAATTATAGCAGAACAATAATTTATTTAAATCTCAAGAAGCCACATGCCAGTTATCAGACAATATATGCATATGTTAAAAATTGATGTCGAATGATCAGAATATAAGGTCATCTTTTAGACTTGAAAAATATGCCTAGAACAAATGGAGGAATAAAAACCATTACTCCTAGCTCCCAAGTCCAGTTTCTCAAGGGTCTACTAAGTACCTGCCTCCCCAATAGTAGAGAGAAGGGAATTATTTCCACATTTCCTGGGGAAAAGCCTGGTCACTCCCCAGAGGAGGCCATCCACTTAGAATTCTGAAGATGTATCTGAAGTCCCGACTCTGTGCTGACAACAAGTAATGATAAAGATGGTTTCTAGAGCACTCAGGAAGAGCAATGCCAAATTTGACCAGAGGTGAGCACGCACTTTTTTTCAGAGGAAATCATCTTATTTTCTTCTGGTATTAAAATTTATATTTGCTTGTCAAAAAAGACATCTCAAAAATCATAGAGAAGAAAGAAAAAAGTACTAACATATCTTCTGTATATTTTATCTAAATCTATTATAAAGAGTAAGAAAGTTCTATTTCTTTTTTAAAAATTGGAATAATATCACATTTGGCATAGAGTTTTATTACCTGCTTTTGTTACTTACCAGTATGACATGCACTTTTTTTCAATGTAATGAAAAAATTATTCAGTAATATAGGCCAATATTTTCCTTTTTGCTATATCATAATTTATAATCCATGCTAACAGATGGGAGCCTCTTCTTTAATTTTTTTATTATAATCAATGAGGCCAGATCCTATCTGTAGTTAAATAGATATGCAAATCTTTAAATTATCTATCTATCTATCTATCTATCTATCTATCTATCTATCTATCTATCTATTTTTGACACAGGGTCTTGCTCTGTTGCCCAGGCTGGAGTGCAGTGGTGTGATCTTGGCTCACTGCAGCCTTGACCTCCCAGGTTCAAACAATCCTGCCACCTCAGCCCCTGTAAGCAGCTAGGACTACAGGTGCATGCCACCACACCTGGATAATTTGTATATTATTTTGTAGAGATGGGCTTTCACCATGTTGCCCAAGCTGGTCTCAAACTCCTGAGCTCAAGTGATCTACCTGCCTCAGCCTCCCAAAGTGCTGAGATTACTGGTGTGAGACACCACACCCTGCCTAAGATAAATACTTAAGTTAAAATTAAGATAAAGTTTAAATCTTGCAGCTAAAGTTTTATTTAAGAGACACTCCTAGAAGTGGTACTACCTTGTCACATGGAATTACAGATTATGGCATTTGATACATACAGCTAAATCATTCCCCCTGGGGTTTTACCAATTTTACTTCCATTGGCATTATAGGAGGGTACATGTTACCCCATATCGCTAACAATACTTTATGTTGTCATTCTTTAGAATTTGTTGGCAATCTCTTGATCCTGGCATCATCAAAAGGATGACCGTATAGCATGGCAAGGAAAGCACTGGGGATGGAAGAGTTGGGTGAAGAAGCACCTGAGAGAGGAAGAATAGTGCACGCAGTGCAGGAAGGAACAGTCCACTTGTACTTCTCTGGGTCCCTGGTCAAGGCTGGAATTCTATGATGTGACTGAACCTGCTAATAAATATACACTGATTATCAAGAAAAACATAGGTAATTGTTAAAATCATGCAGAGAATCAAAATATTTTAATTTACCTAATATAAACTGCTCATACCCTGACTGATATGAGACTCTTAGAGACTAGTCCAAGATGTCTCAGAAAAACCATCTTGTGAAGGAAGGAACAAGCGACATTTTGGAAATGGTCCAGCTCCTGTGGGAAGCTTCCCCAGGCTGTCACTATTGTTCACTGTAAATCTCTATGAGTATACTTGCCTCTGGATGGATGGGAAATCAATAAGGACAAGGACTTTAGGAATTGAGTGTGACATCTATTGTCATGGGGAATCTTGAACCAACTCTCTAAGCCAAGAGCAAACACCTCCAATAGGCAGATTTGGCACAGTCTGCCCTTTGGCAGTTGCTAAGGATCTGGGAGGCCGAAGGTTTCTGAGCACTTTCCTTTCCAGAAGCACACCAGTGCTGAGCTAATCTTTGCACTTGCTCTCTGTTCTATATGGAATAGCAATTCCTACTCTCTAGCATTTTGGGGTAAATGCTACCCCAAAGCCTTCCTCAATGCCTCATCCCACTCAGTGTTACAGCTTCCTTGAACTCCTTTAGGACACAGTGCAAACCTTGGACTCCATCACTGCACTTGGCTCATCGTGTGGCTACTACGTGTGTGTGTATTGGTCTTCCCTCTGGACTGAGAGTGAGAGCAATGTGTGTGTCCTACTTATTTGTAGTATCTCTTGCATCTGGTTTCATGCCTGCCACAAATTTACTGCAAAGTAAGGATGTATAAAACTGAATAGAAAGACAGTAGCCACTCATTAATGTTGAGTGAATGTTGACTGAATCTTTATTTACCTCTATTTTATTTCTTTCCCTAGAGCATTCAAGGCATAACAAATGCATCGGCAAATGCCAAACAAGTCAGTTAGGTCCCATGATTGTCCACATTCTATGGATGAAGAAAACAATGGGTGAAAAAAAAAAAAAAACAGGATTCACTGAGATTCTTTAACCTGCCGAAGGTCGTACAATTAAGGAACAAATATATATTTGTATAAATTTAATCCATTTATTGTTTGCCTGGAGAAAAGTGCACTGATGTGAGCTACGCTTTGTAAATGGGAAATGGGTTAAGGAGTCCAAGTGCAGTTTTGTTACATGGATATATTGCCTAGTGGTGAAGTCTGGGATTTAGTGTAACCATCACCCAAATAATGTGCCTTGTATCCATTAAATAACTTTTTATCCCTCGCCCTCCTCCCACCCACCCACCTTTCCACCATTCCCTGTCTCCATTGTTAAACTTGGGCTGCTTGATTTCAAAGACTGTGCTCTTAATAATGACATTATCCTGCTTCCATGTCTCTGACTACATTAGGAGCCTAAAACCTTAATATCTGAAATCTATTCTGAAACTCACTTCAAAACTGAGTGAGGTAGAAAAGCTCACAGCAAACTCATCCATTTTTACAACTGCCCTGATGACAATGGATTCTCTTTGATAACTTACAAACAAAACAAAAGAAAAACCTATCAGGGAAATTATAAATGAGATGAACCATCCCAATCTGCCACATCTCTTTACACTCCAAGGAGGTCTTTTTGGAGAGGGGTGGGAATTATAGGTTTAAATGGATGATAAATACATCATGTTTTGAATGAAAACAAAAGTATCAACAAATCCTTTGATCATTAAATCAGCATACATAAAATTAAAATAAATTAGACTTGGAAATTATAAAGTTATGATTACACAAATGCTAATTAAATTAATATGGACAGTGTTCTAGGCTGAAGTCAAAGGGAAGCTGGCCCCTGCTCCCTCCTCAGTGTTCCCTGGCAGAAGGTAAGGCCACCTCGAGCAGAGTGACATTTGGGATGGGAACAGAAGCAGACAGATGTCTTCGGGTGACATGTGCCAAGACTGCCAAGTAGGCACCGACTGCTCTGGTATCCTTGCTATCGGTGATGGACAGCCACATCTGCCGTGCTCAGAAACTCAGTGTTCTTACAGCCCCCTGAAGTCACCACATAGACTTTCTCACCCACCAACACACTGTAGCGTCCAGGGCCAGACCTCAGCTTCAAGCAAGGGCAGACCCTCCCTCTTACTGCAATCAAGGCCCTTTTCAATGCCTCCTTCAGCAAGAGAACTCCCTAGTCCTTCCATCTGGAAGAGGATGCCCCCTCTTCTGAATCCTCAGCATATTCAGTGTGTCTCACCCCATGCCTTTTTCAGTACCTCTGTATCTACCCAGCTGTTGCTTACTAAGCCGTGTGTTCACAAACCAGTAAGTGCTTACCATCTTCTCTAGTTATCGTCCATTTCATCATTTGAATCCCAGCTCAATTATACTCCTTGGGGAAACTTTCTAAAATCTCATGATTGGGTGAAATCCCCTCTTGAGGTACCACTTCTATCTTGTCCCCCCTTTTAAGAAATTTTTCATTATTTGCAATTTTACTTGTTTTTTTTAGGAATCATTTGATCATCATTTTCCCTCACAGGAGTGTGACCTTCATGAAGGTAGAACTGTGGCTATTGTTACACACTATTAAACCCAGACTCTAGCATAGTAGTCAGAATGTGATAGATTCAAAGCTTGTTGAATGAATAAATGAGATTAATCAAGAGAATGTTTTTAAAGCATCCTGCAAAATATCTTAACAGTAAACACTCAATAAATAATAGTTGTGACATTAGTTTACTAATATTATTATTATTATTTATAGTAGAGACCAGGAAACATATACTTAGGGGTCACAAAGTCATGTCCGCTGACTCATTGCCTTCTTCTTCCCTTCTTTTTCTCCCTTTTCTATGTTTTTGTCCTGGCCTATGATAACCTCAAACTATGCAAAATAAGCTTCTCCATATTCAAGATTTCATAAGAAAATAAGTCTAAAGGTGTCATAGACACCTGAGCAATCATTAAATAAGTAAGACATTATTGTGATTTTTCTCAGGTGCAAATCAGATAGCACTGGATACACCTGGGTTAAGCTCCAAGATGGCTTCAGCACAGGACAATCTGTACAGAGGCACATGGCTTGAGCCACAAGTCAGCTTTCATCTCCCAGACTCTCATCAGACTTTTCCCCAAGAGACTATTCATAGGCTAAATGATTAAGGCTAAGATGGATGTCCTGAGGCTCAGCAGGGGCAGCAGGGGCAGGGAGGTCACCCTACCAGACCCTAGGTCTTCTTTCAAGACAGTCACATGTCATAGGCAATTAGATTGGGTGCTCAGAACTGGGAGTGCAATTCAATTGTCTATGAAAACAGAGCCCAATTGAGTTGCCCTGCTGGCTCCATGGGAAGCTTCATCACCCCAGGAGTGACCCAGGACCCTTCCTTTACTTTTGACTGCCTTCAGCAATCCATTTGTTCTGGGACACTTGCCATCTGAAGACAAGCAAATATGCAGGGAGTGCCACTTTCCAGCCATTGGGATAGTTAACGTTGATTAACTTTTATTGGCTGGAATGGGCAGTACATCTCACACAGCAGTAACAAGCAGTAGAGTCAGTCCATCCCTGATTCAGAGGATGGTATTAGTGTGACCCTCCCACCCTCCTCCTTCTTACTCATGACGAGGTCCACTGGATGAACACCAGATGAGGGGCCAGCTGCTACATAAAATCAAAATCCTAAGACCACCTTGGGCTGGATAAAACACTTGGGGCATCCAGAAACCTCCCTTCTTTCCTATCTGGAAACACCTAGAAACACCTGGAAACCTAGGGCTGACTATTATGACCAGCAAGTGCAATAGTGAACAATCTCCTGCTCTGTGCCTGATTCAATAGAAGCAATAAGGACAGACAAGCCTTCCCCAAACACGAATAACTCACATGCACAACATTCCCGTTGACTTGAGCCCTTGATCTGAAGCACAGACTAATTGCTTTCAATCCATTTCTCTAGCCTCAGGATCCCATGCCTCTGTCACTTTTTAAACACAATTTCATGCCAGAGTCCAATGTCGTGCTGAATATAAAGATTGAGCTGTCCGATTAAAAAGATATGTTCTTGACCTCCTATCTCATCCTTATACCAGCCTCTGAGATTCCTCTTTGCAATATAAAGGGTCCTCAAAGCCTAGTTTGAAAAACATTGCATTGAATTACCTTCGTAGGAATCTCTAAGCTTATATCACCAATGTGAGAACCCAGTCTAGTTCTTAATGGAGAATATGGGGCCTCAGGCCTTATCCTCATTCAGTTTTCTTGCACACATTTGTTGTAGAATCAGGGCTTTTGATGATTCAACTCCCAGGCTCAATGGCTGGCCACCCCTGGACAAGGGTGTCAGCTAAAAGGGGGTTAAGGCTGAAGTCCCACACCTCCTCTGTATGCCAAGCCATCCATCTTGGCACAGGGCTTCCTGCAAATAAAGGCAGAGACACATTTTCCTAATGTGCCCAATGACACACAGCAGCAGCTCCAGCTCACACTTTGAGTTTTTTTTTTTTTTTTTTTTTTTTTTTTTTGCTATATGTATTCAGGAACATAGCTCCTTGATAAAGAATGAGGAAGCTCAAACACAGCTGAAAGTGGTGATGGCAGGGGGAATGGGTAGGAGAAGCATTGAATGAAGGTCTCAAGTCAGATTTAAGTCAAGGATCAAGTTTCAAAGCATAGAAGCCTTCTCCATGGAAACACAAGTTGTTCTTGTTATTTTTTAAACAAATATTTGATGGGCTCATTTTGTACACATACCTGGCGCAGTAACTGGGTTTTACATAAGTGGATGGAGAAATGAGTTAATCTGAATAAGAAGATAGGTTCATTTGAAGAGCCTGGCCCGGTGGAGTTGCATTTCTTTCTCTGAGGTCTGCCACCTCCCAGGCCACCAGAAGGGCCTGTCGGGGCCTGCATGAAGCTGCAGAGTGTGCAGCTGGACAGGCCCTGTGTGCTCAGGTGACCTCCTGTCTCCCCAGCTACACGCTCAGAAGCAGCGCTGCTCGCTCACAAGGCAGGGCAGGACCCCGACTCGGCTCCAGGGAATTAACAGGCAGAGGTGACAAAATGATCCCCAGTGTTTTAATTATTCTTTAATTATGCTCCATGTCATTACCTCAGCAAGGACTCTTACAGGGCCTGTCATGCTGCCAGGGGGAAAGCAAGAGGGGGAATTAAAAGATTTCTCTTCCCACTGTCTGCAGCCACGTTCGCATTCCAGGTTTGCAAAGCTTTCTAATCAGTCCAGTTGGGCATGAAAAGGCAGAACGTCCTTCCCTCAAAAGCCCATTGGAGCAGAGGCAGGAAGAGAAAGGGGACTTTGAATGTGATAAGTAAAAGAAAAATTCAATCCTGGCCTTTCAAGTTCTCTTGGGCTTAAATTTCTTTTCTTTCCTCCAGCATCTGCTGCTTCTCCCTGAAGTTAGAAGAAAATGCCTCTTGGGGGCTGATTCTATGCCATGCAGCAGCCCTGGAAGTTTCTTTCTCAGGGATGGTCTACATACCCAGCAGCAGCACCCTGAGAGAGCAGAAGGCCACATCTTCTGGAAATTAACCCTAAATTTGAGGGATGTGAAAAGGGAAGAGTCTTCGAATTCTTCTAGCCAATGACTTACAATTCTAGCATGTCTGAAACATCTCATCCAGCCTCTGCTTCTCAGGGTGGGTGAAGGGCTCACAGCCTTCCATGGTAGCCCATACACTGCTTAGTCCATGTTTTCCACAGTAGGCTCTTTTAATTTCAACAATCCATTTATTAAACAATTGCTTCAGAAGGAGGTTTAAATCCTACCTCTGTCGCTTGCTAGCTGTGTGATCAGCAAGTAGGTTAATTTCTCTGAACCTCAATTTTCTCATCTGTAAAACAGGGATTAATAATGGTACTTACGTCTTTGGGTTATTATGAAGAAAGATAATATGATTTAAGATCTTGATATAGGGCTTTGTGACATTTTAAACATGCTTCATTGTATATCATATATGATATATAGGATATAATATACTATGTATTATGGGATATAACATACTATATATTATGGGATATATTATATATTATGGGAAATTATATACCATATGTTATATAATAGTGATCTATTCACTGTGGATGAGGCATACTAGAAGGCCTACGAGACCATCTTCTTTACAGTCCACAGGGACCATGTCTCCTTTTTTCCTGTTTACCTCTGTATTTCTAGAGCATAACATGAGGAATAGCACACAGTAGGTCCTCAATAAATAGTCATTGAAAAATATGAATAAGCACTTTGGGAGATGTAATCGAGCATGGAAAATACAGTGATAGAGGGAAGCCCAGAGTGCTGTGGGAAGAAAGAGGAGCCCTGCTTCTAACCATCCCTAATTGAGAGCTGAATTAAGTCCTTGCCGGCCACCTGGAACATCCCAGAGTATCAGGTCTAAGACCCCTTCCAATATTGCCTCAAGGCATTCCTTACAGCAAGCTTGTCCAACCTGCAGCCCACAGGCTGCATGCAGCCCCAGGGCAGCTTTGAATGTGGCCCAACACAAATTTGTAAACTTTCTTAAAACATTATGAGATTCTTCTTGCCATTTTTTTTTTAGCTCATCAGCTATCATCAATGTTAGTGTACTTTATGTGTGGCTCAAAACAATTCTTCCAATGTGGCCTGGGGAAGCCAAAAGATTGGACACCCCTGCCTCACAGGACACAGGTTTTTTTTTCCTCCCCTTCCTTAGCCACATTCATTACTCCCCTCTCATCTCCTAAGGAGAGCAGTGTCCCTATGACTGTGCTATTTAGAACTGGACAAAATATTCCCACTGTGGCCTGACCAGCACTAATTCCTTCAGACTCATTGGCTACAACCAATGACGCCAATAGTTCCAGGGGTTCTCAGTGCCAACCCTATTAGAGTCTACACGCGGCTTCTCTCTCTTTCACACTTGGTCGAGATATTTATGTGTAAACTGCAATTTAAATTAAACTGAACTAGCTTCATTGTATTTGTTGATGTCAGGGACCACTGGATAACTCGGGTTGCCCTGCCACTTCACAAAATTGGAGTTGGGATGGCCAATAGGCTGCTTCCACTGAAACTGCAGGACTGAAGCATCAGTTCTTCATGAGCTAAAAGAAATTCCACCCCAGTCACGGCATTTTGGTTTAGGTGTGGATCTTGAGACATCATTATATAGTATAAGGGCTGAGTGGTTCAGAGACGTCTTTCTCCACATGGAGGCCAGAGATCATCATTATCACACGAGATGTTTCTAGGTGGGGCTCATGTTCCTGTTCTAAAATGTTCACAGTTGAGTATTTCTTTTGATGTGTATGAGGTAAACCATAACCAGTATTTCAAAATCATATTTTACACAGATATTATGGTTATTTACTCATATTAAAGTTTAAAGATAAGTCAACTTAAAGAAAGTACTGAGTACACAGAAGCACAGGTGGTGCACAGATACAACAGAACTCCAAGTTTGGTCTGGGCAAACCAGAAAAGGCAAACACAGCTCTCTCCCCAGGACCTGGGAGACCTGGTCTCGTGGCTGCGATTGCACCAAGCCTTAGTTCCTTTATCTGCAAAATGGGAGTGGATCATTTTCAATCAGCCACCAGCTGCAGATTGTTGTGAGGATACAGGGAAATAATATGAGCAGTGCCTGCCACTTACTAATTGTATTTATTAAATTTTAGCATGGAGTTAAACTCTTGATACACTTTATCCAGTCAATCCTTATGGCAATCTTATGTGGTAGATGCAGTTAATCTGTTTTATAGAGGAGGAAACTGAGACTCAGGAAGAGAAGAAGCAACTTGACCAAGTCACACAGGTAAGAGGAAGAGCTAGGATCTATATCTATGTCTCCCAATTCTCAAATCCATGCCCTTTACCGCCCCTGGGTTGTATGTAAGTGTGAGCTCTGCAGCGTCTGTTGAAATGAACAGCACGAATATGGAAAATGAGCTGCATGGAAGTCGGGGCTTGGCTGCTCTGTTCATTGTTGTGTCCCCAGAGCATTTGGGACAGCTCCTAACATGCTGTGGATGCTCAGTAAATGTGTACATGAGAGAGAGAAAAGAAGGCAAAAAGGGAAGGGAAAAATCCAAAAGAAAGGAAGAGAAGGACGGTAGGATGGATGAATGGGAGGAAGGAAGGGAGAAAACAGTCTTTGGCAAGATGAAAGTTTGTGTTTTCTACCTATGAAAACAAAATGTCAGAGAACCAGACTCATTGCTTGGAGGTCAGGAGCTGCCATCACTGCTGAGGAACAAACAAGAGAACCTCTTTTAACCACTGACAGGTTGGTTCATCGGTACACCGGCTTGTTCTGTGCTAGAGTAGCTAAACCATCAGGAGTGTCCCATAGAGGAATTAGAAGAAAGGGATGCAAAGAACAGTAAATTTTCACTGATAGGAAATCAACAGAGAAGATCGATAATAATGCATATTTGTCCAATTATCTTTGAAAACAATTTTGACACCAAAATAATATATACATCAGTATATATAAGCTTACCTTCTAATATTATAGAATCGAAAGTTGGGAACTATCATTGAAAAATAATCTTGTTCTAAGCAAAAACTGAAAAAAGAAATATATAAAGATTAAAGATTTCTATATAACAAAATATGTCATGGAGTTAAAAAAATAAAACTGAGAAAAATTTATGTAAGCTATTCAAAAGACAAACGACAGCATTAATATCCAGGATATATATAGTGTTCTCATGAATCAATAAGGAATAGACAAATGAAGTATTCAAAATATTGAAGAGAATTTAAACAGATTTGCACAGAAAAGAATGCAAAAGTCCAGTAAATATTTGAAGAGATCTCAAGCTCTCTAGAAGTTGGGAAATTGTAAATTAAAACAAGATTGGCAAAAAAATGCTTAAAATATTGATAGTAGTCTATTGGTTATTATGGCCTTTGAATATACAGTTGGTGAGAGCATAAATGGATGGAGCTTTCATAAAAGTTAATTTAGCAGTATTTGTCAAAATTAAAAGTGGACAGGGCTTTTGACTCAGCAGTCCTTTTTCTTGGACTCTTATCTTTGGAAACACTTGCACAGGTGGATATAAATGGGATCCTACGGGCATTCATAGCAACATTATAATAGTGAAAAACTGGAACCAGCTTAAATACTTATCATTTAGAAGAACGCTTGAACGAATCGTGGTACATTCATTCTATGAAGTCTGTTCAAAAGAATGAAGTGGACCTATACACACTGAAATAAAGATCTCCAAGATACATTATTGGTGAAAAAAAAGCAGGTTACAGAATAGCATATATAATATGATGCCATTTATGTTAAAAATAAGATACCTATGTAATATCTAAATATGTGGTATACATGCACAGAAAAGGGGGCTTGGAAATATGTACCCCAAAATAATGACAGAGATTACCTCTGGGGAACAGAATTGGAGCAGGAAAAGTTGAAGGAAAACTTTCATGGTTTGCTTTATATGTTTATGCATGGCCAGAATCAGAATGTATTCATGTATTACTAATATACATTTTTAAAATAACAGAAAAAGAAAGAATTTCAATTTCTCTGAGCCCTCCTGAACCTACATCATCCCCTAAACTGAGATGCGTTTGTGGATTTTTTGCCTTTTATTTAATTGCTTTTTCACTCTATCGCAAGCTAATACCTGGATGCCCCTGGCACACTTTCAGATGTCTGCACACGCTAACACAATTCACTTGGCATCACAGAATCTGAGAAACAGCAAAGGCCTTGGGGATGATGTAACCCATTTCTCTCCTTTTAGAGATAATGCATGGAGAGTTTCAATGGCTTGCTTATGATCTCACAGCAAAAGAACTGTCAGGGTAGGAACTAGGAGCTGGCTCTTTGGCACCAAGTCCAAGTTCTTCCCATGGTACTCCATGGCAAGGGAAAGTCCATTGCAGGATGAGACCCCAGAGGCTGCTAATGGTCTCACCAACTGCCTTTCACCTGCACCAGTGCTGCCCACTACCATCCACTGAGCAGGTGGAATCTGAGGCTGTTAGGAGCAAAGACTTTTCCCAATGCATCATGATTCCCACAACGCCTGTGCTAACTCACTCTGAACAGCTGTGAAAATCCTGCCCGTGTTCAACAGCCCTTGAAGTTTCTCATTTTTGTCTTGAAGTGAGTGAAATGTGGCAGAGAAGCTACCCATTACAGGACCAGGGGACACGGTTCTAGACTCTTCTCAAGTCCATATGCTGCAAAGATTTTAAGGACTCCCTTCACGTCTCCAAATTTTTTTTTTTTTTTTTTTTTTTTTTTTTTTAGACAGTGTCTCATTCTGTCACCCAGGCTGGAGTGCAGTGGCACGATCCCCACTTATTGAAGCCTCCATCTCCTGAGTTCAAGTGATCCTCCTGTCCCAGCCTCTTGAGTAGCTGAGACTATAGACACATGCCACCACACCCAGCTAATTTTTTTTTTTTTAATTTTTAGTAGAGATAGGGTCTTGCCACGTTGCCTAAGCTGGTCTCTAACTCCTAAACTCAAGTGATCCTCCTTCTTCAGCTTCCCAAAGTGCTGGGATTACAGGCCTAAGCCACTGTGCCTGCCCCCACTTTTTTCTTAAATGCACTATTTTTCCATAATCAAGGTGTTCAATGCACATGCTTTGTAGTTACTAAACTTTACTTAAGCTATTTTTCTTTGTGAGTTGACTTAGCAATAATGCATGCTGCATATGAGCTTTTATGTCTGTCTCACAATAACTCTACTTTAAGTTTACCTCTCTCTGTGAAAACAGATTCCTAAAGAGCATGGAAATTTCATCTTTTTAACTTGAATTGTATTTTATTTCTTTATGTATTTGTTTGCCTTGAAACAAGGTCTTGCTCTGTTGCCCAGGCAGAAGGCAGTGGCACAGTCCTAGCTCACTGCAGCCTCATACTCCTTGCTCAAAGAATCCTCCTGCCTTAGTCTCCCAAAGCTCTGGGATTACAGGTGTGATCCACTGTGTCTGGTCATGAATTGGATTTTATTTTATTTTAATTAATTAATTTGTTTATTATTTTTTGAGATAGAGTCTTGCTCTGTTGCCCAGGCTGTAGTGCAATGGTGCCATCTCGGTTCATGGCAACCTCCACCTCCCAGGTTCAAGCGATTCTCCTGCCTCAGCATCCCAAGTAGCTGGGATTACAGGCACTTGCCACCATGCCCAGGTAATTTTTGTATCTTCAGTAAAGACAGGGTTTCACCATGTTGGTCAGGCTGGTCTCGAACTCCTGACCTCAGGTGATCCACCTGCCTCGGCCTGCCAAAGTGCTGGGATTACAGGCGTGAGCCACCATACCCAGCCAGATTTTGAATGCTCTGATAGAATACTTGATTTAGAAGGATCTTCTTATGAGTAATGTGAATACTTGATTTAGAAGGATCTTCTTATGAGTAATGTTTTAAATGCAATCAATCAGCTATTACATATACACTGTCCAATATGGTACCCACTAGCCACAGGTGCCCATAGAGTGCTTGAGTACAGCTTATCCCAACTGAGATGTTTTAGAATAAAATATGCACCAAAAAGTTTTCAAAATATGTCATTAATATTTTTTATGATGATTACACGTTGAATAATGATATTTTGGATAAACTAGATTAAAATATATTACTAAAGTTAATTTTCAGTTTCTTTTTATCCTGTTTAGGTAGCTACTAGAATATTTAAAATTTTATGTGTAGTTTGCAACATATTTGGACAGCATTGAAAATAATTAGTTTTATAACCTTGGATTTTTCTCAAGCCAATTTTCTTAAGGGGAAACCTATCTATTTTCAGAACATAGCCATAACTTGCAACTGTGGATAAAAGGTGGAGTTTTAAAGGGATCACTTAATTTAACATTTGATCAGTTGAGTGTTTAATATATTCTGGATGTAGTACTCGATGGATTGACTCTTGACCCCAAAGAGTTCACAATCAAGAAGAGGAATTAGGCCATCATGCATATAATGAATTAAAAATGTCAGTCTTCTCCACTGTCCCCAAACCTGCAAAGTAATAGAGCTCTTCAAATGTCTAAAAACCTATTCTAGGTAAAAGTATTCTAAAACATCAAGTTCAGACCACAGATGTCTGTGTGATATCTAGAAGGTACTCAGGAATTGCCATGTAACGCATAGTCTCCCAAATCAAAAACAGTAATAAAGTCACAAAACATTCTTTTAAAATTGTGTTTGAATAACTTTTTTAAAGACAGGAAGAAGTCACTCTTTTTTATTGTCATGTGACTTGGATAGAGGCAGGGATAGATTGTTCCAATGACCTCTTACTTCACCAAGTCCATACTAAAGAGTGTATGTAATTAAATGGAATTCAAGCATGCATTCATGAAGGCCTATTGATATTAATCTGACCTTCTAAAGATTGGCAAGTTTTGACAAGTGAGTTGCCCAATTTCTATTCCTATCTAGCTAAAGGATGAAGTAGACTAAAATTATAAACACACACACACACACACACACACACACACACACACACACACACACACACACACACACACATACCACCCCTGGCTTGGGTCCCTGGAAGCTAAGCTTATGCTACATGATCTCTCTCCTGGACTCCAGCTGATTGATCTGAGCTGCAGAGCTGTCTCATTCTTTTAAATAACTACATGATCTCTCACTGCATATATGTACCATACTTTATTTAACCAGCACCATATTAAAGGATATTTAAACTCTTTACAGACGTTTTTTTTCAATATAAACAGTGCTGCAATGAACACCTTTGAACACATGAACACGCATGTTGGATACCTTTCTGGAATAGGAGTACTTGAGTTAAATGGTGCATGTGCTTTCAATTTTGCCACATATTGCCAAAATGCCCGCAAGAGAGGGCTTACAATTTGTGTTCTCCTCAATGTATGGAAGAAGAAAGGGATTTTATTTAAGGTACATGTATTTGTGCCAGATGAAGAGATAGTTTTATATAAAGCATAAATAACCTGTAGAAAAATCCTGCAAGGCTACATTAAATAAAAAGAGGCTAAATTTAGTGTAACTATTGCACTCATCTGTTAAATTTTGTAATAAGGAATTTAAAACTATATAATAAATATCATTAAACATAAAAAAACCCTCTCATTTAAGGGAAGATATCAAAATGTTAAGAAAGAAGAAAAAGCATATATAGTAAAAGAGGGAGAGAGAAAAAGGAAAGAGATCTATAGAAAGATGTCATACAATGAGTTTGACACCAGTAAATCTCAGTGAAAATGAGGAGACTGGTTTTTCTACCAAGAACACTCACTTTCTGGGCCTTTTGTGAATTATGCATTTGTGCTGTTTTGTATCCTCAGGTGTGGCAGGTTGCCATATTGGACCTAATTCGTCAACTCTCTCTTCAGCTGTACCTTTCACATAGCCTTATCATGGGCAGAGTCTACTTCCGTGTCCCTTGACTTGGGATTGGCCATATGACTTGCTTTAGCCAACGGCATGCATGCACAGGTACCATTGGGCCAGTTCTAAGCTTAGGCCGTGAGGGTCCTCATATGGTCTATTTGTTCTCTTGTGCCCCTACCATCACTTTGAGAAAAACGTGCCCCTGAGTACCCTTCTGGTCCAAGGAAGATGACAGACTCATGAAGGGAACCTGGAGCCATATCATCTGAGCCCAGGCTAAATCAGCCAACCCCCAGCTGCCCTGCAGATGTGTGAGCTAGCCCAGCCAAGATTAGCAGAGCCACCCCAGCTGAGCCCAACCTAGAGGAGTCAACTTTCAGCCAACCTGCAGACTGCATGAACAATGAGAAATGATTGTTGTTTCAAGCCACTGAGTTTTGGGGCAGTTTGTTACATAATAACAGCTCATTAATGTATCAGACAATCAAAAAGGATGGGTTTGGCCCAAGCTTTCAAGGTCCTCCCTTCATTCAACACATATTTATTAAGTACCCACTATGTGAAGGCACTAAGCTAGGTTCTGGGGATACAGTGAAGAACAAGACAGACCAGGTCTTTGCTTTTATAGACCTGATCCGAGTAAAGAGAAGACAACATAGAGAAGCATGATATGACTTATAAATATGACTGGCTGCTGCTTTCGATTACTTGGACAGTGAAGTTTTCTTAGAAAAAGTGACATTTCAGTCCAGATTTGCCTGACAAGGAGCCAGTTTAAGTTCCAGGGGTGGAGCGCTCCAGAAAGATAGAACAACTAGAGCAAAGGCCCTGAGTGGGAAAGAACTTAGTGCATTCAAGATACAGGAAGGAGGCCAGTGTGGCTAATCATGGTGAGCCTGCCGTTGAAGTACTGTCTTGCTCCTTCTAGATAGCTAGTGCCTTTTTGCATTTGGGAAAAATGTGCTTGCTTCAGTTGGCAAGAGGTCTGTGTCAATTGTAATTTCACTATTCTCAACTTGGCTTGGACTTCAAATAAAAATGAAAACCCAGCCTCACTCTATTCTCATTTAAAACACATCTACTGCTCACTCCAATCTTCAGTAGTAAATGAGCACAAATGAAGTAAAGCAACTAACAGTTGAGGTAATGGCCAAGAGAGGATGCAGACAAGGCTTCAATCACCAGGTTCAATACTCAGAGAAGCAAAAGCAGATTTCCAGATTTGTCAGTCCTGTAGTTTTGCTCTTTCCAATTGACTTTTAAATTTGGTGGAAAGGTTCTGTGTCTAAATGAAGTAGCGCTCACCCTCTAAAACACAAACAGATCTCAGTAGTTCCCAGAAGAAGTGCTATTCCAGGTTGGGCTGGAGTTCCAGGACTGCAGCCCATGTGACTGCCTTTAAAAGACAGAATGAGTCAGGCATGGTGGCTCATGCCTGTAATTCGGACACTTTGGGAGGCTGAGGTGGGAGGATCGCTTGAGGCCAGGAGTGCGGAACCAGCCTGGGCAACATAGTGAGACTCCATCTCTACAAAAAATTTAAAAATTAACTAGATTTGATGGTAGGCCCCTGCAGTCCCAGCTATTCTGGATGCTGAGGTGGGAGGGTTGCTTGAGCCTAGGAGTTCAAAGCTGCAGTAAGCTATGATTGCACAACGGCACTCCAGCCTGGGTGACCAAACAAGATTCAATAACTTACAAAAAAAAAAAAAAAAAGAAAGAAAGAAAGAAAGAAGAATGCATTGTGACATTCTCCCCTCCCCAGCCTCCCAGAAATTAGCTCCATTTAGATACTGGGAAAGAGGACATTTCACCTGGCAGCTCTCTGCTTATTATTCTGTGACCTTGAGGGGATTATCTAGTTCCACGTGCTTTAGACTTATTTATGAAATGACAATGGTAATAACTAACCAACCACAGGTTGCTATAAGGGTTAAATACAATAATATGCTTCTAAGTCTTTATAAACCATGAAGGGCCACTTAACTGTGAAGCATCCTAATTATTTATTAAAGATGCCAAGTCCTTCCCCAGGCTGGATTGCTTTCTATCCCTAATGGGCAGAAAACCTGGAGTATAATATTTTGATACCTAACATTTAAAAATACATAAGCCATGTGCTATTATTGTCCAAGTGATAACACCATTTTGTGATTATTAACCAAACAATAAATTCTCCAAAGACTCCTAGGGATGTAACTTTGTCTTTCTCATGATTTTTCTGTGGGTATCCATGGAAGCACAGCAAAGAGTTTTTGCCTCTAAATATTCTCATATGGAAATTCTGATTACATTCCACTACATATCAGCAATGAGAAGTCTAAAATACACAAAATACAACATTTATCTTTAGACTATATTAATATTTTATTTATGTGATGGTCTGACATCTGAGCCCAGAATAAATATTTTAGAAATTTCTTTAATTTCTCAAAAATCCTTTAATTGATCCTTCTTTTGGCTAGTCTCTTTCTTCAGTATTAAACTTTGAACTCCTGAGTTACAATTAGCAGCACACACTGCCGTCCTTACAAACAGAGGGAGTTAAGTTTCATATACCCAAATGTTCAGTCTAGCAGCATCCACCATGGTTCTGGCTGCTGCCAGGACCCAGAGGTTGTGATTAAGAGTCCATTCATGCTGTCGGTGGCACCACTGGAACTAAATTGCATCTCTTGGCCTTTGGCTTCCAGGTTTATAAAACTATGAAAGCCATATTCGTTTCCTTCATTGGCTTGCTCTAAGAAGCTAACACCAGTGTTGCCGGCCCATTCAAAAATGCATGACATAAATGTCAAAGCCCCATCTGAATGATGTTTTTCTTGTAGAAATTGTTTTTCCTAAGGTGATTTTAATAACATAGCTAGCCATCTGGCATACCTAGGGTAAGCAGAGAGAAGAGGACCCAATATTTAGATTTATCAATAAGTAAATTTAAGACTAATGATGTTTTACATTATGTGAGTACTTTCTACTTTGTCAGAAGATCTGTCACAGGATTCCTGTAGCGAGCTTTCCTGGAGCATTTGAAATGTGATTCGATTTATGGAAAATCAATTCACAGGTTACTTTTTGAGGATATATTTATTTTATAAAGTATCAAACCTTAGGGATCCTGATTTTTTTCAAATAAAGTTTGCCTGTGTGGAGTGTGCCAGGGCAGGAGTTTGAGGAGGTTATATTGTGTAGGGAAGATATCTGATAAATACATTTTGGATGATAGGATGAATGAAAAAACAAGTGGATGGTTGGATGGGTAGGTGAGAAGACAGATGAATCAATGAATGAGTTAGCAAATGAAATAAATGAATTAGAGTTTTGGAAGATTTTCTGAATTGTCAGAAGGGAAAGGGGATGTTTACTAGCTACCAGTTCATTCATGCCTAAGTCACGCCCTTGCCCAGTCTGTGGCATTCCAAAATGCAAGCATGAATATGGAATCAAATAAATATTTTTCAAATGTCAGTGTACCTGGGGTGAAAAGAAAAAGAGACGATGACTGTCAAGGTAACAAATTTACATATTTATTTCAGACTATATTAAATTAAAAAGTGACATCCATCAAAATTACCTAAGCCAAAGTTATTGTTGATCCTTCCCACATTGTTAAATTCTGTGGTCATTCTGACACCCCACACCATTTACCCAGCAGCAGCATTTAGGGTGGATGACAACTTGCACCTTATTTTTTTATTTTTTTTTTTTTTGAGATGAGGTCTCTTGCTCTATCACTCAGGCTGAAGTCCAGTAGCATGATCACAGCTCACTGCAGCCTTGACCTCCTGGGCTCTGGTGATCCTCCCATTTCAGCCTCCCAAGTAGCTGGGACTACAGGTGCATGCCATTACACCAGGCTAATTTTTGTATATTTTGTAGAGATGGGCTTTGCCATGTTGCCCAGGCTGGTCTCTAACTCCCGGGTTTAAGCAATCTGCCTGCCCCAGCCTCCCAAAGTGCTGGGATTATAGGCATGAGCCATCGTGCCCGGCTGCACCTTCTTGATACATTGTCCTCCCTTGGCTTCCAGAAGTCTCAATTGTCATGGTTTCATGAGCAAGTTTGCTTCCAGGAGCCCCCATCAACAGAGGCATGTGCTTTCACTCCAGCCACATTAGACTCCTCACTGTCCCCAGACATTCTTTGCCATTCCCAACTGTGGTGCCTTTGCTTCTACTGATTATTCTGCCCAGAGTGATCTCCACATTCCTTTCTTCCTAGTGAAACTCCATTCATGCTTTGAGACCCGAAATTACTAGTTCCTCATCCCAAAGCCTTTTAGGAATTCTCTTCCTATCCTCCAATCTCTCTCCTCTACTTGGTTTCTGCCTCTATGTAGTAGCACTGATAACAGGAGTGATCCAAGCGATTATAGGAGGGATGGGAACAGTAATAGGCGTAATAAAATGGGGAGGAAGAGAAGCAGATAGATTTAGTGAACATTTACTATTACTAGACACTGGGCTAATTCTTTCATATTCATTATTTTACCGAATCCTTACAAGGGCAGTTATTAGCATCACTTTATAGAGGACACACCTGAGGCTTTAAGCGGGTGTTTGAATTACCTGAGATCATCCAGCTAAAGTGTGGAAGTGAGCTGTGAAACCCAGGCCTAACTCTGTCCAGAGTCAAAATGCAAAACCACCAGCATTTGGTGTGGATGATCACTCGCAACTTTTTTTTTTTCAAAGTCTTACCCTGTCACTCAGGCTAGAGTGCAGTGGTCATTCTAATACCCCACACTATTTACCCACTAGCAGCATTTGGTGTGATCACAGCATGATGCTGCCCCATAACACTGTGTTAGATTTATTGGTGTCTCTAGCTCCCCATCTCCTCCTTGAGGGCAAGGAAGTGTCTCTATAGTTCCAATGTTTGGTTAGTACCAGGTGTTTAGGGCATGTTTTTTAACTAAATGAAGGAAGGTGGCATATTTTCAAGAGTAAGAATGGGCTTGTGATGATCTCTGCTGAGCTTTTGTACACAATTTTGGAGGTAGCCAGTAAAAGCCAGTTGGGCTCTGTCTTAACTGGACCTGCCAGTCCCAAAATGGGGATGGGAATTGTGTGGGAGTCATTTTAGTGTGAAATCACACTGCTTCCAGGGTGAAGAGGCCCTTCCACCCTGGGTATTTCACAATTTCTTGGCCTTACTTCTGGCTGCCTGATATACTTAGTTGGATGTTTACATAGCAGAGTTTACTCTAGCAGAGGAAGAATGAGTATGTCCTCTCTGTGGCAAGCAGTTGAACTTACTGAGACTGACACCAGTCAGATTTTATCTCAGTGGCTCTTTCACCTCTTGGTAGCCCCTTGAAAAACCTTATTTACTCAAGATGAGCCCTGGCTTTCAACTGCTATTGGAGGACATCCTTCAATTCACTCTCAATGAACAGCGGGGATAGCTCAGTCCTCACTCACATTCCTGCCCCCTTTCCCTACTTGTCCTCATCAAAGCCCGCTCAAGACTACCACCACCATCTTTTCGTTGCATTTATTGCTCCTATACGCTCCCTCAGATCTCCCTGTCTTTTTTTTTTTTTTTTTTTTTTTTTTGAGACGGAGTCTCGCTCTGTCGCCCAGGCTGGAGTGCTGTGGCGCAATCTCGGCTCACTGCAAGCTCCGCCTCCCGGGTTCACGCCATTCTCCTGCTTCAGCCTCACGATCCCTGTCTCTTAACAGCCAAGCAATGCATGCCCTTTGGTCAGGTCACACTCTAAATAAGGACAACACCAATAAGTCAGAACGTTGTGCACTTGTAGAGTGCGTTGTGACTTATCAAATGTCTTTTTACCCATTATGTTAATTGCACTTTTCTAGTACGGGTGCACCATACTTTCTCCTGGAGCAAAACTCTTAAGTCAGTTTATTTTTTTTCAAATTCAGAAGATGAGAACCATGCAGGATATCATTAAAATAAATCTTTCATTTTATGTTTTACCAAAGATACTTGGTGTCTACTATAATACCTGTAAGTCGGCTCAGCACAAGGACTACAGAGACAACTGTGATAGTATCCCTGCTCCCAGGTGCCCCTGCTTTGGAGCCCAGATAAAAAATAAATAAATAAACAATTGCAAAGGCTGAGGAAAGTGGAACTTACAGGGATAAACACACACAAGAAAACACAGGAATGGGGAAACATCACTGCTAGGGTTGACCAAGAGGATGTGAATCATGAAGAAGGGTTATTCCATGCACAAATACCAAGAAAGGGGTCCTTTTTAAATTACAGCAATATGTATTGAATGCCTACCACATTTCAGGCATGGAGGATATGACAGTGGGTATGACAAATGTCCTTGCTCTCAAGGAGATTATAGTCTAGTGGAAAGACTAGCAAACAGATCAATCCAAAAGAAGCTTTAGAAAGCTGTGATCTTTTTAGACTTGTGCCACAGAACCATGACACCCTCCCACTCCATGCTGACCTTGTCACTGCCATGTACTAGTCTTCTGGTCATTCCTTCCCATCCATCAGAGATGTGGGCATCTGACTCATGGACTGCCTCTTCAACCGAGACAATGCTTTTTATGTGGCAATCTATCTGCATCCCTGCCTCTCAGGTTCTGACATCCTCATCTCCAATAAGCCCCTCTTCTATTTGCTCTCTATCACCTCCTGGGAAGTTACACCCTAGACCCTGTGATCACTCAACATTTCTCCATGGCCATAAGCCTGAATTTTAGCCTTAGGTTCTGACTATGGACTCCTCTCCTACTATTTTCTTTAACTATATTCTCTAAGACTCTTTATTGACTTCCCAGGGACTGCTGACCCCTTGAGCAGAAGTTGGGTGTATTCTGCCTTCCCAAATACTCAAAGGCAAAAGACTTTGCCACCATTTCCTGTCAAAGTGCTTAATGTAGTAGGTGTTCAGTAGAAATTTATCCAGTCTTTGTTGATGTTTATAGAGCACCTGCTAAGTGCCTGGCACAGTGGTGGAGTGGGCAGGCACGGCAACTGTAGTCACTTTTACAGCCTGCTGGTGACTACACATCTGAATCCATTGTCTGGAGGTCATCTCTGAAAACACTAATAAGAAACTGTTCTTAAAAGTTTTTAGAAGCTTAATCTTCTTGGCCAATTCTCCCCAGGCCCCAAAGAGAAAAATCAGGGTCCATCCTATTACAATTCCATAATTGTTTGATTCTTTTCTACTAAGAACCACTAGGATGAACTAGCTAAGAAATGACTTTGCAGGCACCATCTATTTTAGGTAGATCTTCTTTTCTTTGCTTGTAGCAGTTTTCTATACTTGATACTTTGCTCAAAACTCCTCAAATTCCCATTGGAATTAGAGGGCTTACCACCTTCAGGGGGCCTTTCAAATGATAAAGGAAGTCAAATATATTTCTAAAGCCAAGCCAGGAAAGCCCAGCAGCTTTGAAAGCATAAGCACAGGGTCTTTATAGTGACTGAGTAATATTAGGGCACCAAGTACTCCAAAATAAGGGGAAAAGAAGCACATTTTTATGTCATTCTTTTAGAAGAGGATCCATGATGAAGAAATGGGTCTAAGTGTGAGTTTCCATTGTCAGGATACTACAGCAGCCAGAGTGGTCTGTTAAAAGTTTCAAAACCCGGTGACTCAGACCTCTACACTTATGGTCAAAGCCAGTCTTGAATGAGGCCAGTGAGGGTCTGCATGATCTGAGCCAGAGCGACCTCCCTCCTGCTCATCACACATTAGCCACTATGGTAGCTTCCTGGTTTCTCTCACAGGGCCAAGTTGACTTTTGTCTTCAGGGCGTTTGAACTTGCTCTTCTGCTTGGAACCCTCTTCCTCCAGATTCTTCTATTACTGGCTTCTTCCTGCCAAATGGGGCTCATCACCCAATGTAGTTACTCCTAGCCTTAGTCATTCTCCATGCATGGTCCAGTTTGTTTGAATGCTTAGCATGCAACTTGAAATTATCTGTTGGCTTATTTATTTCAGTTATTTATTATTCCCAGCCCCCTTCAGAGTGTAAGCACCTTGAGAGCAGAAATCAGACTTGGTCATTACTGTATAATCAGAGCCTAGAAAAGTCCCTGGACATAGTTGACACATGGTACATATTTTTTGAGTAAATGATTTGCAAACACTGAGTAATTTCTCCATCAAAGGGCCTTCCCAAGCCACAGCATCAAATCCATACATAAATGTGGCATATGAAGCAATTAATCCAAAACTTTGCTTATCATGCACCACCAATGGCAGGCCAATATGGAATGTTCACAACTCTAATGAACATTAGTCTTCCCAGGTGCCGTCCAGGCACTCTTTTGGCACAGGTGATTCTGGGGTGCAATTAGTCGGCAAGAACAGCACCAGCTACCCTACAGTCTCCACTTACAAACAAGCACAGTGCTGGCGGGGTTCCTGGGAGGGCAGAGGCTGGCAAAGAGCCTGCTCTTTGGACTGCATACTGATCATTAGAAAAATGGGTAAATGAGGATGTTCCCTGTAGAAAACAGAGACGGTGGTGAAGGGGCAATGGAGGATAATTTTGCTGATAATAGACTGAAGAACTGTTGATACTGGCAGAAAGAAAACAATACTTTTTTATAGTTTGAAACATTCAGTCTTTAGCCAAATGTCCAGGCAGATTATGATTTATATGGACATGGTTGTGCAACCCCCGGAGGGAAATGCACTGTATGAAAATATGCGTATGCATTTCAACAATGCACTTGAGGCACCGCATGCATGCACCTTGGTGAATTTTTATGTGCATACTCTGCTGCGTGGCTGTTAAAAAAAAAAAAAAAAGGCCTGCCTTTTCAAATGTACTGTGTGCACTTTACATTTTTTCTAGTGGCTAATGTAAACACACCTTAAGTGATCATAAACGCTTGGATTAACATCAGTCAAGATATCTTGAGCACATATAAATTTAAATGGCTCTGTTGATTACATTTCCACTTAGAGTTGGGAACCTGACATATTAAAGGAGACTAGAATTCAGAAAAGCAAGATTTTTTCTCTATGTCCAAGAATTTGGTTACAATGTCTGAAAAATAATATCTGAATTTTAAAAGTAATTACTAGTGCTTATGGAGGAGATGACTTACTATACACAAAGCATTTTGTATACATAATGTTGTTTTATCTTCACAATAACCCTATGAAGGGTTTTATAAATAAAGACAGAGTCAAGGCACAGATTTCACCCAAGATCACACAGCTAGTGAGGCTGGAACTGATTCCAGCCCAGGCAGTCTGACTCACGAGCCCACATTCTTAGTTACTCCACCCCACTGCCTCTTCAAATCCTAGACTACCTTTTGTTACTTGCAGGTTCACAAACACCTGCATACTCTGTGTCTCAGATTGTTAATAGTGCCTTGTTCCTAATGCTAAAGCAACATCATTATTAACACTTGTCTTTGCAAAAATTCAGAGCAGGCTAAAGCTTAGGTTTATGATGATATAATTCTCATTCTTAGGCAGGAAAGCAGAAGGCCCATGAAATGACAGTCAGCTCAAAGGCATGGTGCACTTCTCCATTTAGTTATTCATTTGTTTGTTCAGTCCACAAAACCCTAATACGTATAATTTACTAAATGCTGAAGATATAAAGGTATGAAGCGAGTTTACATTTTAACATCTAGTATGTGCTAACCCATCGACAAATTAAAATATTAAGATGGTAATAAAAGGCATAAAGGGAAATGCATGGTACTAGGGGATTCCTGGTCCTGTTTTAGGGGGCATGAAAAACCTCCCTGCAGATGACAGGGGAGCTAAGAGCTGAAGGCAAAGGTGGAGTTGAGGGTTGGGGAAGGGAACAGCCCCAGGAAAGGTCCTTGAGCAGGAGAAATCCCAGCCTGTTGCAAAATCTGAAGGAAAGTAGGAGTGGCCAGAGTGCAGGGGGACAGGTCAAGTCTCCCAGCAAGGCAAGGCTGGGAAGAAGACGGGCAGCCAGAATGCCAGTCCCAGCACTTTCCCTGGAGTAGCTCATCTGAGGCTTCCAACTACCCTTCAAGGCAGGTACTATTATGCTTTTTTTTTTCTTTCAGAGAAGAAACATGTCATCTAGAGTGAGGATTTCAATTTTGTCTATGCTCACACAGCCAGTAAATGAAGGATTCAAACCCAGATACTCTAGCTCTGAGCCTCCACTATTGACAACCAGGCTACACTGCCAAGACACAAGGAACTCAAGACACCGCAGAAGTTTGTCTTCAGAGCCTGGACCACTAATCACAGTCCTATGTTGCCTCACGGCTAATTCTAGGTGCCATACAGGAAAGTGTTGCTCTTCACTGGGAAGAGGATGTACTGACTTGGCTAAGGGAGCCATGCCCTCATCAGGGCTCGAAAGACACGAAAGACTTGCTGCTGACACAGTGCCTGGAGAATAAATGACTTCAGACATCTTTACACACTCTGCCCACCCTCTGACCCTGATGCCAATGTCAGAGGAAGATCAATCAGACATGAACAGAGTGACTGTGTCTTTCCCTGGTCCTTGGCAAGTTACTTGTGTGCATGGAGCAGTTCTCATTATCCCTATTTTTCTGGTAGAAAGATCAATATCTCGGATGTTTTCCAATTGGAAACCAAATTCAAACAGAAAGATTCTTCCGAACATAAACAATATGGCTCAACTAGGGACTTTTTTTCCCTCAAGAAGTATATGTTTTTCCCAAGTCTTTTTTCACCATGTGGCCTGCCAACATTTTGCTTGTATAACAAGGAAACTGGGTCCCTGCTTAGAGTCTGATGCTTGAGATGGCAGTGACTTCTGCCAACCACCTTTGCCAAAGATATTCTATTAGTCTTGGTTGTTTATTGGCTAAGGGAGAGCTCCCTTCATGGGCATCTGGCAAGGTAGAGGGGTAACAAACAAACAAACAAACAAAAATTAGAGCATGCTACTTCTGCTGTCATCTGGCACTCAGAACCTATCATGTAGGCAGCCCCTGGCATCACATTTTGGCAAAGAGACTGGCATCCCATTGGCTAGAGTGCTGGAAGCCAATGCCTCTCTTCCATCACCATCTCACTCATTCTCCTTCCTCTTCTATCTCTCTCCTTTCTTTTTTTTTTTTTTTTTTTTTTTTTTTGGTACCAGTAGACCACCAGCTGGACTCTCAGACCGGTGCTTAAATTTCTTCTTTTGTTTCTGCAGATAAGAAATAAATATTTTTCTATGCAAGTGGCCTCTGGCCTTTTCTGGTAGGAAGCTTCCTCCAGCTATAGACACCTCAAAGCAGCTGGCCCAGAGTCTCATGCTAGGCCGAGCCTCCTTTTCAGCACTTAACAGAAACATTCTTGAACTTGCCTTTTGGACCTTGGAACATCTAACTGCCCTTGGCCTGTTTCTATGAAGCTCCCTGGTGAGAAGAGTTTGTCTTTTCCTTTGCACCCCGAAGCCCCTGCCTGGGCTAAAAACGTGGTGAGTTATGGTGTTTTTCTCTGCTGCATGTTAGAGCAGGGGCCCTCACCCCTTCCTTTGGCCAGGGCTGTCACTGGGGACCTCAAAGCCTCAGCTTTGTTTCTCATGCCTGCTGATCTGATGATATTCAGAAGTGCGGATGCTTTCTACTTTGGTGGTAAGACTACATCATCTTAAAATGGATAAAGTTGACTTTTAAAAAATTCCTTGTTTTTCTTTTCCTCCCATTTCTGACCATTTCTTCTCTAGGTACAAAGGGGTTAAGAGTGGGGATGAGGGGTACTGGCAAGGAAAAAACTGTTCCAATGTCCTTTTTCTCCCCCTTCTAGGCTTCTGAGTCTCCCTATTCTTCCCTAAAAATTTCCCAGAGGGGGCTGAGCCCATTGCCTCTTATCAAAGTGAGGAGGGGAGAATTCCTGCTTGATAGTTAACTCAGAGATTATACAAATTTTAAGAGATGCTCCCTTGGGATTCTGAAGCGTGTATTCAAGTAAACATGAAGCTCTGTCCAAATATAGGCCATATTTTGGGGTCGGGATATCCTCCCTGCTGTCTGGTTATTTGGTCTTCAGCCATGTTAGAAATCTATGTAATTGGGTCGCTTTACTCTCTCCTTCCACTGCTGAACCAAGGGAATAAGGCAGACCTTGGAAGACATTGCATGGCGCTGTGGTGAGTTTAATGCTGGATCTAATCAGTTTAGGTTAATACTTAGTATAACAAAATATTTGCAAGAGCAATACCTCTTGCTCCCTGGAAGCTAGTGGAGTACAGAAATAAGATTCTATCAAGTCACACACTTCTTTTGCTGACAAGTTTCCTGCCCTTTAATGCCAAGGGGTAGACATTACACTGGAGGGTACAGATAAATAGTTACAAAGCTGATTCTGGCACTTGAACTAAGGAATCACATTCATAACTTTAAGTCATGCTTATCTATGTATGTTTGTAACTTTTAATTAAAAATAAAGCTAAATAAAGTGAAAAGACAACCTATAGAATGGAAAAAAATATGTGCAATTGGAAACTAAATTAGAACATATGTCTAATGCCTGCTTAAGAGTTTAACATCCCGAATAGATAAAGAACTCCTGTAACTCAACAATAAGAAGACAATCTAACTAAAAAATGGGCAAAAGACTTGTACAGGTATTTCCTCAAAGAACACAGACATATGGCCAATAAACACACCAGATAGTATAACATCATTATTACTCATTAGGGAAATGCAAATCAAAACTCCAATGAGATACCACTTTACACCTACTAGGGGTGGCTAAAATTAAAAAAAAATTAAGAGATGTTGACTAGAATGTGGAAAAATTGGAACCACTGTACATTACTGGTGGGAATGTAAAATAGTGCAGCCACTGTGGAAAAGAGTTTGATGATTCTTCAAAAAGCTAAACAAAGAATTACATTATGAAACAGACATTTTATTACTGGGTATATATTCAAAATAACTAAAAGTAGGGACTCAGATATTTGTATGCCAATGTGCATTGCAGCATTATACACAATTGCCAAAAGGTGAAAACAACCCAAGTGTCCATCAACAGATGAGTGGATAAACAAAATGTGGCATGTCTATACGATGGAATATTATTCAGGTGTAAAAAGAAACAAAGTTTTGAAACATGCTAAAACAAGGATGAACCTTGAAAACATTATGCTAAGTGAAATACACTAGACACAAAAGAACAAATATTAGATGACTCCTAGATATTTATAAGAAATATCTAGAATGGTAAATTAATAGAGACATAAAATAAAATAGAGGTTATCAGGGACAGCGGAGAGGAAGAAATGGTGAGTTATTGCTTAATGGATTCAGAGATTCTGTTTGGGTGGATGAGAAAGTTTTGGAAATAGAAAGTGCTGATGGTAGTACAACATTGTGAATGTACCTAATACCACTGAATTGTATGCTTAAAAATGATTAAAATGGGCTGTGTGTGGTGGCTCACACCTGTAATCTCAGCATTTTGGGAGGCAGAGGTGGGTGGATCACAAAGTGAAGAGATCAAGACCATCCTAGCCAATATAGTGAAACCCCGTCTCTACTGAAAATATAAAAATTAGCTGGGCATGGTGGCATGCACCTGTAGCCCCAGGTACTCAGGAGGCTGAGGCAGGAGAATTGTTTGAACCTGGGAAGTGGAGGCTGCAGTGATCCGAGATTGTGCCACTGCACTCCAGCCTGGCTACACAGCGAGACTCCATCTCAAAAAAAAAAAAAAATTAAAATGGGAAATTTTGTTATATATATTTTTCTCTAATGAAAAACATCATGAGAAAAAAATAAGACAAAACAGAGCTAAGCAAATATTTTCACAATTAAACATCCTCTGCAGTTCCTTCAGCTAAATAACAGAATTCAAAACCAGATCATCTAACTTTTAGTTCAGTGCTAAATCCATTACAACAGTTAGCCTCATTTCTGTGACCTTAAATTACATATTCATTGATTCATGCAAATCATTTTTTTCATTCTTCAGACATTTATAGAATGCCTAGTAAGTGCTCAGTGATCAAAAACTGGTGGTGAGGGGTGAATGGAAGGAACAGATGTCAACATGTGGTCTATCTATGTCCGGTTCTGTCCCCAAAGGCTTTTTATGGGCTGTATGAGTTAAGCTTTCCTTCAATGTTATGAATCATGATCATCCCCATTTTAGGACTGAGGACCCGAGGCTAAGGCAGGTTAAGTGGACTTGCCCACGGTGCCTCTAGCAAGTAGCAGAATTGGGATTGGAGCCTAGATCTGCCAGAATCAAAGTTTTCCATGCCTCATGCTGTTTTTACTCTTTCTCTTTCTCTCAAATTTCCATGGATTCTTGGCTCTCCCCATTGTTGTTAGGAACCACAGATAGCTTCCGAAAGGAAAAGAAGCCCCTTGCTGATGGCTCTGAAGTTCAGGGTCGATCAAGGTTGCCTGTGTTCTGGGTGAGAGTGAGGATCAGATCTGGCAGTGATTGCACTGCAGCTGGAGGAGCCCCCTGACCTACCGTGGGGGGTTTGTGTGCAAGAATTACAAATTGTTGGTGTCAGGCAGAGCAAATAAAAAAGCATCTGTAACAGGCAAGGGGAGCTGCAGGCCCCCAAGGCCAGGATCCAAGCAAGCAGCAGGTGTGCCCTCCGCTTTCCACAGGTTGCCAGACAAGACAGCAGTAGGTTCTGCCAAAGGGTTGGCTCTGTGTATTCATTAGCAGCACATTCCTGAACCTCTGCAAGCTCCTTCTGGGCTGCGAAATGATCAAGGGACCACAGAGGGACCCTGCAGACCAGGCCCATCCAATTGCAGGCCTTTTTTGCTACAATGAGCAGAGAGGTTGAGGAGAGTAGGGAGCAGGATGAGATAAGGAAAAGTAGAGGTGATTCAGACCCATGCCAAGGGCCAAGAGCAAGTCTCTTCTTGCCTTCTGCCCAGCTGTGCCACCTTAAATTCTACCTCTCTACTGCTTCTTTTGAGACTGCATTGAAGAATTTCTGTTTTCCCCTGCAAGTGCACAAGACTTGTTCCTGCATTCATAAGAGCCTTATTATCTCTGCATTTTGGGAACGCGTATATTTCCAGATCAGCGAGAGAAGACGATGAGCAACTCAGGAAATGAGCACTTCCACTTACCACTGAATCTTCACTTCATTACAAAACAGTATGCCCTGCCTTCATTTACTCCATCACATGAGGTTGTAACATACCACACGGTCTCCTGCTCATTAATACTGCTAAGGAGCATTTGCAAAGTATTTGAAGTCAGCCCGCTCTGTCTTTCTCTCTGCTCGTTCCCTGTGGTGCCGTCCAGTTTCTGGGATGAAGCTGAATCAATAAACATGTTCTGTTTGTTGAGACTTTCTGTCTTCCAATTAGAAGATAGAGGCAAAATATGCCGCTTTATTATATAGAGACAGCAGTCAATTTTGGCTCGATGCTGAGTGGGAAATGCTGATTTTTCAGATGTTTTGTAACAGAAACAAACAAAGCATCACTTGGAAAGCAACAGGATTTTTCTTAGCCAAACTGTACACAAATGGGTTCTTTCAGCAGCCCAAGGAAGGAGGAAGCAAGTAGGAATGCAGCCCTACGGGACTTCAGCTGGCCACTCACTCACGCTTGTGTGTGTGATCCAACGTGAAGCGGCAGCACAGAAACCTGTCAGACGGCATCCTGTCTCCTAGTTATTAAAAACTCTGCTTTGCCCAGGCGAGTTCTCAAATCCCTATGCAGTCTGGATCTTTGGCATGCGGGAGGCAAAGTGCCGAGATCCATATACCACCATACGGGCTGCTACTCATGAGCCTTTGCTCTAAAAGCTGAAAATGTAAGTCCTCTGGGGTCTTCACATTTTTGAACACCACACACAGGCCTTCTTGTTTCCTGGCAGACACTGCTTTGGACTCTTTGGGACTAAAAACTTTTCAACTAAAATCTTGAAGTCGGTTCAGGAATGTCTTATGCTTGTGGTTCATTGCTAACATCAATATATTGAGAAAGAGAATAGGGTGGTGAGAGAGCAGGAGGAGCAAGAGAAAGGGAAAGAGAGAAGGGAAGAAAGAATGGGAGGGAGTGACGGAGGGAAGGAAGAGAAAACACACTAGTCTGAGAGTCAGAAGACTTAGATTTTACTTACAGCTCTGCTCATTGTTAACCTCAGTAACACAGGTCAAGACTCTCCTTTTTTTGGATGGATAATAATTTAAAAATCTGATAAGGTTTTATCACAGATGTGTTAACATGAGGTCAAATTAGAAGATGAGTATGAAGGCGCTTTGTTGCCAGTGTAACCCAAATAAAACAGGGCCACCTTGAGGCTAGCCTAAGCATAAAGCTATTCAACCACATGTACACTCTCCAAAGTGTCTTGAATAGCAATGTACGAATAGGCGCCCTGGCTCATGCCTGTAACCCCAACACTTTGGGAGGCCAAGGTGGGAAGACGGCTTGAGGTCAGGAGTTCAAGATCAGCTTGGGCAACAAAGCAAGACCCTATCTCTACAATAATGATAATAATAATAATAATAATAATTAGCTGGGCATGGTGGTGTGTGCACCACCACATGGTAGTCTCAGCTACTCCAGAGGCTGAGGTGGGAGGATGGCTTGGGCCCTGGAGTTTGAGGCTACAGTGAGTTATGATCATGCCACTGCACTCCGGCCTGGGTGATAGAGCAAGACCCTGTCACCAAAAAAAAAAAAAAAAAAAAAAAAAAAAAACCCAAAAACCAAAACAACCCAAAAATGGCAATTTCCTTAAAGAGCTTTATAGACACATCTCCCTTTTCCCAAGGTCCCTTTCTTCATGGTACTTATTCAATTCTCTCTCCTATCTTCAAGGAGTTCAGCCCATACTTATCACATCTTTCACTTTCTTCTTCTCTTTAATCTCTTCCTCCACCTTCCTAAATAATTTTATCCCCAAGTCGATTGACTCACATGCTTAGTTGTGCAGAGGAATCTACTTTTCCTTCCCTTACCTTCTTCAACTCAGCCTTCCTACTCATTACCCTGATCTGTCCAACAGAGATCCAGTAGCTGAGCTGTGACCACATGGTATTCTCCTCAAAAGCTGGGAGCATGGAAAAATAGTTACATATATTTTGTTGTTGTAACTGGTTAAAACTTTAATAAGGGATTGCCATCTAACCAAATCTGATTATACAGTGTCTCAATAGCACAAAATCAGTATCATTGTTCTCCAAGTTTATTTGATCATTTATTAATAACTTATCATGGGTCAGACACTCTATAAAGAGGATGCTATAGCCTTAGAGGTATAGACTTCTATGTCATAGAAAACTAAATTAAAGGTGTCACCCTGGACCCTCAAGAAACAGATTCCAAGAGTTATCCTGAACCCTCAAGAAATAGATCTTTAGAGTTCCCAGGAGTCTTAGCCTCATATGTTTTTATTGCTTCACAATTCCATTAGTATCACTCAGCATGTAAAGAAAAGAGACTAAGGACAGTTGGATGAACTTACCCACATCCTCATAGTAAGTGGTAGAGTTGAGAGTTGAATCTAGATGTTAGACTTCAAAACCTTGATGGCTTTTTGGTGTTTAAATTATAGCCCCTACATTTTGTCTCTGTCTCTTTATATCTACTTCTTCCTTAAGCAGTCCTACAACTAATCTCGTATCCACTACAGGGTAGGCCTTACATGAAGATGGATTTGGCTCTGGGGATTGATTTGATGGGCTGCCCTAGCCACAGTTTAGCTCCTTGTAAACTACAAAAGCCCCTGAAATGACCGTAACTCATGTCTTTCCATTGGGTTATGCAGGATCATAAAACACAAAGAACTCTTGCCCAACTTTTCACACAGCCATCACCAGCTGATCACAGCTGGCTTTCCTGCCAAGCTCAGGCAAGGCACAGGGATCCTTTTCATCAGAGTACTCTAGGGGGCCACTGCCAATGATATGAGATGGCAGTTGAGAAGAAACCTGTTGGCCAAGAGCTAAGACACTGACTGCCCAGTGAAAATGCACATAAGTTACCTGGCAAGAAGAACTTATTTTGATATGGTTAATGACTCCCTCTTTAGGCATCCTTCCTTCTCTTGGCTTCTGAGACATCACATTTGCAATATTTTCCTCTCACTGTCTGTCTCATATTCCCCTGCTGGTTCTTCCTTTTTGCAGTGTTGGTACCTCAGGATGAAGCTTTGGGCTCCTTTTGCCTCTCTATATAAATTCCTCCCATCCCCCCAGGGATCTCACCAAGTCCTGTACTTTAAATATCTATGTCAATAGCTCTCATATTCTGTGTCTCCAAATCTAGATTTACTCCTTAAGCCCAGATTTGGAAGTCTATATATATCTCAATCTTAATGTAAGAAAAGCCTTCTTGGTTTTCTTTCCCAACTTATGCCTTCCTCATTTCAGTGAAAAGCACTATTATCTTTCCAGTGGTTCAAGCCAAATTTTCTTTCACTTACCCACACAACCACATCAAATCCAGAAACAATTCCCATTTAGTTTACTCCATGATCTATTACAAATCCATCTACTGTCTCTTCTCTTTCTCTTCAACCACTACATTAGTGCAAATCAGGAACATCTTCTACCTGGACCCTATAATAACATCCTAACTGACCTCCCTACTGGAATTCTTGCCCCTCTGATTCCAAACTCCATACAGCTGCCAGAGTAAACTTTTAAAAATGTAAAGTGTAGGCTGGGCGTGGTGGCTCATGCCTGTAATCTCAGCGCTTTGGGAGGCCAAGGTGGGCGGATCACGAGGTCAGGAGTTCGAGATCAGCCTGATCAACATGATGAAACCCCGTCCCTACTAAAAATACAAAAATTAGCTGGGTGTGGTAGCAGGAGCCTGTAGTCCCAGCTACTCAGGAGGCTGAGGCAGGAGAGTCACTTGAATCCAGGAGGCGGAAGTTGCAGTGAGCCAAGATTGCGCCACTGCACTCCAGCCTGGGCGACAGAGTGAGACTTTGTCTCAAAAAAAAAAAAAAAAATGTACAGTGTACACATCAACCCCTTCTATAAATCCTGCAATGGAACCCCTTCACACTTAGAATAAAATCTAAACTCCTTGCCCTGGCTTTTTGAAATTTTATGTATTTTTCTTTCCTGTACCTTTGACTTCAACCTCCCATATAAGTCTCTTCCTTTCAACATTATATTCTTACCACACTAATTTTCCTTCTTAGACAAGCCAAGTTTGTTCCTGCTTCAGGGTCTTTGCACTGTCTGTCCCCTCTGCCTGCAGTATTCTTCCCCTGGATCTTCATAAGGAGGTTCCCTCTTATCATTCATGCATCAGCTTCAGCATTACTGCATCTGAGAACGTTTTCCTGACCGTTTAGTCTAAAGTAGCCATATGTATTAGTTTTCTGGTGCTGCTATAACAAATTACCACAAGATGGGTGGCTTAAACAAAGAAATTTATTCTTTCACAATTCTAGAGACCAGAAATGAGATCCCAAAGTGTCAGCAGTGCCACACTCTTTCAGCATTTTGAATATATCATCCTATTCTCTCCTGGGCTGCAAAGTTTCTGCTGAAAAAGCTGCTGTTAATCTAATAGGGATTCCCTTGTGTGTGGCTTGATGCTTTCCTTTTGTAGCTTTTAGAATTCTCTCTTTGACTTTTGATAAATTAATTATAATATGCCTCAGAGAGTTTTTTTTTAACTGAATCTAATTGAGGACTTCTGATCCTGCTGGATCTGGATGTTCATGTCTCTCTCAAGACTGGTAAATTTTCAGCTATTATTTTGTTAAATAGGGTTTTCGCTTTTCTTGATCCCATCTCCCTCTGACACCCTTATAATGTAAGTATTTGTTTGCTTGATAGTGTCCCACAAGTCCTGTATACTTTATTTTTTTATTCTTATTTCCTTATTCCACTCTAACTAGTTTGCTTCAAAAGACCTGTCTTTAAGTTCAGAAAGTCTTTCTTCTGATGGATCTAGTCTTTTGTCGAAGTTCTCAATTGTATTTTTTATTTCATTCACTGAATTCTTCAGCTCCAAGATTTCTGTTTGGTTCTTTCTTATAATATCTCTTTGTTGCATTTCTCATTCAGATCATAATTTTTATTTCATTGAATTTATCTACATTCTTTTGTATCTCATTGATTTTTCTTAAGATCATTGAGTTTCTTATGAAGCATTTTGCAAATATTTTCTCTGGAGTCTGCTACTGGAGATTTATTGTGTTCCTTTGGAGGTGGCATGTTTCCTTGCTTTTTCATGTTTCTTTTATCCCTACATTGATGTCTGCACATCTTGTGGAAAACTTGCTTTTTACAATTAGATGGAGTAGTTTTGTAGGGAGAGACTTTTTCTCTGTAGACAGATTCTTGATGACAGTTGGGTATGGAACATGGGCTTTGGTTCTGGGTGGCTCAGTAGCATGGTCTTTGCATCATTTCTTCAGCTGTAATCTTCATCAGCAATGTCTGTGATTGCCTCAGTGCCAAAGGCTGTGGGAGTTTGTGATGGCAGTGGCATGGTCTTACTGAGGGCAAGGGCACTGGTTTGGTTTTCAAGTCAGGCATGTTCAGGCATGGCAGGCAGGCTGGCTGTGCAGCAATGTCTCTGGGGAGGTGGGATCACCACTGAGATGGCTGTCAGGCTTGGCACAGGAACACATGAGCAGGGTAGGATGGCCCGCTGTTCAGTGGCTTCCCCACTGTGCAGATCTGCCAGTTTTCTGGTGGGAATTATGCTACATCAGTTTGGACACCAGGATCTTGGTCATTCCACTGGGCCTAGGCTTCACATAACCAGGATCATGGTGATGTAGGCACTGGTGTGAATATGATGAAATGATGGCAGAGCCTCAAGAATGGAGAGAGCAGTGGTACTGGCCCCCAGGTCAGGACACATTGTAGCAGTGGGTCTGGTTTCAAGATGGCACCATGCTGTAGCAGCTTAGGTCATAGGATTGGTAGGGGGTGATGCATGACCTGGGCTCCTACTCTGGGGCAATGCAGCTGCATGAACTCCTAGCAACTTTCTTAATTGGATTCAGAGCCCGTGAAGACTGCGGGATGCTCCTATAGCAAAGACCACTGGCATCTGTAGTGGCTATAGGAACTGCTATAGGTCTCCAGCTTATCTTTTCCCTGGAAGAAGAAATCCACCATGTCTCCATGCTGATCCCAGCAGGGGAGACAATGTGGTAGATGCAAGATGATTTTCTCCTTCTTTTATGGTGCTATTTTGGGCGTCCGTGCTCCACTAGGATTTTGCCACTCCTTTAGGGCTCTCCAACATACTTCCTCAGTCACTGTAGTCAAACTATAGTTGTTTATTTATTGTTTTGGTCCCTTTCTGTGGGGGGGACGAATGCCAGGCAACTCTAGTTAGCCATCTTGCCAATGTGAGCTCCCAGATCTGCCCGTCTTGAAAGGATGCATGTGATTGCATTTAGGGCCGCCAGTACAATCTGGGATAATCTCCTTCCTCCAAGATTCTTAATTACATCTTGTTGCCATATAAGGTAATATGCACAGATTCCAGGGGTCAGGACTTAGATATCCTTTTGGAGATCATCATTCAGCTTTACCATGCAGGACATATTGCCTGCTTTTAGCTCTCTTTAACACATACCATTATTGTTCTCATTTATCTCTATGTCAACTTGTTAGTTTAATTCCTGTCTCTCCACTTGAATATAACAGCCATGAAGGCAAGGACTTTCCTTGCCTTGAAATCCCTGATATTGAGAATAAGCATAGAGCAGGCACCAAAAAGTATTTTTCTTTTTTCTTTTTTTTTTTTTTTTTGAGATGGAGTCTCACTCTGTCGCCCAGGCTAGAGTGCAGTGGCGCGATCTTGGCTCACTGCAAGCTCCACCTCCCAGGTTATGCCCTTCTCCTGCCTCAGCTTCCCAAGTAGCTGGGACTACAGGCACCCGCCACCATGCCCAGTTAACTTTTTGTATTTTTTAGTAGAGACAGGGTTTCACCGTGTTAGCCAGGACGGTCCCGTTCTCCTGACCTCGTGATCTGCCCGCCTCGGCCTCCCAAAGTGCTGGGATTACAGGCGTGAGCCACCGTGCCCGGCCCAAAAAGTATTTTTCAATGACTAAGTTGTGGATTACATTAAGCCAGTAGTTAAGTTTATTTATTTACTTGTTTGTTTGCTTCACAAAAACCCTTTGTTCAAATCTAGTGCAGGAACCAGACTGGTAGACCAAGGTCAGTTAGAGGCTGAGCTCTTCCGTTAAAAGTCGGGGTGGGAAGATGGGAGCCCTGGGCCTCAGGTCTGGTCTTCCTTCTCACAATGAGCACCAGAGATTGGAGGAATTGTCTGGAAAACACACTTTTGATGTCTTAGCTCAAACTGGTTGCTAGGGAGAACTAGAGTACAGAGGAAATTGGAGGAAATGGGACACTGAACAAACATTGATAAGTGAGCTGGTACAGGCAGCAAAGGTAGTGGTGTTCTGGGCATGCCAGGGGTGGCCTGTAATTGGCCAGGGAGGAGGTACTATAGATGCTAGAGGACTGAAAAGTTATCTTTGTCTGACCCTCCATTTGTCCATGGATACCCAATATTACATGGTTATCTTTCCCAAAATCTATCCTTCTGCTCTGAAAAGAGGGAAGCTGAGTTTAGGGTTTCATTTGACCCTCAGTGAAGACCGGGGGAGGTTAAAGAGGGTAGTGCTTTAAAGCACAGGCCCTGGAATCAGACAGACCCAGGAACCAATCCAGGATCTGCTGCTACTTTGGCTGCATCATCTTGAACTGCTGCTTACCCTCACCAAACCTTATTTTCCCCATCTGTAAAATGGGGATAATAATAATGCCTACCTCAAAGGTGTTGAGTATCGTGAGATAATTCACATTAAGTGCTTAGTACACCATCAATACATAGGCATAGCTTGCAACAAATTGCAATGATTACCATTTATTAAGTATTCATATTATTTGAGTATTTGGGTTTGCAGATGTAAATCTCAGGTTGTTCTTGAGTAGTTTGTCATTTCCATCTCCTGATCCAAGAGTATTTGCTAGAGCAAAATGACCTTTGAACCAGGCCAGAGAGTAGTTAATTCTTTCATTTATTTATTTGCTCATTCATCCAATTAATCAGAAAATATTTAATAAGTAGCTACAATGACTCAGAAATTGTTCTAGCTGAAAAGGATAAATAAGTATGTAAGACAAATTTCCTGTGAGGTCTTCTCTGTTGCTACAAGGGTCTGCCACCAATAAAGGCCACCAACATTGCAGAGATGTCATCCTAGCCTGCTATGATTTCCTAATGGTAATAATATATCAAAGGCTCATTGCCACATGGTCTTTTATGATGTCATGGTGATGATGTTGTTGTTGATGATGATGATGATAATGATGATACTATTAGAAGGATTCTACTATTTGTAGAATCCTTTTTTTTTTTTTTTTTTTTTTTTTTTTTTTTTTTTTTGAGATGGAGTCTCGCTCTGTCCCCCAGGCTGGAGTACAGTGGCATGATCTCGGCTGACTGCAAGCTCCGCCTCCCAGGTTCACACCATTCTCCTGCCTCAGCCTCCTGAGTAGCTGGGACTACAGGTGCCCACCACCACACCTGGCTAATTTTTTGTCATTTTTGGTAGAGATGGGGTTTCACCGTGTTAGCTAGGATGGTCTCGCTTTCTTGACCCCATGATCCACCCGCCTCGGCCTCCCAAAGTGCTGGGATTACAGGCGTGAGCCACTGCGCTCGGCCTTGTAGAATCCTTTCTAGGTCCACCATGCGTGTTATTTTGTACTGATCACTTTATTTAAATTCTCTCATGAACCTATGAGCTAAGTTCTGTTATGATTCTCCTTGGGAGATAAAGAAAATGAAATTCAGAGATATTATAAAACATATGCCAAGATATTGCTCCAGAGTGGCTCAGCTGGGATTTGATTTGATTCCAGAGACCCTGGTCTCAATCCCATGCTCTGCTCCCTGCTCTGTGGGTTCCCATGAGCCCTTCAATAATTATATGTTAGACTCCTGCTGGGGCTGCAAGGAGGACTGTGCTATGTAGCCAAGCTGGTCTGCCCACGGCTGGCTGATGCCCATGAAGCAGGACCTCCTGACCTGAGCTTGGCACTGCTGTGCCCAGGCTGACTGGCTGCTGACTTTGCTTTCTTGTAGAGGATTGTTTCCTCAGGATTCTTCATGAGAATAAGAACCTGCTCCCCTGCCATCAAGGCTATAGAACCTCTAGGGAGAGAAAGGAAATGATTTTACAGTGTATTAGTTGTGAGATCTTGGGCATGTAATTTTGCTTCTCTGCGCCTCACATTCCTCATCTGTGAAAGGGAACTAATAATAAAACCTACTGCACAGGTGGTTGGAAGGACTAATGGAGGAAAGCATCTGGCACAATGCCTGACATGCAAAGAGAGCCAAAATGCTAGTTAGAAAGGAAAGGAGGGAAGGAAAGAAGGGAGGGAGGGAGAGACTTAAAATCCAGGCTGATTATCATCTGTCCTTCACCAAGCTCCTTCTCTCTGGACCTCAGTATCCCCATTCATCAAATGTTAGAACTTCTGAAAAGTACTGACCTCCCAAATTCTTCAAGCCCTAACCTGCCTCCTACCATCGCTGCCTCTGGAAGTTTCTGGATCTCTGTAGAACAAAAAATCCCATTAAATGAGCACAGATGAGTCCCTTTCTGACTGCCATTGCCAAGTCTGTATCTCAGAGTCAGTAACTCAGGATGATTTCTGGATGAAAAGAAGCTCCATGAAATCAAATATCTTTCGAGAGAGAGAGATGACTAAAAGGCACCACACATCCCCAACCCCACCTGCAGCGTGATCCTCAGAGCATCTGGCGAAAGCCCCTTAGAAGAGCTGGCTGGATCCTCGTGAACCCCACCAGCTGCCTTTCCCAGATGGACTCACACTGCAGGTCTGCTCAGATCCTGACTTTCATTATCAGAGGAAAAGGGTTTGCCCATGAATGGCCATGCTGGGCCTGCTCCTTATTTCAGATTGATCAGAAAAGTCCCACTATTGCAGTGACACAGGCTGGCTGGCTCCATAAGGGAGTTGGGAATAATGAACCCTCTGTGCCCGCTTGGGGATGCTTGCCAGCCTGCCCAGCCAGGAACCTTTTGTTGCAAATGAAAAATTATTTAAAAGCAGGACTGAAAGGCTTACACACCTGGAAGTAAAAGCAAGAAAGGCAGAGGTGTCCATTTGTCCTCACAGTATGCTGCTTATTTCCATTTCCCTTGGATCCAGGAAATAAGCTTTTCTCTTAGTTCTCTTTCTAAGGCTTTCTACAAACACTCACACATCACTCGCTCTGTTCTGATCTGCTCACACTGGTTCAACAGATACCAGGCTGCACCAGAGCTGGGTGTGGTATTCCTGCTCTTGAGGAGCTCTTATTCCTGGAGAATGAGGAGAAGGTAATGACAGCATAGTGAAGGCATACTGAGCACCTGCTGTATGCTGTCAGCCCTGTATGAGGATTCCATCATTTACTCCTTCCTCAGCCTGTGGAATAGGCACCATATTCATCTGGGACAAATGAGGCCCCTTTGCCCAAGATCATACCACTGATACATTGTAAAGCTGACATCAAACACAAAAGGGTAAAGGTCCAGGCAGAAGGACAACTCTTAGAAATAATATAATGTGGTACAACTTTTTAAAAAGGGCCATTTGATGGGAGTATTAAGGGGCTCACAAATGCAAAAATCAACAGAGCAATTCCAATTTGGGGCTGCATCCCAAGGTAATAATCAGATGAGGGTACTGAGCCTAAGTGTGTTGATTATGATGATGTTTATAATTGTGAACCATGGTGCACGTCCTGGATATTGATTGATGGGAACTACTATATTGTCTTTAATAATAATGTGAATGTGTATTTACTCACCTAGAAATAAGTTTCTGACATACTAAGGGAAAATAAATGGGCTACCGAAGTATGTATCATGTGATCCGATTATGTGCAAACATATAAAGATTCCCATGTGTCATTTACATAGAACATGTCTAAAAGTTTTTACATGCTGATTTTTTAAACAGTGGTTATTTCCAGATGAAATTATGCATGATTAAAAAATTTCTTTTCTTCCTTTTTTTCCTTAAACATTTTTACTTACAAAATACACATGACACGCAGCATATTAGCTTGTTTTTGTTTTTGTTTTTTTGGAGACAGGGTCTCACTCTGTCACCCAGGCTGGAGTTCAGTGGCACGATCTTGGCTCACTGAAACCTCCACTCCCTGGGTTCAAGTGATTTTCCTGCCTCAGCCTCCTGAGTAGCTGGGACTACAGGCGTGTGCCACTATGCCCAGCTAATTTTTGTATTTTTAGCAGAGATACGGTTTCACCATGTTTTGGCCAGGCTGGTCTCGAACTCCTGGCTTCAAGTGATCCACCTGCCTCGACTTCCCAAAGTGCTGGGATTACAAGTGTGAGCCACTGCACCTGGCCCATCGTATTAACCATTTTGAAATGCAGAGTTCAGCAATCTTAAGTCCAGTCATGTGTCATAACATGGGAATATATTCTGAGAAATGTGTTGTTATGGGATATCATCATTGTGGGAACATCAGAGTGCACTTACACAAGTCTAGATGGTATAGCCTACAACACACCTATGCTAGATGGGATGGTCTACTGCTCCTAGGCTACAAACCTCTACAGCATGTTGCTATACTGAATACTGTAGGCAACTGTAACACAACGGCATTTGTGTATCTCGGCATATCTAAATATAGAAAAGGTATATGGTATTATAGTCTTATGAGATCACCTTTGTATATGCAGTTCGTTGCTGACTGCAACACTATTATGTAGTTTGTGACAGCACTTTCACATTATTGTGCTCCCAATCTCCAGAACTCCTTTCATCTTGCAAAACTAAAACTCTAAACCCATTAGATAACTCCCTGTCTTCACCTCCCTGCAAGCCCTGGAAACCACCTGCTTTTAATGAATTTGTCTATTCTAGATTTATCATATAAAGGGAATCATAAACTATCTTTTCTGTGACTGGTTTATTACACTCAGCATAATGTCCTCAAAGTTCATCCATGTTGTAGCCTGTGTCAGAATTTTTTTTAAGGCAGAATAATATTCCATTGTATGTGTACACCACAATTTATCCAATTATTCCTCAATGGACAACTGCATCACTTCCACAGTTTTAGATATTGTGACTTTATTTTTTATCTTTACTTTCTATTTATTCTATAGGAAATCAATCTACTCACATTTTCAATGTTAGAACCAGGACAGAAGTATGCATAGGGTACATAGGTCTCTGCAAATGATGAGAGATTTCTAGGAAAACAATATAAAGTGGTGGTCAAGAAGCCCTTCTTTGGAATCACACAAACCTGGACTTGAATTTCCATGCCACTATGCATTACTTATGTGGCTGTGGAAAAATTATTTAGCTTCTTAAAATGTTTTTTTGTTTGTTTGTTTGAAAATCTGAAATCCCGGCAAGCTTTATCATGATGTTATAAAGTCCAAAGCCTGGGCCAGCACACAGTCAGCACTCATAAATGGAGTGGGGAGGAGATTGGTTGCTTTTGAATTCTTCATATATTCAGGTACCCTCCTGCCTGTCCCAGAAACTTTTCATAGGCTGCCCGCCTCCCCGCCCCCGGCCTCGGACACTCTTTCCTCTCCTCTGTACTGAATTAACCCCTTTCTGCCTTCATACTTCTGCTCAATTCAGTGTGCCCCCCAAGAAGATGTCCCTGGTCTCCTTGATTGTTTTAACCCTGTCCCCCATTATGTATGCTCATCATAAGATAGACTTGCCTTCCTAACAGCTGAGATTCCACCTGTCCCTGTATTTCTGTTTCCCACTCCCAAATTGTATCTGGCATAAAGCAAATAATGCAAAAATATTTTTACAAGTGGATGCATGAATGAATGAACACTCCAGGAAATTAAAGATGATCTCAATTCTCAAAGTGGGGCTCTGGCATTTGCCTGGGCAGCTGATGCTGCCACCCTCCTCTCCCTCTCCTGCCTTTCTCCGTCTCTTCATCCCAGCACTCCACCTTCTGTACCCCTGGCCCCAGCAACCACTCAGCCCTCAATCTTCCATGTGGAGCCTGCAGAGAAAGTAGGAGGAAGGAAACTACAAGCACTGCTAGAGTTTAAAAAAGTGCTCACCCGAAATTGCACAATTCATCCCATGGGCTCAGCAGGAATGCGGCATTTGGAGAAATTACACCTCTGAGCTGCCAGGATATATTCAAACAGCCAAGAACAGAAGTTGGCCCAACTGGGACGCATCCGTGGAGCAGCAAATATGCACAGTGAGCTCGCTGGCAAAGCATTTTTATTTCTCAGGGGAATGTCCAAGAATCTTTGCCTATCTATGGGTTCCTTCTTCTCTTCGGTTCTAGGGTAATTTTTATCCAAGAGTTTCCAAAGCCAGTACTGGGGAGGGGAGAAAGAAAAAGAGCTATAGATGATAATCAAAGCTTTGACTTCTAATATTCCAAAAGTTGCTGGTTGTTTTTTTTGTGGGGAAGAGGAAGATAAGAACATGAGTTCTGGAATTTCCCTATCAAATCCCAGCTCTGACACTTACTAGTTGCATAACCACGGGCAAGTTTCCTTACCTCTCTGTGCCTCATTTTCCTCATCTATAAAATGGGGATGATAATCTACCCTTCTTCACAGGGTTAGCTTGAAGATCCACAAAGCACATGGAAGTACTTAGACAAGTGTCTTGTATGTAGTAAGTGCTCAATAAATATAAGCTTCCTTTGATAAGGACAGAATTGGCAGGACATTTGGCTGGAGCAGTGGCTCTTGGATATTCAAATTTCAGTCTCACAAAATTAAAAAGTTCCCTCCCTCTCATATTGAGCATTTTGTTTTGCATATGAAAGGTACTAGAACCATCAACTATAACATCTTAATCTAAAAATAAAGGCTAACTGAAAGCCTCAAATGTAGGATGGACATGAACTTAAAAAAAACATGTTTAGCTTTATGATAAACTAAAAATAAACAGTAAAAACATTGCTGTTTGTTGAAGCTATACTGATCATGAGCGAGATAAATTAAGCTGTCTGGCAGCTCCCGCCTCCTCAGTGGCTCCTCCCTGCTATCCCCTGTTCCCACAATCCTCTCTATCCCATCTCAGCACTGGTCACTTTGCAGTGTCATTGCCTCTTCAGTTCTTTACCTCACTCCTCTACTCCCCACATATACATCAACTCCTACCTAGAGGGTAACCTCCTTGAGGGCAGGGCCTGTGGGTTATCATAGCTGTGTTTCCAGCACCTTGCACACAATAATTGTTCAAAGTATTTGAGAAATGAAGAAATAACCCACAGTCCTCATTTCCAGTTGGAAACCACACATCATATGCTGCACACAGATAGCCTCTCACATATCTGCAGGCACTGTTCCCCTCCTCCGGTATTCCTCTTCCTCCATAGTGCCTGTGGCTTGCATCCCTAAATGCATTCTGCTCTCATTTACCCCCTCAGCAAGGAGGTCTCTCCTGGCCATGGTATTTAGAAAGCCTCTTCCTCCCAGCCTTCATCAGTCTCTCTCATACCCTACAATCACCTGCAGTCTGCTGCATGTTTCTTTGCTCACTTGTGTATTTTCAGTCTCTCCACTGGAATGTAAACCTCAGGTGGGCAGGGACTTTGACTTGTTCTCTGTTGCGGTTCCAGCTCCTGGCAGTCATGCAAGCAAGATGGTCAACGTCAGATACACAAGGCTGGCTTGAGCAGTGTTCACTGGGGAAAATTCATGGACAGGGGAGCAGAAACAGGTACGTAGATACTCATTGCCCATTGCATTCTGGAGCAGCACTCAGAGCCACAGCAATTTAGAGCTCAGACCCCGGTAGGAGGACCCTGACTTACAGGCTATGTGGCTTTTAAGCTGCTGTGGTCTTGTGATATAGTAAGAAATATGTATTTGATTCCTGACCCAGTTCCAAAGACACAGCTCCTAAGACCTTCATATATAGAGATACCAGGAGAATCTTTTGTTCTGGTATTGGGTCTTTGACCCCAGTTCCTGATGCAGAGATCCTAAGACCACCTTTGTAATTTTCAGAGTGATAGGAAGCATCTAACACAGAGCCCCTAAATCCCTTAGAATTTTCTGGGTTATAGGAGCATCTTTTGTTCTGATGAGGTGACTCTCGGTTGGCTCCTGGATAGCCTCAGGATTGGGGTTGGTTGCTAGGGAAACCAACCATGTTTATTAAGGGGTTGGAATTTTCAGCCCCAAACCCTGACATCTGGGGAGGGGAAAGGATTGAAAGTTGAGTTGATCACCAATAGCCAGTGGTTTGATCAATCATGCCTACTTAACAAAGTCTCCATGAAACCCAAAAGAACAGGGAGCTTACAGAAAGCTGAGCATGTGGAAGTTCCTGGAGAGCAGCTTATCCAGAGTGGGTATGGAAGCTCCAGGCCCCTTCCCATATACTTTGCCCTATATATCCCCTCAATCTGGCTATTCATATCTATATCCTTTACTCTGTCATTAATTATAAGCCAGTAAACCCAAGTAAAGTGTTTCCCTGAGTTCACTAAGCCATCCCAACAAATTAAATGAACCGAAGGAGGGTGTCATGAGAACCCCTGATTTATAGCTGGTCAATCAGAAGTTTAGGTGACAACCTAGTACTTGCTATTGGCATCTGAAGTGGGGGACAGTCTTGTGGGACTGAGCCCATAATCTGTGGAATCTGATGATATCTCCCAGTAGAAAATGTCAGAATTGAGTTATAGGACACATAGTTGGTGTCTACTGGATAACTACCTGGTGTGTGGGAACCTGCTCCCCAAGCCCCCTGCAAAACACACATGTGATATCAGAAGTGTTGTGCTGAGAAACGTGTGAAAATGGAGAGAGAAAAAAAAATTAGTTTTTTCATTTAAAGCCAAATAGTTAGGGAAGCACTCACCCCTCCCCTGGCATAACCTGGGGCCAGAATACAGTAGCAATATGGTAAGTTGGAGTCTCAGTGCCAATCCCTAAAACTGGCTCAGGGTTTATAGCTCCTTCCCTGATCTGGAAGCTTAATTTCAAGCCTTACAGTTGTGGATCTATAATAAGAAAAGCTTGAGACCGAATTTGTCACTTCATAGTTCCTGCTTGAAGAAGAAACCATCTCTTACCTGGCATAATGGGTGGCAATGGTGGTGGCAGTGGCAGCAAGGGTTGCTATCCAAGACTTGGAATGCAGCAGGATTGCTTTTTTTTTTTTTTTTTTTTTTTTTTTTAACAGAGTCTCTCTCTGTCGCCCAGGCTGGAGTGCAGTGGCGTGATCTCGGCTCACTGCAAGCTCTGCCTCCAGGGTTCATGCCATTCTCCTGCCTCAGCCTCCCAAGTAGCTGGGACTACAGGCACCCGCCACCATGCCCGGCTAATTTTTTGTATTTTTAGTAGAGACGGGGTTTCACCGTGTTAGCCATGTTAGCCAGGATGGTCTCTATCTTCTGACCTTGTGATCAGCCCGCCTTGGCTTCCCAAAGTGCTGGGATTACAGGCGTGAGCCACCGCACCTGGCCCCAGGATTGCTTCTTAAAGCACTCGGCAGTGGCCAGTTTCTACAGAGTACTGGCAGCTGCTGTGATTTGAATGTGTTCCCCAAATTTTACATGTTGGAAACTTAATCCCCAAAGCCTCAATGTTGAGAGGTCAGACTTTTAAGTGGTGATTAGGTATGAGGGCTCCGCTCTCATAAATGGATTAATACCATTATTGCAGGAGTCAGTTAGTTGTTGCTGCAGTGGGTTAGTTGGGTTAGTTATTGCTGGAGTAGATTAGTTATTACAGGAGTGGGTTAGTTACTGCTGAAGCAGGCTCCTTATAAAAGGATGCATTTGGTTCCCCTTGGCCTCTCATCCTCTCTTTGCTCTTCCAACATGATATGATGCAGCAAGAAGGGCCTCACCAGATGCAACCCCTTGATCTTGAACTTCCCAGTCTCCAGAATCATGAGCCAAAAAAAAAAATCCATTGTTTTTAAATTACCCAGTTTTTGGTATTCTATTATAGCAACAGAAAACACAGAGGCCAATCCTCTTTTTGGAAGGTCTGCCTATGGGTATTGGTCTGAGACAAGTTAACAGTTACCAATCACTAGCATATAATACGTATTCAATAAATGTGTTTAATGAACATATGAATGACTTTTGCCCATTTACTGCAAGATTAAATAATCATTAGAAAAAAACAATTGACTTTTATTGAGCATTAACCAAAGAGAAACTCAGCTCTATTTCTCTGGCTTCCTTTTGTCTGTGCACATACCATGCTTGTTCTTGCCTGCCTGTCTTCCTCTCTTGCTCTTATTTTCTAGAAGAAAAACCACCCACCCCAATGTCTTGCACACTGCAACAACTCTGTGAACACTGGTCATTATTCTACTGTTGTTATTGGTGCTCTTTACTGGCCAAAGCTCAGTGGGAGGACTACTATCTAACACAAGTGCCCTGCAGGACAGAAAGAACAAGAGTGCTAGAGCTTTTGTGCATCTGGGCCATTTTTTCATTTGACATATGAAGAATCTAAGAACCTGCAAGGTGGAAGTGACCTGTTCAAATAGCAGCAAAGTCAAAAGCAGATGTAGCTCTCTATCTCTGAGCCTCTAATAAAATTAATCTAAATAGTTGTCAATTAGCAGTTCACAGCTGTATTTTGTTTAATATACCTAGTTTAGGTCTCTAGTAATTATTTTTCTCTGGAGAATTAGTTGCCCCTTCTAGCAGGGCCAGGAACGTTCCAATTTTCCACAGCCTACTCCACGTCTTACTCCATCTCACATTGGCCTGCTTCCCTCCCTCATGTATCTGCCTGCCACCTGAGGTATTTGAGTATTCAAACCACATCTATATGCCTGTGCTTAGAAATTCAATTAGCTCAAGACTAGTCCTTGAAGGCTGACCTCCAAACTAAAGGTCAGCCCCCTTCAAAATTCCAAGGAAACTGGTCATTGCCTAGTGCTTAAGGCAACTGATCTGAGTGATCCCCAGTCCTGGGCCAGATTCTACACACGTACTCTCATCATGCTGGTTTTTAAATGTACCACTTCATATATAATAATCATATTTTCTTTAGTAGATTCTCGGGCCCTAAGGTGAGGTTATGCTTTTACATCTCTTGGTATTTTGCGTATCACCTGGCTTTATAACAATCACACTTCTGCACCCTCAGAAGCACAATGAAGGACAAATTCCCAGGAATCATCTACAGAATTTGGGTTCTGGCTGTCCTGGGCAGGGACTAGGAATGGCATATGGTCATTCTGTACAATTCTGCCACTGCAGATCCAGAAACTGAACTTTGAAAAACACAAGGTGCTGGAGCTCTGGAAGAGGCTCAATCAAGACATGAGGACTGATTTGTCCCTACCCGAGCATCTCCACCCTGCAGATGTTTTTCTTTTTGCCTGCTTAGTGTGTTTAAGAAAGAAAATTGAATTATCACCAATATTTTAAAGACAGGAAGATGTCATAAGCCAGATTTCAGACTCCCTTTGAAAAAGATCCGATCATGTAAAGGCCCTGGGCATGCCCTTATTCCTGGGAAAAACCATCTGGAATCTGCATCTGCTGTCCTCCCACCCTCACCTGTGGTCACAGCAGTCTCCCAGGTCCTGTGTCAATAGGCCCCAGCCCCATTGCTTATGGCCTCTGTTGACATTTGCTTTTGTAACCCCCTTCATTCTGAAACTTTACACCTCTTTGATGAGCCCATCATCAACCAGGGCACCAGCCCTTTCTGGTTGAGGTCTGTATGACAATGCCACCTGCTTGGTGGGTACAGGCACAGCCTACTGCCTTCTAGCTAAATAGAGAGGTTAGGGGAATAAACCTCACACTATGGTGATCTTAAAACTTGTGCAAACATTCAGATGAATAGATCCAGGCATTCATGAACCCTGGAATGAGGTTTTTGAAGCTGGGCCTCAACCTAGAAACTTGGGATCACTTTTAAGAGTATATTGAGATGATGTCAGTCCCAATAAAAGTAGAGGACCGAGAAGTAGATTAACTCACATGCCCTGAGAGACATGGCAACTGGACTGAGAAACTGCTGATTGATGGAAGAAGTCAGATCAAATAAGTGACAACCTGTCACAGCCAAAATAGAGTGGCGGTTAACAGGAAATCTTCTTTCTCAGTGGGACAGGTCAGGCAAAGAGCCTGATGGTCAACTGAGAGTGTATGAAATATCATTGGTAGAGCAGCTCAAACATCTCTGCCTAGGTGTATTGGTAGGACTGTTTGGGAACTCTTTGGCTACAGAAGTCTGGGCCATCACAACATTTTTGAGCTGCAACAGTGCCTTGGAGCTCAGCTAACAGAATGTCCACATTCTAAAAATTCAGAATCAGACTGAGAGAGGAAATCTGCCATCCACTTGGACTCACAGTTCCTAGAGAACAACTTTTAGAGTAAAAAACAAAACTTTATAGATTAGTTTATATGAATAACTTGGGAATCTTGTTAAAATACAGATTCTGATTCAGGAGATCTGAGTTACAACCTGAGATAAACAGCAAATTCCCAAGTGATGCCAAGACTGCTGGTCTCATGACTGCAATTCTCCAAAAGTACAGTGGAAGTTTAGGTGGAATGTAGTAAACTGGGAGGGGATGGTAAAGCTAACCTCTTCTGGGTCAGCAGGAGTAAGTCCCTGGGGAGCCCAGAGAGAGGGCCTGACTCCTGGAACACTTTAAAACCAAACTGCATTGATGATGCTCAAAAGAAATTCCCCTCTTCAATGCATTTTAAATGAGCCAGCAAAGGATTTCAAAGGTCACCCTTCTTTTACGGTTGATTCTTACAAAATCATGAACTATATTTTCTAATGAGCCCAATTAGAACATTTCTCCTATGGAAGATTCCCATGGGGGCAGGTGAGAGCAAGGGGAATGAAAATAACTTTGCCATGAGTGGTTGAGATTCCAAACCCAGGTTCCCTGTGATGGCTCAGGCAAAATGCTAGGAGCTCTCTGACAATTTTATCCAGAAGCCAAGTCTAAGGTCACTCGGTAGAACCTTGTTCTTTGCACCAGAAAACACAGAAGTAGGGTGGCTCAGCTGGCCAGCTGGGAATCAGACTAGTCACAGCTTAAAAATTTCCTCTCAGGTTTTGTATCTGGTTATCAGATGCTGCCATCCTAAGGGAGAAACAGAACCATAAGGTACCCTCAGCCCTGTCCTTTCAGGAGTGTCTGCTCACAAATGCATACTGCCAAAGATCATCCTCTCCTAATTACAATTCCCTTTTCTGTGGGCATTATCTCTGGCTCGCCTATATTGAGCCCCAGAAACGTGCTGTCTGATCAGCACCAGAACTCTGAGACATATTGTCTGCAGAGCAGGGCTTCTCAGACTTGGCAATCGTCACATTTTGGGTTGATAATTCTTGATTACGGGGCTCACGATCGAGCAGCATCCCTCACCTCTACCCACTAGAAGCCAGTAGCAGTACCCCTCCAAGTCATGACAATTTAAAATCTCTCCAGACATGGCCAAATGTCTTGTAGGGTGGGGGAACAAATTGCCCTTGGTTGAGAACCACAGTCTATAGTCGAACTGCAGGGATTCAAATTTAAGCTCTTGTGCTTCTTAGCCATGAGAACTCGGGCACAACACTTACCTCTCAGACATTAGTTTCCTCATCTGCAAAAAAGTAAGGTAATTTAACAATAGCATCAATCATAACACCATTACCTCCTAAGGTCATTGGGATGATTAAATGAATTAATGCACACATAGATCTCAGAACAGTGACTGAAACAGAGGAAGGGCCAAAAAAGCATCTGCTACATTACCAGCTTAGACTCCTTCACTATCATTGTCACCAAACCTGATGGAGACCCATCATTCAAACCACAAACCTCATGGGGCCAGTTTGCCAATTTTACAAACCTTGACATTTAAGCACCTTAGCTCTCTCTCTCTTCTTTATCTGAGAGCAAGGTAAGTGAACAGCATAAGAAATTTTTTCCGTCAAGTTCAAAAGAAACAGTGAGAAAGAAAGTACAGAAGAGTGTGAATTGAATTCCCAAGGAGTCTACATATGAAAGATTCTTTTTATGCCTAAGGATTTTATATTCAGTTTCCCTAGAAGGGAAGACAGATAAACTCTCCTGGCACAAGCTGAAGCCACATTCCCTCCATCCAGCCTCCCCAGCCCCCATCTGTCTGTCTCTGTCTTCCTTACACACACACACACACACACACACACACACACACACACACACACACATGCTTAGGAGAAACAGGAACCAGAGGAGATTCAGACATTTATTTTGCTTTGGCAAATCTACCACTGACCTAAGAAGCCAGGACTTTTGTTTGCTTTAGAATCTCAGATGGGAAAAGGCACCCTAAGTTATTTATTTGTTTTTTCATGAATTCTTTTTTATTCTGTACTTAGAGTCAGTCAGGGATGGCAAGCATGTGGTGTCGGCCTGTAGGGCAGCTGTGTACATCTGGGAGACATTCATAGTGTGAGCACTGACTCTGTCATTCCCCAGCATAGAAGGAGCAATGTAGCTGGTGCTTCTGTGCCCCTATGAGCAGCCCAAATTCCAAAAATTCCATGGGAAGAAGGGACACGGCTGGCTGAGCACACTGTGATTCCCACCACAGCTGAGTGCAGGGATCCTGGGGTGAAAAATGAGATTGTAAACATCACCCTGGCAGCATTTTCATCAGATGAAGAGATGGAAGGCCTGCACGATCTCAAGGGAGCCTGGGAAAATCAACACAATGCCTGCGTATATTTTCTAGATGGGCAAAATAAAAACAAACCAAAAAAGAGGTTTAAGGAAGACGATGATGCAAGAAAGCACATCAGCACAATAAACAAAAGATTGCCAAGCTACAATTGCAGGTTGGAGGTTAGGCAAATTGTCATACATAACAAACAAGCAATTTAAATGACTCCTGGACAGTCTCAGAGGCATCATTTGAAGTACCACCTTGAATTTATTTTGCAGCAGTTGCCATGCCAACAGGAAGACTGTATTCCAAAGGGTAAATGGACACTCCACCCCCAAGCTGCCTTGCACCTGATGCTTCAACTAAGCTGGGTTTCTCACTGCTCCCTAGGCCTGTCACGCCTCCTCTCACACCCGAAACACCTTCAAAAGTTATCTCCGAGGTGCAGTCTTGTGTATGTGCAATCTCTCCCTCTCCTTCGAACATTCTGCCCACACTCCTTGCAATGCTGCCTGCTGCCTCTGGCCAGACCATGAGCCCCTCATCCCTGACATGGCAGGAAGTGCCTTCAGTCCATCCTTGAGCCTAGCCCAGTGCCTGAAATACAAAAGAAGGTGTGAGAAGTTGAGATGGTGAAGGCTCAGACATCACACCTACTGCATGGTGTGGTTTTCAGGTGATTGTCGTCTTATTTTTTTAAGCAACACATAAAGCACCAAGGAAAACAACTCATGCCAGGGTGGATGCTTAATGAATATTTGTTGAATGGCTAAACAAACGAATAAACAAATGGATGTCAGATGAATTGGGTTTTTTAAAATAACTCTCTCTTTACTTATGTGTAAAGTTTGCCTATTGAAGATCAGGCACCATTTCACAGCAGAATTAGTTACACGAATCACAATTGCTAGTTACCGAATGTTAGCTATCTGCCAGGTCTTCTTTGTTTGTTTTTGAGACAGAGTCTCAGTCTGTCATGCAGGCCGGAGTGCAATGGCATGATCTTGGCTCACTGCAACCTCCGCCTCCTGGGTTCAAGTGATTCTCCTGCTTCACCCTCCTGAGTAGCTAGGACTACAGGCATGTGCCACCATGCCCTGCTAATTTTTGTATTTTTAGTAGAGACGGTGTTTCACCATGTTGTCCAGGCTGGTCTCGAACTCCTGACCTCGTGATCTGCCCACCTCAGCCTCCCAAAGTGCTGGGATTACAGAAGTGAGCCACTGAGCCCAGCCCAAGTCTTGTTTTAAGCTCCTTGCTCACATTCTTTCCCATTGTCACAATACACTACAAGGTTGCTTCTATTTCAGTGAAGGAAAGTGAGGCTCAAGAAGGGAAAGTAAACTACCACCACCACTACACTACAGTAATATAGGAGGCAACAGAGGGGGCTTTGAATTTGAATCCAGGTCTGTGTGGTCTCCAGGCCCTTTTCTCAGCCCTTGCAGAAAGGCTAAGTGCCCAGGGCCCAGAATTAGACAGACCTGGGCTCAAATCCCAGCCTTGCCTTGTGCCAGGTACATAACATTGGGCAAACAACTTGAGCTATCTCACCGTTAGCATCCTGTAATGTAAAATGATCACCACATTCCTAAAGGTGTTGATGGGGAGAGTGAGTGGGATCATGTACTCAGAGCACTTACTCCATGCCTGGCACAAAGATGTTGGTGAATGGGAAAACAATCATGTTTGGTGATCTTACGACTTTGCATAAACAGAACTTACTTCCCATTTTTGGAAATGTAGGCTATAGACCACTCAAAGACAAGCATCAGCCTATATTTACATGATTCCAAACAACCACATGGACATTTAAATAGTGGGCACTCCTGTTTGCAAATGTCCCTCCCTCTTTTTCTCTGGAGACAAAAGGAATTAATGCTATTATAAGTGTACTTGCTTAGTTACACACACATACATACATGTTTATTTCTATTTGGCTTATTTATGTTTTTTTCATGTTCTAGAATCTTTATTTTTCAGCCACTGATGAACAGAAGGATCTCTTTTCTATCTTTAGCATACCTTCCTGTCTTGCTTCATCTGAGCTTCTGTTTACATCACAGACATATATCAACACTATTTCTGACTTCTCTCGTAATTAGTGGCCTAGTTTGAAGCAGAAGCAAGGAAGTTATCTTGGTAGGTGGAGACAGGAAGAAAGAGAAAATAGGGAGAGAGAACCAGAATCCTTGGACCACCTCCCAGTTTCTGCCATTTGTTCGTGAGGTATTTGTGAATTTGGACTTGCCTTGGAATTTTGGGGTAAGGGGAAGTTTTAGGACCATCCAGTGCTGAAAAATTTCTTCCAATGTATCTAGGATTCCAGGACTCCAATGTTGAATGCTTTTGTACTAATCAGCTTGGAAAACAACAGTGCTCAACAGCCCTTGAAATTTCTCATTTTGGACCTATCTCAGGTGAATCAGCTGACAGCACACACAGCAACACAAAATTTTGATAGGAGACTCCTCAAAGGTTCTGTAACTAAACGTAATTGTGCAACCAGTAAGGACCTCCTGGCTGGAGGTACCTGCTGCTTGATTTCTGCATCATCATTTAACTTCCTTAGAAAGCACTGAGTGGGAGGAGAAGCACATGAATTCTTCAAGGGAGATTTAGGGGATGAGTATAAGACACTTGAGAAAAGAGGGTCTGGGCCTTGGAGCAAGTGAAGCCAACCAGGATCAGCTGAGTGCAGCTTGTTTGGGAAGTCAGTCTTCCAACTGTGGAAGTGGACTTGCTAGTGATGACACATGGACACTTGATTATATAAGCACCCTTGTAAACAGAATGGATTCCTGGGAGTCAGAGGCCACTTTGTATACTTCTCAGGTGACTGTCCTGAGAAATTTCCTGTGATTACCCAGCACAGCACAGTGAATGTAGTAGTTGATCAATAACTATTGCCTGGAATATATGATGTTTTTTGAAGTGAAGATTTTACCTCCATATAAACAGTTGGAGACAACATAGTAGAGAATGTATCACAATGAAGAGATCAGAAAGAATCAGAAAGGTCGCCTTCAAATCCCCACCTTACCACTTACTAATTATACAACCTTGATATTTCCATCTATAAAATGGGGATAACATGAGGACCTACTTTGCATAGGGGAGCGAGGATTGAAATATGAATAAAACACATTGCATAGTGCCTGGTACATAGCGGTGCTCAAAAGATGTTAACTAAGGCTAGCGATTACAGTGAAAAATAATCATTTTTCTGTCAATTTCAATCAATTGCTGTGGTTTGCCTACAGAAAAACCATTACAGTGTTTATTAGGTAGAGGAGGTGTCCAGTTTTTCATTTTGACCAGGGAACGAGTCAATTTGTCTTTTGCAAAGACAGCTTTAAGGTGGATATAATAATAAACACATGTTTGTTTGTTTTTATTATACTTTAAGTTTTAGGGTATATGTGCACAACGTGCAGGTTTGTTACATATGTATACATGTGCCATGTTGGTGTGCTGCACCCATTAACTCATCATTTACATTAGGTATATCTCCTAATGCTATCCCTCCCCCTCCCCCCACCCCACAACAGGCCCCAGTGTGTGATGTTTCCATTCCTGTGTCCAAGTGTTCTCATTGTTCAATTCCCACCTATGAGAGAGAACATGCAGTGTTTGGTTTTTTGTCCTTGCGATAGTTGCTGAGAATGATACTTTCCAGCTTCATCCATGTCCCTACAAAGGACATAAACTCATCATTTTTTACGGCTGCAGAGTATTCCATGGTGCATATGTGCCACATTTTCTTAATCCAGTCTATCATTGTTGGACATTTGGCTTGGCTCCAAGTCTTTGCTATTGTGAATAGTGCTGCAATAAACATGCGTGTGCATGTGTCTTTATAGCAGCATGATTTATAATCCTTTGGGTATATACCCAGTAATGGGATGGCTGGGTCAAATGATATTTCTAGTTCTAGATCCCTGAGGAATCGCCACACTGACTTCCACAATGGTTCAACTAGTTTACAGTCCCACTAACACTGTAAAAGTGTTCCTATTTCTCCACATCCTCTCCAGCACCTGTTGTTTCCTGACTTTTTAATAATCACCATTCTAACTGGTGTGAGATGGTATCTCATTGTGGTTTTGATTTGCATTTCTCTGATGGCCAGTGATGATGAGCATTTTTTCATGTGTCTGTTGACTGCATAAATGTCTTCTTTTGAGAAGTGTCTGTTCATATCCTTCACCCACTTGTTGATGGGGTTGTTTTTTCTTGTAAATTTGTTTGGGTTCTTTGTAGATTCTGGATATTAGCCCTTTGTCAGATAAGTAGATTGCAAAAATTTTCTCCCACTATGTAGGTTGCCTGTTCACTCTGATGGTAGTTTATTTTGCTGTGCAGAAGCTCTTTAGTTTAATTAGATCCCATTTGTCAATTTTGGCTTTTGTTGCCATTGCTTTTGGTGTTTTAGACATGAAGTCCTTGCCCATGCCTATGTCCTGAATGGTATTGCCTAGGTTTTCTTCTAGGGTTTTTATGGTTCCAGGTCTAACATTTAAGTCTTTACTCCATCTTGAATTAATTTTTGCGTAAGGTGTAAGGAAGGGATCCAGTTTCAGCTTTCTACATATGGCTAGCCAGTTTTCCCAGCACCATTTATTAAATAGGGAATCCTTTCCCCATTGCTGGTTTTTGTAAGGTTTGTCAAAGACCAGATAGTTGTAGACGTGTGGCATTATTTCTGAGGGCTCTGTTCTGTTCCATTGGTCAATATCTCTGTTTTGGTACCAGTACCATGCTGTTTTGGTTACTGTAGCCTTGTAGTATAGTTTGAAGTCAGGTAGCATGATGTCCCCAGCTTTGTTCTTTTGGCTTAGGATTGACTAGGCAATGTGGGCTCTTTTTTGGTTCCATATGAACTTTAAAGTAGATTTTTCCATTTCTGTGAGGAAAGTCATTGGTAGCTTGATGGGGATGGCATGGAATCTATAAATTACCTTGGGCAGTATGGCCAGTTTCACGATATTGATTCTTCCTACCCATTAGCATGGAATGTTCTTCCATTTGTTTGTATCCTCTTTTATTTCATTGAGCAGTGGTTTATAGTTCTCCTTGAAGAGGTCCTTCACATCCCTTGTAAGTTGGATTCCTAGGTATTTTATTCTCTTTGAAGCAATTGTGAATGGGAGTTCACTCATGATTTGGCTCTCTGTTTGTCTGTTATTGGTGTATAAGAATGATTGTGATTTTTGCACATTGATCTTGTATCCTGAGACTTTGCTGAAGTTGCTTATCAGCTTAAGGAGATTTTGGGCTGAGACAATGGGGTTTTCTAGATATACAATCATGTCGTCTGCAAACAGGGACAATTTGACTTCCTCTTTTCCTAAATGAATACCCTTTATTTCTTTCTTCTGCCTGATTGCCCTGGCCACAACTTCCAACACTATGTTGAATAGGAGTGGTGAGAGAGGGCATCCCTGTCTTGTGACAGTTTTCAAAGGGAATGTTTCCAGTTTTTGCCCATTCAGTATTATATTGGCTGTGGGTTGGTCATAGATAGCTCTTATTATTTTGAGATACGTCCCATCGATACCTAATTTATTGAGAGTTTTTAGCATGAAGGGCTGTTGAATTTTGTCAAAGGCCTTTTCTGCATCTATTGAGATAATCATGTGGTTTTTGTCATTGGTTCTGTTTATATGCTGGATTACATTTATTGATTTGTGTATGTTGAACCAGCCTTGCATCCCAGGGATGAAGCCCACTTGATCATGGTGGATAAGCTTTTTGATGTGTTGCTGGATTCGGTTTGCCAGGATTTTATTGAGGATTTTTGCATCGATGTTCATCAGGGATATTGGTCTAAAATTCTCTTTTTTTGTTGTGTCTCTGCCAGGCTTTGGTATCAGGATGATGCTGGCCTCATAAAATGAGTTAGGGAGGATTCCCTCTTTTTCTATTGACTGGAATAGTTTCAGAAGGAATATAAACAGATGTTATACAATAAATCTCTTTATCAGAGAAAAGTATGGTCAGTGGTGTACTAGTAAATGTTCAACAATTGACTCCCCAACAGTATGCATTTATACAAATATAAGTTTATTACAAATTTTACTGATAAAAGGACATATATCATGTAAGTTATAAATAACAAAATATACAATATTCTGTAAGTTCCAATTGATTTTCTCAGACTGCTTTCGTTTTTTGCTGAACTCATTATAATTTCTTAGCCATTCGACCTTGATTTAACATACAGTTTTAGTATAATAGCTACAGATGCAACACACTTTTAAGTGCATTATCAACATTGCGATAGACAACAAAGAATCAAGCCCTAATTTGCGGCCCTTGCCAATTTCCTGGTGTAAATACTCCCACCTCAGCCAGTTTCAGGTTACCAAAAGGATGTCAATGAATGTGGCAGTGAGAAGATATGGGCAGTAGCATGCTGTTATATGGTATTTTACTATACAGATAGGATAGATTTAAATAACTTCAGAAGCAGAGATAATAGTGAAATGTAGTAAAGTAATTAAGGAGTGATGGGTATTCAGTTATAACCTTTGTTTCTAATGTAATTTATTTAATTTTAAGTTTAATTTAATTTTTAATTATGGCAATGTTTAACAGTAGGCTCATAACATTTCTGAAAATTAAAGAATCAGCTCTGCCAGCAGGAGCCGGTGGCAGCAGACCACTTTGCAAGAGAAGCAGCTGTCTGACCCCCAGCTCTACTGTTTCTATGCCTAATGGAACTTTTCAGTTAATTGTATTCTGTTTCAAAATATCACCTCACCCATTTGATTCCTTTCCATTCTTCCCTTCTTGTCTAATGAGGTTCCATTTTCTGTTCTTCTTCCTTACCTCTTTTGTCACCTTCCTAGTCAAAGCCCACCACCTCCTACTCAGACCACTGTGGGACCCTCCTGTTTCCCGCCTCCTGTCTTCCTCTGTATCATCTAGATGCTTTTCTCAGATTCATTTTAGCCACATGCTTCTTTAGGCCAGGTTCCTGCTCCACAACCTCCAGTGGTCCTTTAAAAGCTTCCTGGATAGAGTTTGACATTTTTGGAAGTTCTAGAGATGGACGATGGTGATGACTGCAGAAAAATGTGAATGTACTTACATCACAGAACTGTATACTTTAAAATCATTAAAATAACTTTTACGTTATACATATTTTACTATAACAAAAAAATCTTAATCAAGGCCCTAACCAATCTGCCTTTGCTTAGAGCTTTAAAAACTTATCTTTCATTTCTATTATTGCTGCTACTAACTTATGCTCACTGCCATAAACTAAATGTTTGCCCCACTCCACCAATTCATATGTTGAAACCTAATCTCCAATGTGATGGTATTTGGAGGTAGGATCTTTGGGAGGTGATTGGTCATGCAGAAAGAACCCTCATTAATGGAATTATTCCCTGTATAAAAGAGGCCCTAGAAAGCTGCCTTGACCCTTCTGGCATATAAGAAGACAGCAAGACGATGCTATCTATGAACAAGGAAGTGGGTCCTCTCCTGACACTGAATCTACCAGCGCTTTGAACTTAGACTTCCAGCCTCTAGAACTACAAGAATATAAATTTCTGTTGTTTATTAGCCACCCGGTATATGGTAGTTTGTTATTGCAATCTGAATGGACTAAGATACTTACTGAACCAGTGTACTGGGCACTGTGCTGAGCAGTCTACAATTAATCCTCAGTATAACCCTGTAAAGTAAGTACTTTTACTGCCCCCATCTCATGGTGGGAAAACCAAGAGTTAAACACCCTGATGAAGATCATACATCCCAGAATGTTGCTATGATGCTTGTATATGCAACTGTAACAGCTCAGACATCACCATTTCTCTGTGATATCTTCCCATCTCAGGGCTAGGAACAGGGTGACGTAAGTGAGGCACTCCTCTTGGGCACAAAATTTAAGGGGGTAGTCGAGATAAATGATATTTTTAAGGCAATGACTTAAAAAATCAAAAGCAATGCAAAAATCCAATGATGAACAAAATATCAAATTTTAAATAAGGACACTACAGATGGCCCTCCATGCATTGAACATATTCAGAAAAAAACAATAACAGCAAGAAAAAAATTATAAAAATTACAATCTAACCATAGAATTTACATTCTGTTAGGTATTATAAGTAATCTAGAGATGATTTAAAGTATATACAAGAATGTGCATAGGTTGTGTGCAAATACTATGCCATTTTATGTAAGGGTTTTGAGCATCACAGGATTTTGGTGTCTGTGGGGGTCCTGGAACCAATCCCCAGCAGATAATAAGGGACAACTGTTATACCTCATTGACCCTGCATTTGGACAACTCTGTCTCATTTACCTCATCATGATGCAGCCCTGGTTCCTATAAAATCTTATTTACCCAAGCAGGTGACAGTCCATGGCTCACAGTTTGCCAATTTGATTTTTTAAAATATTGTTTTATTAATTTTAAATTTATTTTTATTAATACTATTTAACTGACAAATCATAATTGTATTACATTTATAAAGCACAATGTGATGTTTTGATATATTCATACATTATGGAATGATTGAATCAAGTGAATTAACATATTTTTAATATTAATTTAAAATACTATAATAATTACTAAGTTTCCTAGACTTGCTTTGCATTTCCTGCCCAGGGCAAGGATCTCATTTGCTTTACCCTAGTCCTGGCCGTACTGTACTATGAGCTAGACAAAAGACCTAAACACATCTTTCTTTCTCTACCTGCCTCACTCCCTCCCACACCATCTCTCAGGTTCTAACTCTTGACCTTCATGCTAGTTCCACCATAGGGAAATGTGACTATTTCAGGTCATGGGGAATTTTTATTAAGAGAGGGAAAAAGTTTGGATTATTTCATTTTTGTTACAACAGAACACTTCTAGAGCCCAAATTATATTTCTATAGTTTAAGGACAATAAAAATGCCTGGATATCACCTCATCAATAAGAAAGGGGTTAAGCCCTTCTAGTCAAAGTTTTCATAACAATTTCATAATTTATGCATCACCTAGGATACTCTCTGAAAACATTAGGCCAGTAGTGAGATGATCTATTTATTGCTGAAAACACCATCACTGGCTTGTAATGCTGATTAAATTAGGGGGAAAACAACTTTTTAAATTTCTTTAGATGCTGAGATCATCTGGAGCTGGTTTGCAGAAAGAAATGCCTCCCAGTTTATCCTTCAGGTAAAAAGGCATCCTTGTGAGAAATTGTTTTTTGTATTTTTAAATGATCAAACATCTAGGGTTTTTCAACAAAATAAACCTAGAATTCAAGACAACTCATTAAATAAAATGGGAAGCATTGCTTCACCAAAAGGTCCAGAGTTGTAATCAAGGCATTAAATTGGTTCTGGTCTCAGTGCTTTGAGTGGGCAATTTTGCTGAGTTATAGGCAGGCAGACCTAAGTGATATACAGTAGTGAGAAGTGCTCTCTAAGAAAAGATGCTTAGGTCAACTCAGTGCACTGAACCGATCCTCCTGTTGCACGAGGAATAGAAGGGTGAAACGTAAAAACAACAAAACAAGTATATACATAGTAGAGCTTGCAAGGGATCCCCAGATGTCTAGAAACAAAGAGGGCCACAAAATCTAAATAGACATGATGCCATGGTGACCTTTTGGATAATGAGAGGCTGGAGGTTAGAAGTAAGCCCAAAACAAAAATACTGGAGCCTTCAAATATTCTTCTTTCTATGAGTAAAAGACTAGAAAAATTACCCTGTTGGCCTAATATTGCACCATATAAAACTATAAGGGAGTTATAGGTGGAGAAATAGTTACACATAGAAAGAGTAAAACCCACAGACTAAATCACATGATCAGATGTAGGGTCCAAATTAACCTATGAAATGAGAATCTCAAGCTGAGAAATGAACATAAACATAAATATAGAAAAGTGCAGGAGAATCAAGTGTTTAACTGGTCCACAGGAATATTTTTATAATCCAGGACATAAAGAACTTGCAAAGAAGTTCCCACCCCCCATCTCCAATGATAAGCCTAATTTTTAAAAAATAAGATGATCTGCCCAGGAAAACACAGAACCATGAGGGAGAACCAGCTGTATAACAGGAAATTAGTACCTCAAGAACTAGAGGTAATAGTTTAATTGAAAGTATAAAATCAATGTGTTCAAAAGCATCAAAGATAAAGACGTCATAGAAACCCTAGTGAAAGAACAAGACATTATTTTTTAAAGATCATAAAAATTTAAAAGAGAACCAAATAATTGGGAATACGTTATATACAGTTGACCCTTGAACAACATGAGTTTGAACTGCATAGTTCCAGTTATAGGCAGATTTTTTGCAACCCAATGCAGATAGAAAATGCAGTGTTGGTGAGATGAGAAACCCACTTATATGGCAGGCTGACTTTTTGTGTATGCAGCTTCCAAAGGGCCAACGTGCAAACTTCGTATGCACGAAATTTGGTATACAAGAGAGTCCTGGAACCAATCCCTGGGTATACTAAGAGATGACTGCAATCATTAAATTTACGACCTCAATCAGCATGTTGAACAACATATCAGATACACCTAAAAAAAATTGGCTAACTGAATTTGAGGAAAACATTCAGAATGCAATACAGATGAAGACCAACTGGGACAGATGGAAAAGTCCAGATCTATATTTCACAGAAGCTCCAAAAAAGAATGTAGGGGAAAGCAATTTTCAAAAAGATAAGGCTTATACTTTTCTGGAATTGAAGAAATACTAGCACTCAACTTGAAAACGTACTTTAAGTTAATCCAAGCTAAATAAATAAAAAATTTGCTTAGCAGATTTTTTTTGTTTTAATTACTAGAAGAAAATGTTTTTTTTTTTTTTTTTTTTTTTTTACAGTGGCTTGAGTTCCTAAGACTCAACCCAAAGTTAGTGTCTTAGTTTTCTGCTGCTATAGCACAGTACCACAGATTGGGTAATTTATAAGACAAGACATTGATTTCTCACAGTTTTGGAAGCTGTGGAGTCCAACAGCATGGCGTGAGCATCTAGTGGGGCCTTTCTTACTGTATCAAAACACAGTAGAAGGGCAAGCAAGCACAGGAGGCAGAGAAAGGAAATTGGGCTGAACTCATCCTTTTTATCAGAAACCCACTCCGTGCCAACAGCATTAATCCATTAATGAAAGCAGAGCCCTCATGGCCTAATCACCTCTTAAATACTGTTACATTGGCAATTAAATTTCAACATGAGTTTTACAGGGTCATTCAAACCATAGCACTTAATATTTATAGCAGTGGCCATCTTTCTTTAGAACATCACGACCGCCCAGTAGGTCGGGACCCTGGAGGAAATAGGATTGGTTACAGTCTATCTATTTTGGAATAGGCTAAGACATCTAGCCCAGGTAATTGATCTGTAGTATTAAAATGACATTTAAAGAAAAACAATATTAATGTGGACACCAATTGCTTTTCACATGCTGTTCAGGATAGCAGCTTTGTAAAATGTGAAGTTATTTATAAATGTCAATAATGTTATCTAATCACTGGTTTAGCAAATAATAATTATTAGCAAGTCCAGCCCTGTGCTAAGCACTCTACAAGCATTTTCTCATGAATCCCTACAAATAACTTTTTAATGTAGGTGTGTGTATACATATAAATTTCAGTATAAATTTTAAATATGGATGAGTAAGCTAAGACTCAGAAAAGTTTCTTGCCCGGGATTTCAGAGAATAATGGAATAGGGACTCATCTCAGATCTGCCTGATGATTTTAACTATTCTTTAATGTGCAGAACGTAGAGAAGGCAGATTAACACTATCGAAAAAGTAAACACTACTGTTCATTGGAAATATGCAAGCTTCAAGAATTTTCTTGGGTTAACTTTGAAATATTGCTGTTCTGAATCCAACAGGTCACCAGGAGAAGGTCACCTACCTGATGGCCAGTGACTCCTGATCCTGGGAAGTCAGGGTGGGACTCTGGGAGCCAGGGACACAGTTCTTTCAAAAGAACAAAGGAGTCACATGGCAAGGACTAGTGTGCTGGCGGTGTTAAATGCATTAGCAATCTCCTGGAGGTTCATAAATATTGTGTGGGGAAAGGGAAAAACAGCTTGTTTATTTTGAGCGTGGAGGGCGTTACATTCATTTTTTAAAATGTCAGGCATATGCATGTAAGATGTGCCTGTTTTCCAGCAATATGCTTTTTCCATAGAATGCAGAATTAAAAATAAATTGCTAATGGAGGCACAAATAAATGACTGAGAAACAGAGGTATTTTCAAAGGAAAATACCAACACCGTCTCTAGCTTAGCATATCGCCAAGGTTTTTTTGTTTGTTTGTTTGTTTTTTCCAGAAGATGCTGGCAGCTTAATGTAAGCCAAAGCGGGCTTCTCGGTAAAGGCGGCATGAGCACTGTTTTTCAATATGCTTTCTCTAAATGTGCAATAAGCACTATTTTGAAGTCAGTGCTTTTAGCAAGCCTTCTATTTTTCACTGCAAAGAAACTCAATTTATTCTTTGTTCAAAGAAAAAGTGGAATCACAGCCATCTCTGAGGGAACTGATGAAAACATTGGCAAAACTTTCAGATAAAAGAGATCGAATTGTTTATGAAGAAAAAAATATTTAAATATATATTCCATTTTATTTTCTTTCACAGTCATTTGGAAAGAAGGGAGCAGAGGTTGAGTCAGGGGGAAGGCTCTGACATTCTTTCTTTCAGTGGAAAAACCTTTTAAAAAAGCAATTCAGCATTTTAATCATTACACCAGGTCATCGGAAAAAAGTACTTAACTTTCGCCTTGATTTTCATTTCTTTCACGGTTCCAAGATGGTAGTTCCTGTGCTGACAGAAACAGATTTTAGCCCTCCCCAAAACCAGCTGCTGGCTTTCTCTTTTTGGGGGGTAACACAATCAATTTTTTTATAAGTTCTTTCTCTTATTCTGAGGTGCCTATATGCTTGGGTGAAGATTATAGGTTAAACTCTACTGAAAGTAATGGAATTTACTTTGCCCTTATATTTCTGGTCAATACCCCGTCTGTGGGTAGACTCAGGCTTTCTACTGGAAATTCTATTTTCCTAATGCTACTTCAAGACCCAGCTGTGTATTCAGATGTAAGGGCAATCAATTGCCAGTTTGGAGGTAAATGGGAGCAGAGAAACATTGAAAAGTTATATTTTTAGTTTTTCAACTTAAATTTTTGAAAAAATGTCAAGGGGTACTCCCAATTATCACGATCAAAATTTTTCACAATTCAGCATAACCTCTGTTTCTTTGTCAAGGAAGGTTTTTGTATAGTGCTCAGAATTTTTATATATATATATATATAATTATACTTTAAGTTCTAGGGTACATGTGCACAATATGCAGGTTTGTTACACATGTGTATGTGTGCCATGTTGGTGTGCTGTACCCATTAACTCGTCATTTACATTTGGTGTATCTCCTAATGCTATCCCTCCCCCTCCCCCTCCCGCCACCCTACAACAGGCCCCAGTGTGTGATGTTCCCCTTCCTGTGACCAAGTTTTCTCATTGTTCATTTCCCACCTATGAGTGAGAACATGCAGTGTTTGGTTTTTTGTCCTTGCGATAGTTTGCTGAGAATGATACTTTCCAGCTTCATCCATGTCCCTACAAAGGACATGAACTCATCATTTTTTATGGCTGCATAGTATTCCATGGTGTATATGTGCCACACTTTCTTAATCCAGTCTATCATTGTTGGACATTCGGCTTGGTTCCAAGTCTTTGCTATTGTGAGTAGTGCCACAATAAACATACATGTTCATGTGTCTTTATAGTAGCATGATTTCTAATCCTTTGGGTATATACCCAGTAATGGGATGGCTGGGTCAAATGGTATTTCTAGTTCTAGATCCCTGAGGAATCGCCACACTGACTTCCACAATGGTTCAACTAGTTTACAGTCCCACCAACACTGTAAAAGTGTTCCTATTTCTCCACATCCTCTCCAGCACCTGTTGTTTCCTGACTTTTTAATGATTGCCATTCTAACTGGTGTGAGATGGTATCTCATTGTGGTTTTGATTTGCATTTCTCTGATGGCCAGTGATGATGAGCATTTTTTCATGTGTCTGTTGGCTGCATAAATGTCTTCTTTCGAGAACTGTCTGTTCATATCCTTCGCCCACTTGTTGATGGGGTTGTTTTTTTCTTGTAAATTTGTTTGAGTTCTTTGTACATTCTGGATATTAGCCCTTTGTCAGATGAGTAGATTGCAAAAATTTTCTCCCATTCTGTAGGTTGCCTGTTCACTCTGATGGTAGTTTCTTTTGCTGTGTAGAAGCTCTTTAGTTTCATTAGATCCCATTTGTCAATTTTGGCTTTTGTTGCCATTGCTTTTGGTGTTTTAGACATGAGGTCCTTGCCCATGCCTAGGTCCTGAATGGTATTCCCTAGGTTTTCTTCTAGGGTTTTTATGGTTTCAGGTCTCACATTTAAGTCTTTACTCCATCTTGAATTAATTTTTGTATAAGGTGTAAGGAAAGGATCCAGTTTCAGCTTTCTACATATGGCTAGCCAGTTATCCCAGCACCATTTGTTAAATAGGGAATCCTTTCCCCATTGCTTGTTTTTGTCAGGTTTGTCAAAGATCAGATAGTTGTAGATGTGTGGTATTATTTCTGAGGACTCTGTTCTGTTCCATTGGTCTGTATCTCTGTTTTGATACCAGTACCATGCTGTTTTGGTTACTGCAGCCTTGTAGCACAGTTTGAAGTCAGGTAGCATGATGCCTCCAGCTTTGTTCTTTTGGCTCAGGATTGCAATGCGGGCTCTTTTATGGTTCCATATGAACTTTAAAGTAGATTTTTCCATTTCTGTGAGGGAAGTCATTGGTAGCTTGATGGGGATGGCATTGAATCTATAAATTACTTTGGGCAGTATGGCCATTTTCACGATATTGATTCTTCCTATCCATGAGAATGGAATGTTCTTCCATTTGTTTGTGTCCTCTTTTATTTCGTTGAGCAGTGGTTTGTAGTTCTCCTTGAAGAGGTCCTTCACATCCCTTGTAAGTTGGATTCCTAGGTATTTTATTCTCTTTGAAGCAATTGTGAATGGGAGTTCACTCATGATTTGGCTCTCTGTTTGTCTGTTATTGGTGTATAAGAATGATTGTGATTTTTGCACATTGATTTTGTATCCTGAGACTTTGCTGAAGTTGCTTATCAGCTTAAGGAGATTTTGGGCTGAGACAATGGGGTTTTCTAGATATACAATCATGTCATCTGCAAACAGGGACAATTTGACTTCCTCTTTTCCTAATTAAATACCCTTTCTTTCTTTCTTCTGCCTGATTGCCCCGGCCAGAACTTCCAACACTATGTTGAATAGGAGTGGTGAGAGAGGGCATCCCTGTCTTGTGACAGTTTTCAAAGGGAATGCTTCCAGTTTTTGCCCATTCAGTATGATATCGGCTGTGGGTTGGTCATAGATAGCTCTTATTATTTTGAGATATGTTCCATCAATACCTAATTTATTGAGAGTTTTTAGCATGAAGGGCTGTTGAATTTTGTCAAAGGCCTTTTCTGCACCTATTGAGATAATCATGTGGTTTTTGTCATTGGTTCTGTTTATATGCTGGATTACGTTTATTGATTTGTGTATGTTGAACCAGCCTTGCATCCCAGGGATGAAGCCCACTTGATCATGGTGGATAAGCTTTTTGATGTGTTGCTGGATTCGGTTTGCCAGTATTTTATTGAGGATTTTTGCATCAATGTTCATCAGGGATATTGGTCTAAAATTCTCTTTTTTTGTTGTGTCTCTGCCAGGCTTTGGTATCAGGATGATGTTGGCCTCATAAAATGAGTTAGGGAAGATTCCCTCTTTTTCTATTGATTGGAATAGTTTCAGAAGGAATGGTACCAGCTCCTCCTTGTAACTCTGGTAGAATTCGGCTGTGAATCTGTCTGGTCCTGGACTTTTTTTGGTTGGTTAGCTATTAATTATTGCCTCAATTTCAGAGCCTGTTATTGGTCTATTCAGAGATTCAACTTCTTCCTGGTTTAGTCTTGGGAGGGTGTATGTGCCCAGGAATTTATCCATTTCTTCTAGATTTTCTAGTTTATTTGCATTGAGGTGTTTATAGTATTCTCTGATGGTAGTTTGTATTTCTGTGGGATCGGTGGTGACATCCCCTTTATCATTTTTTATTGCATCTATTTGATTCTTCTCTCTTTTCTTCTTTATTAGTCTTGCTAGAGGTCTATCAAATTGTTGATCTTTTCAAAAAACCAGCTCCTGGATTCATTGATTTTTTGAAGGTTTTTTTGTTTCTCTATCTCCTTCAGTTCTGCTCTGATCTTAGTTATCTCTTGCCTTCTGCTAGCTTTTGAATGTGTTTGCTCTTGCATCTCTAGTTCTTCTCATTGCGATGTTAGGGTGTCAATTTTAGATCTTTTCTGCTTGCTCTTGTGGGCATTTAGTGCTATAAATTTCCCTCTACACACTGCTTTAAATGTGTCCCAGAGATTCTGGTATGTTGTGTCTTTGTTCTTGTTGGTTTCAAAGAACACCTTTATTTCTGCCTTCATTTCATTATGTACCCAGTAGTCATTCAGGAGCAGGTTGTTCAGTTTCCATGTAGTTGAGCGGTTTTGAGTGAGTTTCTTAACCCTGAGTTCTAGTTTGATTGCACTGTGTTCTGAGAGACAGTCTGTTATAATTTCTATTCTTTTACATTTGCTGAGGAGTGCTTTCATTCCAACTATGTGGTCAATTTTGGAATAGGTGTGGTGTGATGCTGAGAAGAATGTATATTCTGTTGATTTGGGGTGGAGAATTCTGTAGATGTCTATTAGGTCCAATTGGTGCAGAGCTGAGTTCAATTCCTGGATATCCTTGTTAACTTTCTGTCTTGTTGATCTGTCTAATGTTGACAGTGGGGTGTTAAAGTCTCCCATTATTATTATTGTGTGGGAGTCTTAGTCTCTTTGTAGGTCTCTAAGGACTTGCTTTATGAATCTGCATGCTCCTGTATTGGGTGCATATATATTTAGGATAGTTAGCTCTTCTTGTTGAATTGATCCCTTTACCATTATGTAATGGCCTTCTTTGTCTCTTTTGATCTTTGTTGGTTTAAAGTCTGTTTCATCAGGGACTAGGATTGCAACCCCTGCCTTTTTTTGTTTTCCATTTGCTTGGTAGATCTTCCTCCATCCCTTTATTTTGAGCCTATATATGTCTCTGCACATGAGATGGGTCTTGACTCTTTATCCAATTTGCCAGTCTGTGTCTTTTAATTGGAACATTTAGCCTGTTTACAATTAAGGTTAATATTGTTATGTGTGAAAATTTGATCCTGTCATTATGATGTTAGCTGGTTATTTTGTTCGTTAGTTGATGCAGTTTCTTCCTAGCATCAATGGTCTTTAAAATTTGGCATGTTTTTGCAGTGGCTGGTACTGGTTGTTCCTTTCCATGTTTAGTGCTTCCTTCAGGAGCTCTTGTTGGGTAGGCCTGGTGGTGACAAAATCTCTCAGCATTTGCTTGTCTGTAAAGGATTTTATTTCTCCTTCACTTATGAAGCTTAGTTTGCCTGGATATGAAATTCTGGGTTGAAAATTCTTTTCTTTAAGAATGTTGAATATTGGCCCCCACTCTCTTCTGGCTTGTAGAGTTTCTGCTGAGAGATCAGCTGTTATTCTGATGGGCTTCCCTTTGTGGGTAACCCGGCCTTTCTCTCTGGCTGCCCTTAACATTTTTTCCTTCATTTCAACTTTGGTGAATCTGACAATTATGTGTCTTGGAGTTGCTCTTCTTGAGGAATACCATTGTGGCATTCTCTGTATTTCCTGAATTTTAATGTTGGCCTGCCTTGCTCGATTGGGGAAGTTCTCCTGGATAATATCCTGCAGAGTGTTTTCCAACTTGGTTCCATTCTCCCCGTCACTTTCAGGTACACCAATCAGACGTAGATTTGGTCTTTTCACATAGTCCCATATTTCTTGGAGGCTTTGTTTGTTTCTTTTTATTCTTTTTACTCTAAACTTCTCTTCTTGCTTCATTTCATTCATTTTATCTTCAATCACTGATACCCTTTCTTCCAGTTGATCGAATTGGCTACTGAAGCTTGTGCTTTCATCACGTAGTTCTCGTGCCATGGTTTTCAGCTCCATCAGGTCCTTTAAGGACTTCTCTGCATTGGTTATTCCAGTTAGCCATTCTTCTAATCTTTTTTTAAGGTTTTTAACTTCTTTGCCATGGGTTCGAACTTCCTCCTTTAGCTCGGAGAAGGTTGATGGTCTGAAGCCTTCTTCTCTCAACTTGTCAAAGTCATTCTGCATCCAGCTTTGTTCTGTTGCTGGTGAGGAGCTGCGTTCTTTAGGAGGAGGAGAGGTTCTCTGATTTTTAGAATTTTCAGTATTTCTGTTCTGTTTTTTCCCCATCTTTGTGGTTGTATCTACCTTTGGTCTTTGATGATGGTGACCTACAGATGGGGTTTGGTGTGGATGTCCTTTCTGTTTGTTAGTTTCCCTTCTAACAGTCTGGATCCTCAGCTGCAGGTCTGTTGGAGTTTGCTGGAGGGCCACTCCAGACCCTGTTTGCCTGGGTATCAGCAGCAGAGACTGCAGAACAATGAATATTGCTGAACAGCAAATGTTGCTGCCTGATCGTTCCTCTGGAGGTTTCGTCTCAGAGGGGTACCCTGCCATGTGAGGTGTCAGTCTGCCCCTACTGGAGGGTGCCTCCCAGTTAGGCTACTCGGGGGTCAGGGACCCACTTGAGGAGGCAGTCTGTCCGTTCTCAGATCTCAGACTCCATGCTAGGAGTACCACTACTCTTTTCAAAGCTGTCAGAGAGGGACATTTAAGTCTGCAGAGGTTTCTGCTGCCTTCTGTTCAGCTATGCCCTGCAGAGGTGGAGTCTACAGAGGCAGGCAGGCCCATTTGAGCTGTGGTGGGCTCCACCCAGTTCAAGCTTCCTGGCTGCTTTGTTTACCTACTGAAGCCTCAGCAATGGGGGGCGCCCCTCCCCCCACCTCGCTGCTGCCTTGCAGTTTGATCTCAGACTGCTATGCTAGCAATGAGCAAGGCTCCATGGGTGTGGGACCCTCTGAGCCAGGCACAGGATATAATCTCCTGGCGTGCCGTTTGCTAAGACCATTGGAAAAGCACAGTATTAGGTTGGGAGTGACCCGATTTTCTGGGTGCCATCTGTCACAGCTTTGCTTGGCTAGGAAAGGGAATTCCCTGACCCCTTGCACTTCCCAGGTAAGGCGATGCTTCGCCCTGCTTCGGCTCATGCTCAGTGCACTGCACCCACTCTCCTGCCCCCACTGTCCAACAAGCCCCAGTGAGATGAACCCGGTACCTCAGTTGGAAATGCAGAAATCACCCATCTTCTGCGTCACTCATGCTGGGAGCTATAGACTGGAGCTGTTCCTATTCAGCCATCTAGGAACTGCAACAGTGCTCAATTTTTAACTGCGTAGAATTTTTTTACTAGTATCTGATTGTAGCAAAATAACATAGGCTGGTGAGTAAGATGGAAAGGAGATGGAAATTTTCCTTCAGTGCCCAGAGCTAGTGGAATTCTGTTGGTCTTTTCTAAAGACTTTTTAAAAGTCCAATTTAAAAAAATTATATTTTTCTAAAGACAAGGTCTTGCTATGTTGCCCAGGCTGGAGAGCAGTGGCTATTCACAGGTGCCATCATAGCACACTACAGCCTGGAACTCCTGCCCTCAAGCCATCCTCTTGCCTCGGCTTCCCAAATAGCTGGGACTACAGCTGTATGCCACTACGCCAGACTTCTTAAGGCTTTTATGGCCAGGACCACCATGAAGAAAATGGAGCACAGCTCCATGCCATGAGGATAACCAGCCTAAAGCCACCTAAAAGCCACAAAGACTTGACCCAGTCACATTCAAATACATAGCACATGTGACTTAACTCCCAAACATGAACTCATGGTAGACATTATTAATCAATCACTGCACTGTTTTCCAGTAAGTACAGATTGGGCCTCACGATCCTTCTCTGCAGAAATCTCTAGGCAACTCCTCTTCATAGCATTTACAACTCTCCCACCAGTCCTGATGTAATCACCTTTTTTTCTAGTATCTTCACCTTATAAGGGCAGAAGCTATAGTGGCAAAGATTGTGAATGGAAAGATGGAAGGACCAGGTGCATGCCTCCACTCTGTTATCAACAAGTTCTGTGCCCTTGGCCCAGTCACTTGTCCTCTTTAAAGTCCAATTTTCTAATCTAGAACAAGTAGTTTTGGTTTGATCAGAATATGTCAATCATGACCCAAGGACCCCTGGTGGGGGGGGCCATAATAATTAATTGCAAGAAGCCTCAAACCCATAACATTCTACATACTGTTTAAATATTAAATGAATGACATGGTAACTAATTTCCCAAGCAGATAGAGATTGTTGGAATGAATGAAATACAAATTCATCTACAATCACTAAAATTTATAGCACTTTTGTCACCACGTAGTTCTTGATCAATAAATATGTACCAAAAATAAAATGCTTATTCTTTAAAACTTAAAGTATCATATCCTCATTTATTAATAACATAAAAAAAGAAAGCTTATCTCATGAAATTTTTGTGAAGATTAAATGAAATAATGCATGAAGGGTCTTGGTACAGTCCCTGCCGGACCCATGGTAAGTGTTCTATCAGGCACAGAAAAAGGAGATGGGCTGCGCAGGATTCAGGATGAGAAAAATATTACTCAACCTGGCTGCAGACTCTCCCTTCACCCTTGCATAGTGAGGCTAAGTGGGAGTCAAGAAGTAGGAGGGTGTGGTTTCTTTAAGTAGTCCCTTAAATTTAAGTAAGTACTTAATCTTTCTGGGACATAGTTCGAAAGCTGGTGATATAAAGCCTGGGGCAATGATTTTGCAAAAATCCCACTGTTTTTGTAACTCTTAATGGGATGGTAATTGCTGCAACTCCCTCAGCCCTGTGGGTCAGACTGTTTTCATAATCTCAGCAGGTTAAATGGAAAATTTAATCTAATTCCACAGAGGCTATGTGTTTAGCATCTTTCTTTCAGCCCATATCTCATTTAAATGAAGCAGATAGACAGTTTTATTACCATGATACGGAGAGGCGGACTTCACTGTTACAGAGGGGTCCCACATTTCTGAAAAATTGGGAACCAATGAAGCAAACCCTCTAGAAGTTTCTAGTTCTATAACACGATGGATTTTAGAGTTAAATGAAGCCATTATGTAACAGGCATTTTATTTTTATTTTTTTAATATAAAATGTTTTTCAAGCTCATTCTTGCTTCAGGGGTAAAAGATGCTTTAAAGTGATAGGTCTGGAAACAGAAATGCCTCGGTGCTAAATGGGATGGTCGTGTTCAGTCCCTGTTATCACCAGCCTTCCATGATCAGGAAAAAAACTGTGGGCGTGCAGAGTCAACAAAGAATTAGTGTGGGAAGAGAGATCTGCATTCCATTCCCAATAGTGCCAATGAGGCCAAAGTCTACCAGTTTCTCAGCCTGGAAACCTGAGAAGTATTTCTGAGTTCTCCATCTTCTTGCTCTAATGTCCAATCAATCATTCAGTTCTATTACTCCTCCTGAATCATTTCTCAAATCCACTCCACTTCCATCATCTTCATGGCTCAGCTCATGTCTTAGATTATAGCATCGCCAGCTGCCTTTCACTTTTTGACCATAGCAGCCTCCTAACTGGTGTCCCTACTCTCTCTCGCCCCTCTCCAAGTACTCTCTATTTTGCAGTCAGAGTAAACTTTCACATTATATCTGATTGATGTCATTCTTCTTGAAATCCTCCCAAGACCTTCTGATATACTGGAAATAGAGTCAGTACAAGTGACTCCTGCCCAACCTATCAACATGATCTTGTTCCTTTCTCCTTTCACCCACTGTGTTCCAGCCACACTGGCCTTAATTTAGTTCCTCAAACACATTAAGCTCTTTCCCACCTGGGGTTTCTTGCTATGATGTTCCCTCTGCCTAAAACAATCCTTCTCACCCATTTCTCCAACTGAAGCCTCCATCCCACCTCCTTGGGTAGACATTCCCTGACTTCTGCCTTGAAAGAAGCTCAATCTCCCTCTCAACACTCCCTGTGCTTCCTTGAAAACACTGATTATTATTTATAACCATGCCTTTATTTGCTTCATATTTCTTGTTTATTTCTGCACATTAGATTATAAACTTCTTGAAATCAAGGGCCTTGCCAGTTTTTTTTTTATTTGTATTTTTTTTTTTACAGAGATAGCTCCATAGTTTAGAGCAGGACCTGGCGCTTAGAAAGTCCACAGTAAATACTTGTTGAATTGACAGATCAACATGATATTATTATTATTATTATTTGAGATGGAGTCTCGCTCTGTCGTCCAGGTTGGAGTGCAGTGGCACAATCTCAGCTCACTGCAAGCTCCGCCTCCTGGTTCACGCCATTCTGCTGCCTCAGCCTCCCGAGTAGCTGGGACTACAGGTGCCCGCCACCTAATGTCAATTTGTCACTGTTATATAAGAATAAACTTCAGTGCACGTTGTCAAAAAGCTGCGGAATCTTCTGTACTAAAAAGCCTATAGTGCTGTGTTGTCCAGTATGGCAGCCACTAGCTACATATGTCTTCTATGTCATAGGGCCTGTCCACATCGCAGAAAGTTCTATTGGACAGCACCTCTCTAGGTGTTGGGTTGAGTTGGGCCAGCCCTTTCTAGAGGAAGTGATGTGAGGCAGTGACTCCTCAGTTGCTTCTTAGTTTTAACAAGAACTACTTCCCATCTGAGGCTTTACATGGTTATACTCCAACATGAAACTATTTCATTTATAATCCTCAGTCAGCTTAGTTTACTACAAATGAAAAATGTGATTGACAAGAGTGAGCCTCTTACTAAGAAATAAGTAAACAATGAGGAACTTCTGCAACTCCACTCAAAGGGCTTCTTTTCACGTCAGCTACAAAGGCCCTGTAGAAAATGCTAGTCTTTTCTTCCAAGACTACTGTTTGCTATTTATCCAGCACCAAAAACTATGCTGAGAGCACAAGCTGGAGCTCAACTTGGTCTCTGCCTTTTGGGACTTACCATTTAATTAGACAGATGGGGAAAAATACCCAAGTGTGTTTCCCAATCCTATTTATGAATAATCAGCTGGATTGCAGCTTCTGGCAGGATGTCACACTGACAGGAGGATGCAGCGCGCGGCACGTCTTACTGTGCTGTGCAGTGACCCCTGACACCTCTGCTCTCTGCTGCTACCAGAACTCAAAGCTACTTGTATTACAGCTGTCTCTGGCTTACACTCAATTTGGACTTTTGACTCCTGGTGAGACCCTCTTGCCTTGGGACTGTGCCACCTGTGATCCAGTTTTCTTTCCTTTTGGTGCTATTAATGCTTCCCCTCCCCACCCTGTGAGACTGGTCTGATCTAGTTTTATTTTGCTCACTCTCCCTTTAGCTGGATCATCTGTCTCAGCACATACAAGGACACGTATCCAGATATGAACAGGGCAAACTGGTGGGAACTGTGGTCACATCTTTGTCAGGGGATGAAGGATGCTTCTGTAATCATGAGGAACAGAGTCCACAGTTCAGCCTTCCAGTCCCCATGCCCCCATTTTATTACCTTTCTGGGAGGCTTCAAAACGTATATCCCTACCTTTTTTCCAAAGAGGTCTTCCAGTAGCATCCAGCCAAAGTCACACTCCTTTTTCCACCTTAACAGTTTGAAATATAACTTATATTCCATAAAATTCATCTATTTTAAGTGCACATTTCAGCTTTTGTTATATTTATAGAGTTGTCCAACTATTACCCCAATCTGATTTTAGAACATTTCTATTCTCCCAGAAAGAAACCACAATGCACATTATTAATTATTCCCCTTTTCCACTCTGACATTAGGCAAGGTTGGGATTTTGATTCTTGTTGAGACCCTCTTGCTTTGGGACTGACTTTCTGTCTCTATGGATTTGCCTGTTTTGGACATTCCATATAAATGGAATTATACATGTTCTTATTTTTGGTCTGGCTTCTTCCACTTAGCATGTTTTTGAGGCTCATTCATGTTGGAGCATATATCAGTACTGTGTTTCTTTTTGTCACAAGATACTATTCCATCATATGGATATAGCACATTTTGTGTATTAATTCACTCTCATTTTACACAAAATAGAAATCTTTTCAAGGCTCCCACTCAGAAATGTATTGTCTTTTATTCATTTGAATCAAGCACAGAAAGCTACTTCCTTAATAAGTTTCCTCAAGTTTCTTCATTCTAAAAGTAAACCCTCTCCTTAATATGTGCACATACTTGTGCATCTCTCAGAATCACTTAAAAGCAAACAAACCCATCAGTGTCCAGTGTTTGCCAATGGATGCCCATTATTTCCTCGGGAGAGATGATCATGTCACATGGTAACAGGAATGATCATTGGTCATATAACCAAATAATGTCAACCTCCACAAATACCTCACTGTAGCTGAGGTCAATGGCAAAATTGGCAACAATAAAATATTTAGATTCACAGCGAGGGTATAAAATATGGTACCTTCTCTGTATGCAGCCATATAAAATATTTATGACGATACGGGTTATTTATATTTAATAGCCTGTGTGTTCCCCATGTCTCCTGCTTCCAGCTTGAGCAGATGGAGGCTGCTTGGCTGCCCGCATGAGCTCTTTGTTCTAGTAGCACTAGTGATTCCCACTTCACAGAAGATCACGCTGTGAGGCAGCAGGTGGAGACTGGATGTCTCCAGAGACTCACCTCCACCTTTGTGGTAGCTGTTGACTCTCAGATCTTCTGCCAAGTGGTTTCTATTCTTCTCTTCCCTTCTGATCTATCCCAGTTGTTGGAATCCGTCCTCCTCTCCAATTTGCATTACTCAGAGCTGGAAGTATCGTATCTTTATGGTCTCTCTTGTTCTCATTTATTTTTCCCTATCCACATTCTCAGTTTGGTTGAAAAAAACACCTACCCATACACAGTTCTTTTCGTTGGCCTAGAATCTTTTATTTTCTCTTACCCTTTCATGTAATGGATTAACTTGTAAATATTTAGGAGATAATGATGTTCACTTTTAACATACAACTCTAGAGAATTATCCACCATACATACTTAAATAGTTGCCATGATGTTAGGCACCTTAAAACACAGTCTACAATTGTAGGTTCTTCCTCTGTTTCAGTTCATCAGTAGATTCTGACCTGAAAGATAGCTATTTTGGTTCTAATTCCCTGTTGGTTTTCATTGCAATTAACATGGATTGATAAATGCAGTTAATTGAATGGCAACTCTGCCAGATTCTGTACTAAGTGCTTGACACACATTCTCTCTTAGCCTGACAAAGCTGGCAGTATTTTCTCCACATTATACACATGAAGCCTGAGACTCAGAGGCTAAACGACTCTGCCAAGGTCCCAGAGCTAGTGAATGTGGAGTTGTTGTTTGAGTCCAAGTTCACTCTGATTCCAAAGTCCATGCTCTTCCCATGACTGACCCCTAGCTTTCAGTGACTTGATGTTCAGTTATGTCACTTATTTAGAGTTAGAGGTCCAAAACATTTCACCATCAGCTAAGAGATATGACAGGGTTCAGCCAGATTGGCTGCATGACCTGGACAAATCATTCCACCTCTTGATGGATACCCCACCACCTGAAGATTGGGCACAGAAAGAAGAATCCAAGAAACTCTCAGGGAAAATGCTCCACCATTTTCAGAGGTCAATGTTTGGTTTCTGCAACTCCTCAAAACCCCACCATTAGCTGAGAATACTTTCTGCAACATCTACCAGCAGGGTATTTCTTCCTTTGTGATGTTCTTGAGAAGTCAACTCCCCACTTGCTTCTCCGTTGCCTCCAAGGCTTTAAGTGCCTCCCAGTTAAAGGGCCATATATGATTGTGAACCTTGGTGAGGAAGGTCCCTCATCTCCTTTGCCTCCCCTGGGTACTCTGTGAAACTACTTGCAGTTTTGTGCCTGCTGTAAATCAAAACACCCAGGCAGAGAGCCTGCTGACCAGTGCTTGTGGTCATGAACTCTTTTGTGGGCCTGGGAGGCCTGAGAGATGCAGCTGCTCTTACAGTCTCTGGTATTTGCTGTTTTGCTTCCCATTTTCCCCTTCCACACTAAAAATCCTTGGGGTCAGGCCCTCTGCTGATGGTCACACTGAGCTGGCTCAACCAGACTTACTGAGTCCTAACGACACACTTGATGTGGTATGATGTCATCACTGCTATTTAATATTTATCTAGGGCACTCAGTGTACTTGGTACCACTTAGAAAGGCAATGTCCTCAGCCTCTTTTACCTTCATTGCTGCAAAGAATTTGACCCTGTGGGACTTAACTTGCTCCAAGATCTGTCATTGCTGACTTTCATAACCTTGGAGCTCTGTCCCCTGCAGGTGTCCAGGGACTGTCTGGGTTGTGTCACCTTCTGACACTAACTATCACGATTATGAATGTGACCTTAAGCACAGACCTCCTGATGCCCCAAATTAGCCCAAACAGGCACCAACCAGCTGGCCCTGTGGAAACGTCACTGACTCAGCGTTTCTTTTCCTGCTTCTGCCCTTGGCATTTGCAGTCTGAGCTCAGGAGTCTAGCTTGCTGCCATTTGTGAGAAGTCACATGCCCAGTGCCATCCTTTGTACCCAGGGGCCCTCACACTCCAAGGTCCTCTGAGGCATTATTTCTTTAAAGCTCCAGGCGAGTGTCACTGGGGCTGGCTTTTAAAAGTTTGTTGACCAACTTGCTTGACACTCTGTCGAAGCCGAAGCTGAATCCACCTTTCTACCTCGGACACCTAAGGTGAATCCTGCTCTAATCACCTTCTTGGCTGCTCGGCTGACTCCTACTTTCAGCAGTTTCTTGCTTTCAACAGCTTGTTTAAGGCCCCTCAAATGGGCTGTCAGGCTCCAAAGGAGGGATGGTGCTAGAAACAGTGGAGAGCTAAAAATAAACACCTTCACAGACAGGGACAGACACACTGTGCAAATAGATTACCCGGCTACCCTCCAGACCTGATTGCATTGCAGACCTCATTGCTTCTTATTAGGAGACGGTAAAGTGTTTGCATAGGTAGCTCTGCAATTCACAGGTACTAGAAACCATTTTTAAATTGTCCATCAGCTGGGCAGTGACAGGCAGAAATCTATTGTTTGCAGAATGGGTACAACCTGTCCAAATGGGCTCCCTGCAAGGTAGTCACCACCAAGGACAAAACATCCTATTCTTAAAGTAAGCACTAAAGTTTGACTTAAATAATATATCTTTTGAGGTTTCTAACTTTTATTAAATATAATTAATTATGTAATGTTTGCCTGTGCAAAAGTTCAGAGGCTTGGAAATCAACAAATATATTTGTCTGAGCACACCAATGCAGTTATTCAATCCAGAGGACCATCTTTATTCTGTTTCTAGGACAAAGTTTATCAAATATTTGTTGCAATAATACAAGCAGACACCTGTGAGCACCCTCTGTTGCACGATGCTACTCATTCATGATTTCAGGCACATACCATGTCCTAGGCATCCTATATCTGTTACCTCTGTTTCTTACCTAAGTCCCACAAGGTTATTTTTGTAATAAAGAAAGTAAGATATTTGAGCAGGTAAGTAACTTGTCCCAGCCCAGTAGCAAAATGATGGTGCCTGTAAAAGAGTAACCACTTGGGGACTGTCAATTTTGTGGCAGGTGTTTTGCTATGGGCCCTATGGATGGAATCACAGAGCAGGAAGCAGTTGTAACTCAGGGCTCAGACACCTTGGAATATGGCCAGCTCCTCCTTTCTTCCTGTTGTTCAGTCAGGTGTGCTAGCCAGGGGGAGCGGGGACAGGTGATCCTCAGTGCCTTTGCTGGGAGGATCAGAGGGGATGCATCAGTGTCAGTACTGGGTGACATAAGCCTCATTCCAGATTGACCTGGCCACATGCTAGGCTGTTTTTGTAGACAGGTTGTGGCTTACAGAATTCTGATAGGTGAAATCGTGTTGAGAACCCTGACTCCAGGTAAGACTGATAAATGGATTTTGCTGTAGTCACAAAAAGTTGTTGCACAGCATAGAAAGTTCTGGGTGGTAAAGCTGTAACCAGCTGTAGGAAAGACAGTGACTAGCATGCAACCTGCAAGGAAAATGGGCTAGTTCTCCCGCCTGGGCCTGATTTCATACCTTCACTGCAATTTCCACCATGAAAATGGATTAATTCCAAGGTGCTTTCAGTTCTGATTAAACATTTTCTGTCTGTGGTGGTGTCAGGATTGTAAAACACCTAATACAGCAGTTAATTATAATGCCGTGAACTGCTTTAACCTCTACAATTATCTGGGTTTTTAGAGGCTGACTCCCCTCCCAGCTCTCACTTATGGGTTAGTAATGCTCAGAGCAGGGCAGGGCATGGACCGACCACCAAATAAAAACAGGGAAGATTGAAGAGGTCAGAGACCGGAGTGATTTCTGGAGCACGGGTGAGGCACAGCAGGCAGGACTCTTCTTGTTATAATGACCAAATTTGCAGCCACTAAATGGCTCTCCTAAAGACCACAGAATGTTCCTAGCTTCTTAGAGCCATAGGAGATGTCTCATTGTAGCCTAAAAAGAAAAAAAAGTAGTTGCATTTTCCTCTTTCTCTTCATTGCATTGACCACTTTGTTGGTGGGGGTGAGGGTGGGGAAGGGATTTGGTAGCAGTGACAAGAGCAACTATCAGTTACTGCACTAAAGGATTTACTAGGTGGAAGTTGTCTAACTTAGCCTTCCCACAAGCCTGTGAAGCTGGTAATAGGTTTGATAGAAGAGGAGCTGAGTAACGTAACAGGACACTGCTAGATGACACTCCAGTACTAACATTTTTTTCCAGGGTGGCAGCCTACAGAAGTATTTCTTTCCCCTATATTACTAAAGAGGGAAGCACCCCTTGGCAACTGCATTTTCTACCTTGATCTGTACTTCACCTTCTTGATTTTTTTTTTTTTTTTTTTTGAGATGGAGTCTCACTCTATCGCCCAGGCTGGAGTGCAGTGGTGCAATCTTGGCTCACTGCAACCTCCACCTCCCGGGTTCAAACGATTCTCCTGCCTCAGCTTCCCGAGTAGCTGGGACTACAGGTGCCTGCCACCATGCCCCACTAATTTTTATTTTATTTTATTTTTTTTAGTAGAGACAGGGTTCACCATGTTGGCCAGGCTGGTCTCAAACTCCTGACCTCAAGTGATCCACCTACCTCAGCCTCCTGGTTACTTCACCTTGTAAATTTTTTTTTTTCCTTTGGGACATCTTGACCTGGCCATTTGTAAGAAACAGAAAAACTATATTCACAGAGTGGCTTGTTAGTAGTTGACTCTTTTCTTCAACCTTCTGATGAATACTTGAGCACCTGACCCAAAGCTTGTATCATTTTCTCTGAGTGAAAAGTAAGTTAGTTCATGAATGAACTGCACACTCTGGGTTGCTCCCTTGCCCATCTCTTTTGATCTCCTAGTTTTAGGAAGAATTCAGCTGACAACAACCAACTTGATTAACTGTAGGTCCTGATTAAATAAGAGCATGGGCTGTTAGCCTTCTCATGCTTGAGGACCGCATTTTTTTAAACATTGATTTTGAAAAACAATTCATCAGAAATGCCTTTAAATAACACTTAATCTCTAAAGGCTGCATGGTCTACAGGTGAATTCACAGGTATTGGTGTCAACCTATCCTTAATTTAACATCCATATAAACTTAGACCAGTTCCTTAATCTCTCTGGGTCTCACCTTTTTATCTATAAAATGAGTATAAAAATAATGGCTATGTCAACGGGCTACTGTGAGGATCAGCTGAATGAACCTAGCTTAGAGTTTAATATGATACCTCCTGCTATGCAATACTAATAATTACTATTAAAATACATAGCAAGATATACTTTTTCTACTATTAAGATAATGTTTGGTGAACACCAGGGTTTTCAAACTCCAGCAGTAACTCCAAGATCCCCAGTAATCCATGACTTGGGGATCACCAAGGGAGAGTGGATATCCACTTCAACACCTGTCTCTCAAACACACAAAACCATACGTCTAGATGTCTCTTGGTCAACCAAATAACTTTCATGTTTGAGTTGCAAGTGATATTTGGTTGGCTGAGTTTTTAAAATACATGTGAAAAATGTAAATAGAACCCACTCTTTCCCATGAAAAGAAAATGCATATTCCAAAGGCTTTGTCTGAAATAATAAATCAGAAAATCAAATTTGTTTCTTATTAGGTGTATTTTCAGGTAGGGATTGAAATGAAAATTTGCATTTAAATGGAAAGATTAATGACTAACACACAAAGCCCATATTTCATCACCATTTCCTTAACACAAATAATTTATTTTTTATACAGATCATCCACCTTAAGTCAGCAGTCGAAAATGATAGGTGTAGTATTTTATAAAACAATTATTGTGCCACCAATCATGCATCTCAGTTATAAATACTTCTGAGCTGCTGGTTTCACACTGTTACTTGGGAAAGATCTAAATGTTGGTACAGTAATTTGGGTGTAAATATATATAAGAATGTGTGACTCTCACCTCATGGAAATATCTCAAGCTGAAGAGAAAGAATCGTTTGGAAATTACTTACTGTGCATGGTCTACTCGTTTGCTCTTTCCTCTCAAATCTGGGCTAAGGAGGATTTGCCTCCCATTTCCATTTTAAATAGTTGCTTAAAAAAATAAGAACCATGTCATGTCCTTTTCAGGGACATGGATGCAACTGGAGGCCACTATCCTTAGCAAACTAACAAGGGAACAGAAAACCAAATACCGCATGTTCCCACTTGTAAGTGGGAGTTAAATGGTGAGAACACATGGACATATAGAGGGGTACAAAACACACTGGGGCCTATCGGGGCTGGAGGGTGGGAGGAGGGAGAGGATCAGGAAAAACAACTGATGGGTACCAGGCTTAATACCTGGGTGATGAACTAATCTGTACAACAAACCTGCATGACACAAGTTTACCCATGTAATGAACCTGTGCTTGTCACTTGTACCCCTGAACTTAAAAGTAAAAAAAACAAAATTCTGACTATCCCTCCTCAGGGTAATCTAGTAGTGAAAACACAAAAGGGATGCATTTTCCTCCAAATTAAAATATGAAGGAACGTTCTGAAAATACCAGTGTCCCTCCCACTTGCCCCGGTGGCCCTTCCCTTCATATATTTCCCTATAGGGATAGTGCACTTTGGCCTATGGACTGGAAGACCAGGAATCATCTCGCTTATTCTACACTGTTTTCCTCAGAACCAAACCATCTCCCACACACCCAGCATCATTTATTCCACATACAGGGCACATCATATGAATATAGAGAATGCTCAATGGATCTGGGACCTCTTTCCTAAGGCCTGACCTATACAGCAGCAAAACTGAATGACTTTGTCCTGGGAAAGAAATCTGATTGAGGAGAAATTACCCCAGGCATTAGATGATGTCTTTTCTCTGTCTGTACCTTTGGTTGCAATGTTGAGCAAATGTTGAAATTTTATTTGTATTAGCTGGAGAGTTACAGTGAAATGATAAATTTGCATTAAATAATCTTCCTCACTGGGGACTGGCCAATAACAGAGTCAGCAGTACAGACACTGCCAAAAATTTAAAGTTATTGGTTGGTATTATGTCATCCTCTGGGCCCTGATAATTCATGCAGCTTTTCACACTCTTTCCTTCTCTCCCCCTTCCGTCTCTCCTTTACCCCTCTCCCATCCTTCCCCCATTCTTCTCTGAAAGCAGCCAGAGCAACTTACATTTAGAAAACAAGACAATGATAAAATATGGGAAACTGGAAAGAATAAAGAGTTATTAGACCTGGTTTGTCCATTCTTTGCCCTTAAAGCCTCAATTTAATTCTGGAGTTTGGCAGGCTGTTTAAAAATAACACCTCCTCTACAAATTGGCACCTCTGTTCGCTATTGATCTCTTCCGATTGCTGACCAGCAAAATTAGCACCACATCCTCTGCCATTAAGAGGACAGAGTGAGAGACAGGGAAAAGTATAAGCACTTTACTTGGAAAAGCATGCCAACAGCCAGTCCTACTGGCATAGCGCTTTTTAGCTTCCATGGTCCCTGATTTTTGCCAGTGATGAATATATCACAAAAGGTAGATGGATTTTGTGCGTGGTAGTGATTAGAAGAAAGGAAGATTCCTTCTGGTGGGAATTTGGGCTGGATTCCTGAGAGAAAACGATGCTGGGCTGGGCAAGTCTAGTTCAAAAACTTATTTGCAATACTAACCAGAGCCATGTCATCCCTGAAGAAAAAAAATCTAGCCACATTACATTCGGTAAGTCAAAGCTGACCTATATGAAGAAAGCTGGCACCCAGTTAAGGTTAATTAAAAACGTATATAATGACTCATTTCTGAAAGTCATGACTTTACTTGATTGGGGAGAAAAAAGTCTAAGAATCAGTGTCTAATGGGCCTTCTAGTCTCAGCCAGTGGCTGCATTGACTGCCACTCTAAGTAATGATCCCTGATGTATAATAGAGAAAGATGTGGTCCAGTGGCTAATGAAACCAGATCAGTACAGAGAACACATATACTTTAATTCATGGTCCCTCTGTTGCATTCAGATTTTTATCCAAAAGACCTTCTAATTAGAGTCCTCTCAGGTGGGAATGTGTCCACCTTTTCAATGACACATGGACAGCAGGAAAAAGGCAAACAACCTCGTTGTTTTTCTCCAGCATTCGATCCACTAATCATCTTTCCCAAATTCAGCTCAGGCTTCTGCCCGAGTTCATTTCATCTTCATCAGCATTGCCATTTTCTATCTCATATTTCAAAGAGCAATTGGAAAGCAGATATTTAATCAGAAAAGTTTGGGATTCATTTTTTTGGACACCCAATCTGTCTTTAGAGGCTTTGAGATAGACAAAATTGCTGTTGACTACAAAAACAACTAAAGTCAGTGTCCTTGAGAAATGCTAAAGTCCAGTGAAAACTGTATGGGTTTTAGAGGTGGTCAGATCTGGCTCAAATCCCAGCTCCACCATTTATTATATGTTTGACCTTGGATAACTTGCCTAGCCCCCAGAGCCTCAGTTTTCTCATCTGCAAAATGGAGATAACTCTCTAAAATGTCTGTTTGTTAAGGCTGCAATAGGCATTGGTCCTCATGCAAGACAGAAAACCTAACTTGAGATAACTTAGGCTAAAGAGAGTTTCTCTTACATGACTAAAATTGAAGTCCCATAGAAATAGGGTGTCTGTGGACTTTAAATTGGTGAAAGGGGGAGCACCATTATCATTAAACTGGACAAACCAGTTCATGCTGTCATTCCACATGGAAACGAAGACCAAGAATGCAGCCAGGCCTCAGGAAAGGTTGCAACTGGGCACTGGATGTTGCCAAGAACTCAGCACTCTCTCCCTCTCCCTTGTCTCTCTTTCTTTATGAATCCACATCATTTTCTGCTCTCCCTGTAGGTTGCCTCACTTTGTTCTAGGCTTCACCAGGGTTCCTAAGTATAGCCATTACATGTCCAGACAAATGGAGATAATCTCCCTGATTACCTGTTGATCTCAATTCCAAATTTAGAAGGAAGGAATTCTGATTGGTCCAGCTTGTAGGATGTCACTCAAACTTGGTCTAATGTGATTGAGGCTGGGGCGTGGGTTCACACTTTATAGAATGGCTCCTGTGGAAGGGGATGGGTTACATTTTGATAGTGAGGTCAGTTAAAGTTGGGGACTGGTGACTTGGAAAAATACCCCAAATGTATTCACTATGTGAGGAAGAAAACATGTAGGGAGCTAAAACAGTGGCGCTAAGGAGCAGGCCTTGAGTAAAAGACAGTTAGAATGTCCCAATCAATGAGAAAGCTTTGGGAGGTGGATTAAAATTGGCCTTTCATTTTTCATCCACATTAGCCACTGTTTTCTTAATGGGATAATTGAAATTGGTAAATGAGAATGCCAAACTTTTCACCACTGAAATCTTGACACTCATAAAATTTATTCAGCAGCCCCAATCTGGAGAGTTACAGTGTGGGCATCCGCTATGCTTTCTGGTCTAGGAACCACAGGTACACATAACTCCTCATCACTGCCCTGGGTGAGACTGGGGAGTGTTCATGGTCTGTTCTGGGACCAGATTGCAATTATCCCAATAGACATCTCATTTCAGACACAAATGACTGAGCTTCACCTGCATGGTTTCCCAAGACAGGCCCCCAAATTTTAAGCCTGTAGAGGGAAAAAACTAAAAATCCAGAAGCCAAACGACAGTGCTTTCCAGTGGCAGAGTTGATTATTAGGCCTGGCATAAGCCTTCTGTTCTTCAATGAGCTGGTTTATAATGTAAGACAAATAGAGCCATTTCGGGATGGAGGGAACTAATGATCGGTCTGACCACTAAGGAATCCACAGTTCAATTGTGTTCTCACAAACCTAACAGCTCTTTCGTAAACTGTATGTTCTCAGGAATCACTGAGCTGCTTCCCTGAAACCAAAATAGCAGCCCTGGGATGGAGACAAAGACTCTAACTGGGCATATTTCCTTGAACAATTATGACTTCAAACCGGAGCAGTGACCCATCTTCTCAACAAGTGTTTCTCAGATGTTCCATTGAAAGTCTACATTTTTCTTGATTTCTCCCTTCTCTGTTTCATTTCTCTTCCTCCTTTAGACTCGTCCCAAATTCTGCCAGGGAATTCCCCTCTGCCCTGTCTCTCCACCAATATCCATTTTTCATTATCAAGGAGTACAGAGGACATTCTTTTCTCTTCTGCCTGGTTCTCCCAAACGCCCAGCAGTGTGTTACCAAATCTACGTAGCAGAATGTTACATTGGAAGTTTTAGTTGAGGCACCAAGATTCAAGACAGACCAGATTCCAAAGGAGGTACCATAAGCAAAATTTTCAAAGAACTTGTCTAGAACGTGGTTTCCCGACTTTTAAATCCCTTGCCTCCAATGAGGCTATAAAAGGACTGGGTGGTTAGAAAATTGGGAGAGGGTATTTTTGGAGAGAGCTGTTGGCGTGCTACAAGTCCTCACCCACCTTCCACGGAGAAGGACTAAGGCTTGGGCCCAGCAGCACGTTAAAGGAGAACCTGGTGCATATTTTCCACAGCCAAGGACCCGATAGACTAGGATCTGACAATTGCTTGAGCAATTGAGTAGGTGGGAGTTAAATAGAGATGGCAGCTGGGGATTGGTCTCCATTTCCAGAATATGTCCAGGTAACAAAAGCATGAGACTTTACTAGGAATAAGATGTGGATTATGTGGGGCTGAAGGTGGAAGGCTGACCTAGAGCCGTTTTAACTCCTTCCCAGTAGCCTACCAGAAATGGCTAAGGAAATCAAAGTGAGAGGCCATGTAGACAGGATTGCAAAAACCTGAGGGCTGAAGGTGAAGCGACAGCCTGAGGAATAAAGTGCATTGCTCATGGCTCAAGGAGCTGCTTTAGACTGAATGTTTGTGTCCCTGGAAAATTCATATGTTGAAACCTAATTCCCAATGTGATGGTATTTGGAATTGGGTCTTTCAGAAGTGATTAGGGGCCTGGACGCAGTGGCTCGTGCCTGCAATCCCAGCACTTTGGGAGGCAGAGGTGGGCGGATCACCTGAAGTCAGGAGTTCAAGACCAGCCGGGCCAACGTGGTGAAACCCCGTCTCTACTAAAAATACACACACATACACAGCCAGGTGTGGTGGCCCCCACCTGTAATCCCAGCTACTTGGGAGGCTGAGGCAGGAGAATCGCTTGAACCTGGGAGGCAGAGGTTGCAGAAATTGCGCCACTGCACTCCAGCCTGGGCGACAGAGTGAAACTCCGTCTCAGGAAAAAAAAAAAAAAAGTGATTAGGACATGAGGGAAGAGCCCTCATCAATGCAGTTTGTGCCCTTATAAAGTACACCTGAGGCTGCTCTTGCCCTTGCACCCCTGGAGACACATGAGAACCAGGAAGCAGGCCCTCATCAGACACCACACATGCTGGTGCTCTCTCATGCCTGGGAGCAGGGTACACGGTGAATACATCTCTTCTGCTATGTTCTTGCTAGCCCATTATTTCTCCTTTTCTTGAAGAAGAGCATCAACTCTACCTTGCGCTGCTGTAATTCAGAGCTTTTTAGTGGTCCCTTACATGGTAGGTGCCTGCAAGATACTGACTGATTGGATGAATAAATATAGAATTTGTAGAATGGCAATGTTTTGCTTCAATTGTCATTTCCCCCAGCACAGGAAATCACAAGGGCACTGTTCAGTGCTGCTAATTCCCTTAAAAAAATGGCTTTACACTGTAAAGAAAACGTTTGACCATGAACTCTCATCTAGGACTTAACTATGCAAACCCTGCCAGATTTGAGAGTCTTAGCTTGGCAACTCTCTCCCAAGATAGCAATTTCCTGTGAATGCCAGACCCTTGTAGAACACATTTGTTTCCTTCCAACTTGAGACTGCAACCATAGGCTGCTTTTATAATCCCAGCTTGAAGGTATATCATTGCCCTTTCCTTCCACATTGCCAGTCTCAATGGCAGGAGCAATCAGGTCTTGATGTTGAAGGTCACTTGTGTCAACACCTGTCTATTTCCACTGGCCTGTGAGTTCAGGCTTCCTGCCTGAAGCCTGACCTAGAATCCTAATGAGTTGGATTCAGGCTGAACTTGCTTCTCTGGTTGATGCTTTGGCCATCTGTTGACCCTCTACAGCTCAGTCAAGAGTTTTTAGCCTGACAGCATAGATAAAAGAGACATGGGTGTATCTGCCAAATGTCTTGTATTTTTTGCACTACACTTTTCGCTTCCCAAATCTGTGAGAAGCAAGTTTAAGCTGCATAAAACATTCATCATGTGCATATATGGTGCATGTAGCTATTTCTACCTCTAGACTGTAGGGTCTAGGTAATCTGGGTTTCACTGGAGCCTGCTCAACAAAGTTGGAATAACTGAAGTAATCAACAAGTGGCTAACTGGTATTCAGATGATTTCAAGACAGCGCTGCAGCCATGATTAATAATGAAATCATAAGGATTGCACCTTATATAAAATGGTACATGAATGTACCAACACTGATGCTATGGTCTGATTAAACTTAGCTGCTCTGAAGACAGTACCATGAGCCACATTACTAGGACAACTTTGAGTTCTTCCAATTAGCAGGAAGAAAGCCAGTCAACACATAACCAATATTATAATAATTAGCATATGATTATAATAATTAGCATATAAATGCTTTCTGATCACTGTTAAGACCAGTATCACATTTGCATAATAATGGCTTCAGCCCCAGCATGATGCCTTGAACTCTAGCTCCTCTCCCCACCAAACCCCTAGCCCTTCCCCTGGCAGCTTCCTCCAGGTCCCCAGTGCCATTTTTTAACTAAGGCCTGAGCCCTCTCTCCTTGCTCAGCCTTGTTTTGAACCTGTTCCTGTGCTCACACAATGATCCTATGCTCTGCTTGGACATGTGCATGGCTTCTCCATACCTGCTGTATTAGTCCATTTTCAGCCTGCTGATAAAGACATACCTGAGCCTGCACAATTTACAAAGGAAAGAGGTTTATTAGACTTATGGTTCCACATGGCTGGGGAGGCTTCACAATCATGGTGGAAGACGAGGAGGAGCAAGTCACATCTTACATGGTTGGCAGCAGGCAAATAGAGAGCTTGTGCAGGGAAATTCCCGTTTTTAAAACCATCAGATCTTGTGAGATCCATTCACTATCATGAGAACAGCATGGGAAAGACGGCTCCCCCCAACATGATTCAATCATCTCCCACTGGGTCCGTCCCACAACACATGGGAATTATGGGAGCAACAAGATGAGATTTGGGTGGGGACACAGCCAAACCACATCACCTGCCCCTTAGCTTTGCTCTCTCTTCTTTAGGTAAGAGCAGCAAGGTAATAATTTACGCAGCCCTTCAAGTCAATATTTCAGAGCTCGGTCTGTCTCTTGAAGAGGCGGATCCAACAGACCAACACCCAAGAGGAGGGGTGAACTCTGTGTGTGATGCAGAGAATAAAACACATATACTTAAGCCTGTAACCTGAGCGTATCAGTTACAGGGAGCTATCAGGCAAACAACAGCATGCACTCTTAAGCCATTTATGTTACAGCATTCCTGGGACTCTTCTTTAAGAAATTGTTGCCTAACATGCAGTAAAATCTTATACAACAATAACTATTGCAATTATTAAGAGCTAACATACTGAGCACCTTCTGCGTTCTAAGCTCTCAATTAATTCTCATGAAACCTTGGCCTGGTAACTTCTATCATATCAGTTTAAGAGATGAAAGTGAAGCTCAAGGGGATTATGTAACTTGACCAACGTCACAAAACTAGTGAGCAGATAAGCCAAGATCTGGATCTAATTTGGTGTCCTTAACCATTATTTCCACCCTCCTCCCACAAAGAAATGAGTCTCACTGGGCAATTATAGCTTCACATTTATAAAATGAGAAATAGCATTTCAGGTTCTCAGGAAGACTGCAAATATCAGGAAATGCAATTGTTGTCAAGCACTTTGCATATGGGAAATGCTAAATCAAGCTAAATTAAATTCAACAGAGTTCTAGACAGTTAACAAGCCTTTATTAAACCCCTGCTGTGTTGGGCACCCAGCCGTGACTCGGGTTAAGCCTAATACTACTTAATTTATGAAAATGCTGTTATAATTATTCTGTTTCTTAAATTTACACGCCCTCAAGAAGAAAGTACAATTTACAATTAAATAGACATTATTTATTCCAATTCCTTGTCTTTCTTTCCATTCAGCACACCTTTATGAGGTACCTTATTGTAGTAGACACATCTTGGAGGGTCTGCCTAGGTCATGATTATTTCCCTCCTCCCACAATCACCCCTCCTTCCACACCCATGGAGATGGGTGACGTACAGCAACGTTGGACCATCTGGCCCAAGCAGGGCCGAACAGCTTCTTTCTTCCGTGAACTTGGAATCAAAATTTGCTCATCAGTCCCTATAAGTGGCTGGAAGTGGCATGTGAACTTGGAGAGAGTAGAGCATCCTTGCATCATTTGGACAGAGGATGAGGGGTCCAGATGACAGAGAGGGAGGAGAGAGAGCAGATGTTCAGGAGAGAAGCAAAGGAGCTAGACAGAGAGACACACAGACAGACAAATACAAAGCAGGGAGTTCAGAGCCCTGGTGAGAAATGTGGATTTGAAAGAAGAATGTCTCCGCAGAACCCCTACATGATGGTGAAGCTTCTGCTCTTACTACTACATTGTATGGAGTGAGGACTTTGCCCTGACAGATTTTATTGAGAGAATGCATAAATGAGGATGCTTTTAAAATATAAAACTGGCAAAATGATATTGTGAGGGATTGAGGAAATCTGTACTTTATTATTCTTTTCTATTCTGGGAGATCTAGTAATTTAAAACCATGCCATTTGAAGAAATTCCCAGCTACTGTTGCATTTCTTATTTAGCATCATTGCCAATAACATCCTAACCATAAAAACACACAGAACCTTTCAGAGCTGCCCCTCAGGGCATATTACATAGTGCCCAATCTTCAAACACTCCATGAAGCATACCTCACTCTCCCCTCCATCCACAGTCCTAAGAGACTTCTTTACTATTCCAAGTCCTCAGGAAAGATCAAAGCAGGGAAACATTGGTGTTTCTTTTCATGTGGCAAAGGATATGTCCTTCTCTAAGTTTAATTAATAATGGACCATGTGAAACACACTGTCAATAAAACACTGTTGTGTACTAGCAGGAAAATAAATGAGATGAAAAAAATATGCCTGTCTCATTATTCATTTGTATTGATCTAGATGTACAACCTTATGCATCACAATTTGACAAAAGGTTAAATATTAACAGAAGAATCATTAATCTAACAAAACAAAGTAACACAACAATGGCTCCCCTGCTTAGCTTTACCTATACCAGGGGGCTCTGGATGCTCTGAGGAACCTTTCAAACTGATGTTCAGTACCTCTCCTTACAGACCCAGCGACGAACTAGACTGGACCGTAAGATAAATAGCAGGAGGTTGTCTCTATGGATTGCAATCATCTTATTATACAAATGGACGACTCTTGCTATAAAGTTTCTGCCATATAAAACATAGAGGCCTCTTACCAAAGAAAACATCTGAGATATTATCCAACATGGAGCTTGGCACAAACACATTTTCTGAAAAATTTTAAAAAGTATTTTAGGCACAGTAGTTCCTTTCAGGGGTAAAGAAACATTTCTGTGAATTTTATCAGTTTTTCCAGCTTTATTTCAGTTCATTCTTCTGTTGAATTAATTTCATTTTTTAATAAAAACACTTTCTTTTGTATGTCCTTCCACCTTTCCTTTAAACCAGGTTTCAATCCATGAATCCATCCATGCACCCAACCCTGCACCCCATCAATGCACTTACCCATCCAGCCTTCCATGCACCCAAACATGCATCAGTCCACACACCCAAATATGCATCTGTCCACATATCCAACCGTGCATCCATCCATGTATCACCCTTGCACCCACCTATTCATTTATCCATCCATTGGCATTTGGGGTAATAAGAGGAGAGAGATTTGTTAGATTTTGGGCATAAGGGAAGGTGAACCATAGAGATGTTAAGTGACTTATTCAAGTCACTCAACAAACGTTAGGTCTAGAATTAGAAAGTTTCATTGAATCTTTCAGGGGTTCCTGTTGTTTTTCTTATTTTTAGCTTATAAAGTACCAACATAACGAGTACTTACTAAAGATCAAAAGATTTTGATAACTTACTAATTAAATTAGTTTCCCCTAAGAATTGAAAAAGAAATAAAAGTCAGGATTTCAAACATAATTAGGAAGACCAGACCACTATAAGAAATTATAGTCTGAAAGTTTATAGTAAAAGAGAATATGATCATTTTCAATAAATTTTTTTGTTATGGTCCTAATTTGGTCCTAAGAGTAGGTGCTAAGAGTAGGTCCATGTCTCTTCTAAAAATACAAAAATTAGTGGAGCGTGGTGGCACATGCCTACGATCCTGGCTACTCAGGAGGCTGAGGCAGAATTGCTTGAAACTGGGAGGTGGAGGTTGCAGTGAGTTCAGATTGTGCCACTGCACTCCAGTCTGGGTGATACAGTGAGACTCCATCTCAAAAAAAAAAAAAAAAAAAAAAAAAAAGATAACCAAATCTATTTGTCTGAAGAAAAGAGAGATGACATTTTACCTTTACCAAGTCATGCAAAACAGTCTTAATCAATCCCAAAGACACTTCACTGTGCAAATCCGTCACATTTTTCAGTGATGCTATGGATCTTGTTTTACATCATTCTTAAAATTATTGCCCATATTAACCACAATTAGATACTCCACATATAAAAGTACAAATATACACAAATCAACTTTCAGAAGAGGAGATTAGATTATTTAAAGAATAAGTGGCTGGCCAAAGTTAAAGGGCCACTTCGAACACAGATCTGGCTGTGTATTTGTATAGTATCTCTTCCAGTAATACCTGAGTGATTTGAAAGTATTTTATTCAGCAACACAGAATCCTTGTGAAACAGGTGGTAGCTCATCCATCATTTAAGCAATTCCTAAAAATCCCCCTCTTCCACAAAGTCTTCTAAGGGAGGGAAGACGGTTTTCCCTGGCCTCATCTTTCCTGGATCTAAAACATACCCAAGGCTCATCTTTTTTCTGTATTTTGTTAAAAATGCACTGACCTTCCATGTGAAAAGCTGCTCAGTGGCTCGCTATATTCCTTGGCAGGGGTCCAAGCTTATTTACGTCAATTTGTTAGCATCCTAAAATCTCCAGAACAGGGACTAAATCACCAACATGCAGATTGTGGAATCCTGGTAAATTTGTAATGCAGCAAAAGTTATCACCTCCATTTAAAAATCAGGAATAAAGAATTGGAGGTAATGTGAGCAAGGGATGCACAAGGAATTACAATCCACTACAAAGGAGGTGTTAGAATTCTTTGAGGCATGTCCAAGGAGAAAACCAGTTCAATTTCAAGCCCTGTATATTGGAGGGGAAAGTTTTGTCAGAATCTTGGTGTTCTAATAGGTATTTTCCAATCTCTAATTTATAGTGGCCCATTTTTGCTTGCCTTTGTACTCTACGTAGCCCTGGCCAACTTCAAAGATTGATGAAATCTGAGAGTGGTATTAGATTTAACACCATTTCAAGATGGGCTTTAAGCTGAGTGAGAATGAGTCAGACAGGAAAAGAAGTAGAAAGAAAGAGAAAGGTTCTGCATGAAACTCTTGGCCTTATAGCAAATTGAAATATTATTATTGCAATCCCCTCCAGAAATCTCTGGGGTGGTCCATGCTACTCTAAGATCATGCTACCTCCCATGGTGGCATCTGAATAAAGATATCATGAAGTGAAATGGATTGTAATGTATGTGCTGCCCAATCAAACTGAGAAATTCCCTAAAATCAGTGCCATTTTGGAGACAGCTCCCTGTTTACCATGCTTGAAATATCTGGGCTGTGCTAAGCTGAGAACACAGTTACACTGGGTCAGCATCTCAGAAGTTATTTTCTTCAAGAAGCTTAGCTCCATGGTATAAGGGATCAGTTATAGAATACTAATAACAGTTTAATGATTTCTCACTTTGCCTTCAGGGGCATCATCAAAATCTTGTTCTGATTCTATCAGAAACCAAGATTTTAAGTATGTTGCTAAACAAAATTTCCATAAAATGAGAGATGCAAAATAAGACTGAAAGTGATAAAATGTTTAGAAGCAGTGCTTGACAATTCTCAAAGCATAGAATAAGAGTTCAAAAATATGACATCTCTACAGAGCCAAAAATTAATGTCCAATATAAATTCTCTCTGATACGCTGATGATTAGATGCCAATACCATTTGGCTAATGCTAAATCCCACACCATCCTTTTTAGCTTTATGTCTGAACTGTAACAAAAGATTTATTAACACAACCTTTTTAAGTTCCCAAATGATAGCATTAAGGTTACAACATAGGCTTCTTAATACACATTTTCAAGTTAATTTTTTATACAATGTAGTTAAAAATTATGAGCTATGAAGTCCACCGGCCTGGGTTAGCCCATTGACTCAGCTATGTATTAATTATCTTGTGAAATTTTCTTAACCTGTCAGTGCTTCTATTTTCTCAACTGTAAAATGGGGATTATATTTACTATTTCACAGAATTGCTATATTGCTATAAAGATTAGAGCTAATACATTGAAGGTTCTTATTACAGTACCAGATACATGGTAGGCTTTCCATGCATAATAGCTATTGCTATCATGGCCATGAGTTGAATCCTCAAATCTTCCCTACATTTTCTTATCATACAACCAATTGTTTAAGAAATTTCAGGAGTTTTAAGGCAATTCTTAAATTCTTCTATTATTCTTCCAATATAAATGCAAGGTGAAGAAGGTATTCTAGTTGAGATATTTTTCCCTCCAACCATGTTTTCCCCTTACTATGTATTTGTTGAAGAACCTGTGCCATACATGTAGAGTTTCCTGCAGTCTGGATTTTACTGGTTGCACACACAGACAATTCAACATGAGCCTCTCTCTTTGGTATTTCTTGCAAACTAACAACTGGATCAAGAGGCTTAATTACATTCAAGTTTGATGCTTTTGGCAAGACTAATGGTGGTACTGGGTTGTTTCACCTGGAGACGCATCATGTCTTGTTTTTCGCTTTTTTTTGAATGTAGAAGTCATCAATGCTCAACGTCTAAATATATCATGAATTCATAATGATATTTTTAATTCAAATTTGGGAGCTTAAGAAATTTACTTTAATTTTCCTACATTACACTTGTATACATACATGAGTCTTGGAATAACAACACTAAAGCCATCAATAATGATTCCTGACTATAGAACATTTTTTACATATGCTCTCCCATCTTTCTCCTCATTTTATTGTGGTACTATGTCTGCATTCTCAAATCATACAAGCATTACTTACCAGAATCTTTCTCTTCTTAGTCATAGACACACAAGTACTGCCACAATACATTTAGTGCCTACTGCCAGTTCTAACATTGAGGTCTCTAGTCATTTTGGTAATCTGAAGACAATTCTCTACTAGATTCCTTGACAAAAAAAAAAAAGAGAGAGAGAATGGGAAAGGTAACCCCTGAAATCTTACATTTCTATTTATTTTTTTCCTTTTTCTTAATTTTTTAAATTGTGGTAAAATACACACATAACATTTACCACTGCTACCTTTTTTTGTTTTTGATTTCTAGAGACAGAATCTCGCTCTATTGCCCAGGCTGGAGTGCAGTGGTTCAGGCTTGTCTCAAATTCCTGAGCTCAAGCTATCCACCTGAACTCGGCCTCCCAGTAGCACTGGCATTATAGGTATGAGCCATCACGTCTGGCCTGTTACATGGGAGGCTGAGGCAGCTACTTGGGAAGTTGAGGCAGGAGAATTGCTTGAACCCAGGGGGACAGAAGTTGCAGTGAGCCAAGATGGCACCACTTCACTCCAGCCTGAGCTAAAGAGCAAGACGCTGTCTCAAAAAAAAAAAAAAAAGTATATATATATATATGTGTGTGTGTGTGTGTGTACACACATATATACACACAAATATATATATATATATATTTTTTTTTTCTTTTTCTCCAGTAGTAGAATTGCTGGAACATACGGTAGCTCTTTGTTTGGTTTTTTGAGGAACCTCCACTCTGTTCTCTACAATGGCTGTACTTAACTGTTTTACACTCCCACCAAAGGTATATGAGGGTTCCCCTTTCTCCACATCCTCACCAGCATCTGTTATTGTCTGTCTTCTTGACACAAGTCATTTTAACTGGGGTGAGATGAGATCTCATTGTGGTTTTGATTTGCATTTCTTTGACAACTAGCGATGAACATTTTTTCACATGCTTGTTGGCCATTTATATGTATTCTTTTGATAAATGTCTGTTCATATCTTTTTCTCATTTTTAAGTTAGACTGTTCCTTTTGCTACTGAGTTGTTTGAACTCCTCTGGTCATTAATCCCTGTTGGATGCATAGTTTGCAAATACTAGCTCCCATTCTGCAGGTTGTCTCTTTTCTTCGTTGATTGTTTCCTTTGCTGTGCAGAAGTGTTTCAGCTTGAGGTAATCCCACTTATTTTTTCTTTGGTTGCCGTGCTTTTGAGGTCTTACACAAAAAACCTTTGCCCAGACCAGTGTCCTGGAATATATCTCCAATGTTTACTTCTAGTACTTTCATAGTTTCAGGCCTTAGATTTAAGTCTTTTAATCTATTGATTAGATTTTCATTTACAATATATAGTTTCCTTCTGTATAATAGTTATCCAGTTTTTCTACCCCTATTTATTGAAAAGACTGCCCTTTCTCCATTATATGTTTCTGGTGCCTTTGTCAAAGATGAGTTGGCTGTGAATGTGTGGATTTATATATAGGTTCTCTATTCTGTTGCACTGGTCTATGTGTCTCTTTTTACATCAGTGCCATGCTGTTTTGGTTACTATAGCTTTATAGTAAATTTGATGTCAGGTAGTATGATGCCTACAGCTTTGCTCTTTTTGCTCAGGATTGCCTTGGCTCTTCAGAGTCTTTTGTGGTTCCATATAAATTTTAGGATTTTTTTCCCTATGTCTGTGAAGAATGTCATTAATATTTCAATAGGGATTGCAGTGAATATGTAAATTGCTTTTGGTAGTATCCTTATTTTAATAATATTACTTTTTTCAATCCATGAGCATGAAATATCATTCCACTTTTTTGTGTCCTCTTGAATTTCTTTCACCAGAGCTTTGTACTTTTCCTTTTGTAGGTCTTTCACTTCCTTGAGTAGCTTGATTCCTAGTTATTTTATATATTTTTGTAGCTATTGTAAATGAGATTTCTTTTTATTTTCAGACTGTTTGATATTGTTATATATAAATGTTACTGATTTTTGTAAGTTGATTTTGTATCCTGCAACTTTATTGAATTTGTTTTTCAGTACTAACAGGTTTTTTTGGTGGAGTCTTTAGTTTTTTCTAGGTATAAGACCATGTCATCTGCAAACAAGGCTAATGTGACTTTTCTTTCCAATTTGGATACTGATGACTGTCTATGCCCTTTACACTAGAAGGTCAATTGTGGTGGATGATGACTTTCCTTATGCCTTCTTAATTCCATTTTCTTCTGAAGTAAAATGTTGCTGTCAAATAGTCTGATGACATCTGATATTCTTTCCCTTGTAAGTCAAGGGTTCTCTTTGTTAGGATGCTCAAATGTTATTTTCCATTTTTAAAAAAAGTTCAGACATTTTATTGGGCTATATCTCGCTATTGGTTGATATTGAAAAAATGTCTTTCACAATATGCACTTTAAAAATTTTTAACTCCAGGATAAAATTCTTAATTATATTTTTAGATTTGTTCTTCTTCCTTGCTTCAGTTTTCTTTCTCACAAACTCCCATTATCTATATACTGGATCTTCTTTGCCTCTTCAATATTTGTCAATTTAATGTGAATCCTTTTTATCTCTTCATTTCTTTTTGATTTTAAAAAATTCCCTCCTTTTATCTTCCATTTTTCTTAAGGCATTATATTGTGTTTATTTACTCCTTTGTTCCTTCTAGTTTAGCCACTATTTTTTAAATGACTTTTTATTTTTATTTTAATTCCTTGAGCTTTGTCACCTAATTTGAATATTTTTAATTTTGATTTGTTTTTTTCATATCTTATATCATTTTCTCAACATATTTTAGACTTTTTTTTAAAAAAAAACAGAATGTCCCAATTTTTTATCTTTGTTTTTTGAGTATCTATCTCTGGAATGTTTTCATCCTGTATAAGGATATCTTCTACCATTTATTCTCTTTCTTTGTTATAATAATTTTGTATGGGATTTGACCTGGATACTTTTCTTTCGCTCATATCTATGTAAAATTACTCTCCTTGAACTTTTAGAAGAAAGCTTGGTTCAGAGAAGATTTCTTTTACTTAATAGAACTCTCTTTTCAGTTGTTTTCACGTAGTATTAAAAATACGGTGGCCTGTTTTTGAGATTCTTTGTATCTGTTCCTCTCTCCTATTTTTATCCAGATCTTGTTTTTCTGTTGTATCTATTGTCCCTGTACTGCTAAATTTTGATTCAACTCCCAACAGTTTCTCGTTGGTGCAGAGTCCTGTCCTGGAGGGACCCTGGGAAGTCAGAGTGGAGAGTTCATGCAGATAAGACTGCCCCAGCTCCTTAAGACCTGACAGGCACTCATCTGTTATGGGATGCAGCAAAACCCCTCCCCGTTTTTGCTGCCACTTTGAAATCCGCCTGCTGTGCATTCCAGCTAGTGTCTGTTGGCTCTTTTGGGTTCTCCTGTTCTTTGGTCTGTCAGATGCCCATTGCTTTCCTCTGTTTTCTGTTAGACAAATGCTGATACTGGGTTGCATTTTGAGGTTTGAGGTATACCCTGTCACCTTGCTTTGTTCGGAAACCATGAGCTTTGGTTTTGCTGAGTAGTCTTTCAGTCTGATTCTATGTGAAGATTCAGGAAGACGCAAACATTTTGCTGCCACTGTTGCTACTATCCCCAAACCTCCTGATTTAATAGTTTTAACAAGCAGAAATGATTATCTGATTTGATTTACCAGAAAGTAGGTTTTTGAAAGAAAAATAAATCTGAAAGAATGAATTTGGGTTTTTGCCTGGGTACTTTGAATCTCTTTTCCAGGAAGGCAGTATGAGCCTCTGAGTTTTAAAGTTATCAGAACTGTTTTGGGAGACCATAGGTGTAGAATCAATACAAAAAAAAATTAGGGAAATATTATTCATTATGCAGTGATATTTGCAATTGATCCCCTAGGCCTCTTTGTTGTCTCAACTCTATTTTCCACCTTAAACCTCAATGGATGGAATGTTGTAAGGCACGTAGAATGCTGAGTCTGATCCCTGATGATCTGATTCCAAATGGGTCACAGGCGGGAAATTACCAACCCAGGGCAGAACCTGTTGCTAGTGTTTATGTTCTGGGCACTCTGCTCTTGTTTTAGCCAAGGCAAAAGCTTTCTTAAATGTGAATCTTTCTGAAACTCTGCATTGATTTACAAAGCACAGATCAAGTGAATTACTTTATTGAAGAAAAAAATATCTTGGCGGAAAATGAATATTAATACTGCCAGATATTCCTGTCTATTCCATTATAAGGTAAAATCTGATCCCCATGAAGGGTGGTACTGAGATAAACACATCTTATTTCAAAGTAATAATTTCTTATTATTTCTAAGTAATAGTTTTGAAAATTTCAGCTATTACTGTCCAGGCTCCTCAAATAAACAGTTATAATATGTAGGTAATAAGTATCAACTAATTGAGATATTGTCCATAATTTTCCATAGCTCTGTGTGGCTAAATCACAAGAATTCATTTTATCAAGTCTTTGAAGTTGGACATCAGCTTCCAGGATGTAATGTCTCTTTGATTTCACCTGAGAATGTCTATGCTATGCTACTGGCACAGTAATGGGGCATGATTTGTCTCTTTTTCTTTTTCTTTTTTTTGAGATGGAGTCTCACTCCAGCTCTGTAGCCCAGGCTGCAGTGCAGTGGTATGATCTCAGCTCACTGCAACCTCCGGCCTCTTTTTCTTTATGACAACCCTACCAGAACTGCTTGTCATCTAGCCAGAAGATTGAATGTTGCCCATCAAGGAACTGAATTTTGATGGTGCCAAAAAGAAGGAAAACAAAATCATTCAAAATAATTTTCATTTATTTTTTGGGAGACAGAGTTTTGCTCTTGTCACCCAGGCTGGAGTGCAATGGTGCAATCTCAGCTCACTGCAACCTACGCCTCCCAGGTTCAAGCGATTCTCCTGCCTCAGCCTCCCAAGTAGCTGGAACTACAGATGCTTGCCACCACACCCAGCTAATTTTTTTTTTTTATTACTTTTAGTAGAGACAGGCTTTCACCATGTTAGCCAGGCTGGTCTCGAACTCCTGACCTCAGGTGATCCACCCACCTCAGCCTTCTAAAGTGCTGGGATTACAGGCTTGAGCCGCTGAGCTCGGCCACTTTTTTTTGTTTGAGTCAGAGTCTCGCTCTGTCACCCAGGCTAGAGTGCAGTGGCACGATCTCAGCTCAATGCAATCTCCACCTCCTGGGTTCAAGTGATTCTCCTGCCTCAGCCTCCTGAGTAGCTGGGATTACAGTCATGCGCCACCATGCCTGGCTAATTTTTGTATTTTTAGTAGAGATGGGGTTTCACCATGTTGGTCAGGCTAGTCTTGAACTCCTGACCTCGTGATCCACCCACCTCGGCCTCCCAAAGTGCTGGGATTACAGGCGTGAGCCACCGTACCTGGCCTACATTTCTTTAAAAATAAATTCCATCATGGTAATAACTAAATCTTAATACTTAGGGATGATAATAATTTTCATGTATGTTGTCTTCTTATCCAAGACTCCTTGAGTTGAAAGCAAAATTTCTGTGTGTGTGTGTGTGTGTGTGTGTGTGTGTGTGTGTAGAGAGGCACTTATAGAGACAGATACAGACATAGACATGTAGACATCATTTAAGTCTAGATATCAACCTATAACAAACTAGTTTTTACAATGTAAGTATCATTTACCAAGAATCAGAGATCTGGAGCTACATCCAGTTTCAAGAGAGAAATTAATAATTGTAAAAACCTTCTGTCTTGAGACCACATCTTATGAGAACTTCCTTTAACATAAAGCACCTCTAGGAAGAGACCTTATTCCTGCCAACCATCCCTGGTTTGGTCAGAACACAAAAGATAGGAATATATTGAAATTAGGTGATCAAATCATGCCAAATATGACATAATAAAAACAGTTAAACAGGTTTCTGTCCTATACATCTTATCTTCTGAATGATTCTGGCTTGAGTTCATTTGGACTTTTCAACAAGACCCTGCACATTTCCATATTCCAACTTCTGCAAAAGTCAAAACCTGCCCTCGTCTCCCTCCAGCATCTGCTCTGCTGCCATTTCTGCTTTTCCCTGATGAGTGAATGAGGCATGCCAAGGAACCATGATGGAGAGGTCACTTAATTTTTGTTTGTAAAGCCAAATCTCCTGTGCTCCCCATAATTACCAATCAATTTTACATAAATAGCAAAATTAAGTCCCATTATTCTCATTTACCACAAAATTAGAGGAATTAATTAAACATGGAAAAAGTGCTGATGCCTGCCAAATCACTACTTCCAGTAGATAGAAATGAATTCAGAAATTGCACACAGGCAGGAAGAAAACTCAGCACAGCATCCAGAAACACAGCAAAGCATTGCAACTGAAAATATTGTTTAAATAATCCAGGTAAGTATGCACTAAAACGTTCCTGAGTTTCTCTCCTAAAGCTAGGACAAGGAAGACACATTCTTCCTTTAGAGATGAGATATGGTTTGGCTGTGTCCCCACCCAAATCTCATCTTGCACTGTAGCTCCTGTAATTCCCACGTGTTTTGGGAGGGACCCAGTGGGAGATAATTGAATCATGGGGGCGGTTCCCCCATACTATTCTCATGGTAGTGAATAAGTCTCAGGAGATCTGATGATTTTATAAGGGGTTTTCCCTTTCACTTGGCTCTCATTCTCTCTTGCCTGCCGCCATGTAAGACATGCCTTTAGCCTTCCACCATGATTTTGAGGCCTCCCCACCCACATGGAACTGTGAGTTCATTAACCCTCTTTATCTTTATAAATTACCTAGTCTCAGATATGTCTTTAACAGCAGCGTGAAAACAGACTAATACAAGACAACATCTGGCATCTTTACAATGCAAGGTGTCGGGTTCCTTTTCTGTTGTTATTTCAGGAAGGTGTTTGTTTGGTTTGGGTTTGAATAACCTATAAACCCAGAAGAGAAAGAAAACTGAAGACATGCTTTCCAATCCAAGTTTGTCAGAGGAACTTGCATTCGTGTGACTGTTGCTAATGAGTTCAGTTAAACTCCAGAAATCACACCACAGAAGCATCCATACTCTATATGAAAGATCATGTTGTGCTTAAGACCAAATTCCTGAAATAAATGAGGAGCAGATGGAGGAGAAGGGGTGAGGGTGGGTGTTTGGACTTTCACAATTTTGGGTATTGGGCTTAACAATGCTCAGATCTGTTAGAAAGTTTAGAAATGATGAGGCTAAAGATGGTGAAGTAGTTTCATAAACTAGAAAAGAAAGATTCAAACAGAAGACAAAAATGTTCTTCAAGGATTGTCTAAGAGTCCTTTGCAATTACTTCCATTATGAAACAATGAAATATATACTATTCCTTAAATAAACCCACCAAAATGATACCCCCTTTTAATGGTTGGACTATGGTAAAACAATCTTCATATCTTCCTTAATGAGATTTTTATTGCTTGTGTATATTTGTCTTGCACTGAATTTTTGCCTCGGGAACCCTGAATTATGTTACCTCAGGTTGTTCCTGGTAAGCATGCAAGCATCCACCCAATTTTTGCTGTGAAAATGGCTCCTTCTGGCAAAGTGAAAGCAATTGGAACTCAGTTTAATTAGCTGCCTTCTGTAAATATGCCATTATTCTTCTAGCTCTGTGCTGGAGTTATATTTACAAAGGGAACAGATAGCAATAATTATCTGGGGTTGTAGTTAGTCATTATTAGTTAATGCCTGAGCATAATTGAGAGGAAATTAAGACAAGTGTAGATTATGGGTACAAAACGGGATAAATAAGCATCTGTCAGAACATAAATTCTACCTATATTTTTGGGCATGGATGAGGAACTCAACTGCACAGAGAAGCAACAAGTTCCTCACCTGAAATCTATTTAACAAGAAGCATGTGCAATCTATATTGTCTAATTTTGAATAATTCACATTCTGGGCTTTCTGTTATAGATGTTCACTCTCAGACCAACTTTTCTTGGTGATGCAATATGCTTCTGAGCTACCTCTCTTTCCTTTGACTCAGGGGAACCCACAGAAGGCAAACTCAGTCTAATCACCCGGAGCCAAGAAAATAGAGGAGTCTGTCATTTTCAAAATACTCAATGTATCCCAAAGTCAAATCTAAAATGGGAATGAGTTAGGTATGTTCTGGCTTCCATTAGATTATTGCAAGTTGACTCGTTTTTAAAGTTTCAGCTTTAATATTGTTAACAGTCATTAGTGTAGGTAAATATGACTCATAAAGGTATTATAGCCTCTCCCTGTAGAAATTCTGGGGAACAGGTCATTTTGGGCAGGGCAGCCTTTGCTAGAGTCCAAACGCTAGAAGAAAACACCCAGCCCCACATCAGTTCCATAGTTTACAGGGAGGGGAGCAAAATCATACAGTGGGTGAAGAATATGGACTTTGGAGTCAGATGTGTCCAGACAATTGTTCAGGTTCCACTTCTTGCTAACTGTGAGATCTTGAACACATCAGTTAACTTCCTGGTTTCTTCATCTGAGAGATGGGGATGACATAGAACTTAATGATTAGAAGTACTGAATGAGATAAATCACATAAAGCACTCAGCACTGAGCCAGACACAAAAAAGGTGCTCACTTGGTTGGAACAGCTACAACTTCTGGTAATATTTCTACTCTACCATCATCTCCTGAGAGCTGTTTAAATCCACTAATATGCAGAGCAGGTTTTTGTTTCATATACAGCGACAAAGAAAAATCTGGGTTGGGGGAAGTACTAGGGGATGAAGCAGAAAGTGTTAGGTTTGTCTCTCAGCAGGCATCATGCACTGAGTTTGAGACTGTACAGTCATAGGGGTGACAGGCAGACAGAATCCTTGTGTCTTTTTTCTGTTTCATTTTGATTTATTTGTGTATTTATTTATTTTTTTACATGTGAGGCTTGGCAACATTTCAGCTCAAAGCAGAATCGCAGTTCCTAGGATAAATGGGGAGACTCCGGGTGTGAACAGGGTGGCCTTGAGGTCTGAGCGACAAAATGTGACAGGCTATGGAGGAGAGGCTCTTTTCACCACTTCATGGTGCCCCCCTATACTCTGTCACCCCTGCTGCTGACAGCCTGAGGAACACACAGAAGCAGACTTGTTGGAGTTGTCAAGGTGGATCCTGAAGACTGGAAGTTTCCACCCAGTGGTTGGGCACTAAGTGCTGGGAGAGCTGGGTGATGGGGGAGGCAAGTGGGGACAGCAGCTCACAGGTCATAGGTCTGTCTGGGTGCAGGTCAGAGGCACCATTGGGGGAAATACCTGGATGGCCAGTTTCTAATTATGGGGCAACAAATGATCATAGAATTTGATCATTTACTTTGTAGCATGCCTTTGAGTCATTATCATGGGCTCTGGGGATCTATGAATGCCAGGTTGGAGTTCATATACCTTGTAATAAGGTTAGCATTCATAAAAACATGCAGACCTTGTTAGGTGAAGCAAAAAGACTTCCCAACTTTCACCAAAATAGTGTTGTGCTATCTTTGCATTTATGCCTCTACTTTCAGCCAGAATTCCCCACATCTGGCCATCAACTCCTCTAAAGGGAGAAAAGGCTAAGATCCCCCATCAAGGACCAGTTCAGGAGGCCTGGCTTTTCATCTAGCTCCGGGTAGTGGCCTCATGGAGCACTGGGACCCCTGGGCTAAGGAGACCAGGGCAAATATCCAACTCAGTTTCTGCAGGTCTTGGTTTTGGGATATATTTTTGCATGTTTTACATCACAGAGATGAAATTCATCTCTAAACAACTACCCCCTTGGATAATATTTGAGATATTTTCAAACTTACAGAAAAATGTGACAAATAAATACAAAAATAATGTATTCTTCACCCAGATTAATGAATTTTAAAGAATTTATCTTGTAGATATTTATTAGTATTTTTTATGAACTACTGAGAGTAGGTTGCATATTTTATGTCCCTTAACCTCTTAATATTTCAGGGTATGCCTCCTAAGAATAAAGATGTTCTCTTACGTTACCACAGTGCATTTATCACATTCAGGAAATTTACCTTTGAGGTACCATTTTTATGTAACCTACAGTGCATTCTCTAACTTTGGCAATTGTTAGGATGATGCCCTTTGGCCAATATTTTCCCTTTAGTAAAGGTTCCAGTCTAGGATAATTTATTGTATTTTGTTTTTATGTCTGGAGTGGCTTTTGAGAGACTTAGAATCTCTGTTCATTTCCTAAAATCCTGACTCAAGGTGTCATTGGAGCCTTTAATCTGTGCTACATGTATGAAGCATTCTGATCCGTTTGGCATAGAGGTACACCATCTGTATTCTCCCTGGGCTGCCATGCTCATGCCGGTGGCCTTGTGTCTAGAGATCCCAGATGGGCTTCACATCAGTGCAGGATCTCTGCATTCACCTCACTGTAGGATGACAGAGATGAGATACAGAGTCCTAGTTTCTGTATTAGGGCAGATGTAGGAAAGGTCAGGTTAACAACAGTCATGAGGTAGTAACATCCACTGTCCCAAGATGCTGGGCTAAGATGTTAGAGGCCTCCCCCAACCCAATCCCCAAACCTACTGCTTCTAAGAAGACCCCAAACTAGACTGCTACCTTTGCCTTTTGTAGCCCTGTTATAGCGGGGCTGTTTTTTTCATGAAAGATTTGCAGGGAGGCAAGAAGTATCTGGTCCGCAGGGCCTGAAGTGGCCTGAGGACAGAGAGGCATGGGCAGGGCCATACAAAGGAAGTCATGGTGTCTGATATTCAATCCCAGTAATGTCCTGAGTGTCAGTACTGCCCTGCTCTGGGAGGAACACCATGGTATGGTGCTGGCAGTGCCAGACTAGTACCATGGAGGTTTCCAAGCTTTGGGGATCAGTCTCATTAGAAGAGCTGCATCCAGGCATACATGGAGACCATGATGCTGGTGGAAGAGCTCAGAAGATCTGCCAAAATGGGAACTCTCAGAAGATAAGGCCAGCCCCAAAAGCTACCCTGAGGTTAAGTGACAATGACTCACAGAGTGAACTTGTGGACCCCTAGGAAAAACATGGAGGGTGGGGACTGAAGCCCACACTGAGAAGTGTGCACAAAAGAGAGTAATGGGTTGTTGACACAGAGGCCTGGTCTTGCCTGGGCATTGCTCATTCCAAGGGAGTGGCACACAGCACAGCTACATCCCGTTGCCTCCCTCCTCAAGGGCTGAGCTGGGTGTTTGGCAAAGAGGTACTTTTCTGCCTTTAGACAAGAACTAGCACTTACAACTATATCTCAAGTGTGGAGTTTCCAAAAGTGTGTTCCACAGATGACCAGCCCCATGACATGGTCTGCCAGAAGAGACTCCTTGGCCTAAAAAAATGTAGAAAACCCTCCAAGCTGTGACCCTTTTTTAGAATTAAGACCTTTGAGAGAAAACAGTTTAATCCAATGTTCCCGGGGCTTGCTCAGCCAGGGAACCATTTTGTATCCTGGTTGTAGCAGTGTGACTGTGTGTGTGTGTGTGTGTGTGTGTGTGTGTGTGACAGAGTGAGAGAGAGAGAGAGAAAAAAAGAGAAAGAAAAAGAGGGAGAGAGAGCGCACGTATGCCTATGTACATGTGGTAGCCAATAACATTCCACAGACCCCACTCTGAAAACGTTCTCCCGGTAAACTGACTGCAGGAAACCTCCAGCCTGTCCTGCCTCAAGGCTCCCTGAGCTCTGAAATGCATTCTGCAGCTGGTACTACCCTCTGAGTACTGATGGCAGCTCCTGACTTGGAGGGTAGCCCCTAAAACAGGATGTCTTTCTCTGGCAGCAGAAAGGAAGGAAGTGGTCCACCTGAGCCTTGGGAATTGAGACTTTTGGGAACTGGGATGTGAAGGCTGAGAACGGGGAACCCAGATACCAGCCACAGTCCCATTTGCAGAGGCAACAGGATTTCTAACCAGGCCTCAGGCACTATTACTTGAGTTGTTAAGAGACAGCTGTCTTCACCTGATAGAGGTATTCACGAGGCCTGAAAATAAGCCCTTCTGGCAAAAATCCATCCTATACACCCATGAGGCACTTCCAAAATCCAAATGTTATAAAGAAAGTTTGACAGCACACAGGAAGCTGATATGTACACCTAACCTGTATTTTCTCATCCAAATGGGGTACCCAAAAGTGTGTCTGGAAATAGAGCACACAAGAGAGGAAGGAAAGTGGAGTAGGGACAAAGGAGAGAGGGGAGAGGGGGAGAGAACAACAGAGAGAGATCTAAGTTAAGGCTTCAGAACTGTGACACTCCGGCCAGTGCTGGCCATGAGACACCTGCTGAGGAAGGAAGCAAAGTGCCCTTTGCTTCTTTTTATTTTATTTTTAATTGATAAATAATAATTGTACATACTTATGGGGTATAACATGAAGTTACAATATGTACGATGTATAGAGGTCAAATCAAGATAATTCACATACATCAACTCAAACATCAATCATTTCTTTCTGTTGGGGATATTCAAAAGCCTCTCTTCTAGCTATCTAAAATATATAATAAATTACTGTTAGTTATAGTCATCCTACAGTGCCCTTTCTTCTGAGCCAGAGAAAAGAGACACACTCAAAAAAGACGTAAAATAACTCTGCTGAGATGAACATCTTGCATGCCCATTTGCTCTGCCAAACAGTCAAATCCCTCCAATAATTTAGAAATACAGGGTTATCTTGGGATATGGAGTGTGTCCCTACCACCAATCTGGACTCACCAACTGGGACTGTATTTTTGGTTTGGAATTAGCATGGACACAAGCTCAGAGGCAAAACTCACCATAAAAAAAAAAAATCCCATGGAGGCAAAGAATGGAACATCAAGAAAATGCTCTTACAAGCAGAACGTCAGACTAATGATGACGCTGGGATGAAACCAAGGAATATACAGTAGGAAATTCATTCAGACAATTAAGACACGAGGGCCATTAACTTAGTGACAGATTCCCACCCCTGGAGTTAACTGCTGTTTGCTAGCTGTGTGACTTTAGAAGTACTGCCAGACCTCTCTGGGCTTTATTTCCCTCATCAGTAAAGTGGTGATTAAAAGTTCCTACCCAGTAATGCTGCTGTGAGGTTTTAAGATTTTCTTAGAATAGCACCTGGCACATACTAGGCATTGAATAAATGATAGTTGTTATTATTGTTGCTGTTATTATTAATGTAATATGTAGTATGTTCTGCTAAGCAGGACAGAGGAAAATAGTAGCAGAATTAAATTCTAAGCAAAAGGGACAGGTTGGCATGTTTTTATTTGAGAGGACGAATCCCGCTGTGAGTTAACTCTTGGTGGCTTTTGTCTGGTGATGCTGAGTTACTTCTGGGACAATAAGCACGAGGCTGCTGCTATAGTCTCAAGATTCAACAGTAAATCACTGTGTATCCCTGCATCGTGTTGTTATTCTATGGATTAAACAAGATAATGCATGTAAAATGCTTAGCCCATAGTGGCATTTAATAAATAGCAGCTATTATTTCTGATATTCTCATTATCAATATCATTACAGCAATAATAATATTGTCACATACTAGCACCGAGTGATCCAATTTACAGTCTAACAATCATGCAGATGGAAGACTCAGCTGCAGCCTACCTGTTTTCCAAAAGGGGGTTAAAACTGATTTTCATCTTTTCCCTTTTTACGGTGAGATGATGAATATAAAAGTGTTTTGTAAATTCTAATGTATATTTCATCTTTTTTCTGAAAAATTAAAAAAATTAAAAGGCTCTCCCAATTTGTGGTCTCCAAGGTATTTTGCCTGCTACATTTTATTTTCAAAATGTTACCAGTACTTAATTCTCCCTGGTTCTCAGCAGTGGAAATGCTACGCCAATTGAAAGCCTCTGTCTGGAACACAAGAGAAATTCCGCCATCTGCTGGCCACTCGGAGAACTGCTCGGGAGAAGCTGCCCACAGACCCGTAACTACGGGGGTGGTAAAGGTGCAGGAAGGCTGACAGTCACCTGCCCGGTGGTTTGAGATCCAAGGGGGCATGGAGGACCCAGCCATCACTGTGGTCTCTGGAGGGTCACAGCTTGAATCCGTCTGCCATGCTCCTGCATGTGTGGCATCTGTCCCTGCCTGTCTCTCAGGACAACACCTGCCTTTGCAACTCTAGAAGCAGATGATAATTCAGAGACAGCAGGCCTGAGGTGCCAATCACTCTGTTCCTTGGCATTTTGCCCCATTCTTAGCCTGGCAGCACATCAAAGCCTGTTGCCTTCTGGCCTCTGCTGGAGGCTTAGGCCGCCACAGGCTCCAGGTCTCCTTGGCTATGTCCCTTCCTCTCCCCAGGGCCTCCACCATGTGTGAGACAATGCAGCCCACCAGGAATTGAGGCAGGGGCCACCCCCACTGAGCTGGGTGAACAGAGATGCTGTCCAACCCCAGGGCTTACTGCGCCAGGTTCCACCTCTCCTGGGCAGTGAGCAGCTCTTGTCAAGTCCTTATTTTATTTAATTTTATTTTTTATTTTTTTTCAGACGGAGTCTCGCTCTGTCACCCTGGAGTGCAGTGGCGCGATCTCGGCTCACTGCAAGCTCCGCCTCCTGGGTTCACGCCATTCTCCTGCCTCAGACTCCCGAGTAGCTGGGACTACAGGCGCCCGCCACCACGCCCGGCTAATTTTTTGTATTTTTAATAGAGACGGGGTTTCACCGTGTTAGTCAGGATGGTCTCGATCTCTTGACCTCGTGATCCGCCCACCTCGGCCTCCCAAAGTGCTGGGATTACAGGCGTGAGCCACCGCGCCCGGCCCAAGTCCTTATTTTAAACACACATTTCAACACAGAGAAAGCCTCACACACAATGGAAGGCTCTTAGCACCTAGGAAGAGGACTCTAGGAGACTGCTTCTGAGCCAAATGCATTAATGTGTAGACCATACAGAAGCTGACCCATGTTGAGCACTTACCATATGCCAGGCATTGTCACATGTGTTTTCATGGATTAAGGCATTTAATCCTTACAACAACTCTCTGAAGAAGATACAATTACTATCCTTATTTTACAGGTGAGAAAACTGAGGCACAGACAGTCCCAGCAGCTTACACAAGGATTTCTAGCTTGCCACTGGTGGAGCTGGGACTTGAACCCAGGCTGCCTGGCTCCAGAATTCACATTTCCAATCCCTATGTTTGATCTAAATACTTAATTTAACATGGAAAGACCAAACACAGTAATACTCCTTATGCACAATTTTGCTTTCATGGTTCCAGTTACCCAAAGTCAATTGGAAGTCAGAAGATATTCAATGGAGAACTCCAGAAATAAACAATTCATCAATTTTAAATTGCATGCTCTCTGAGTGTGATGAAATCCTGCTCTGTCCTGCCTGGGATGTGAATCCTCCCTTTGTCCAGTGTGTCTGCACTGTCCACACTCCCTGCCCATTAGTCACTTGGCAGCGAGTTTGTTTATTAGATCGACTGCCAAGGGACTGCGTGCTTGTGTTCACGGAACCTGTATTGTACTTATTAAAAGCCCCAAAGCATAAGAGTAGTGATGCTGGGATATTGTTGTAATTGTTCCATTTTTATTATTGTTGTCATTAATTTCTTACTGTGCCTAATTTATATTAAACTTTATCATAGACATGTATGTATAGGAAAAAAATATAGTATATATAGGTATACAGGGTTTTGTACCATTCGTGGTCTCAGACATCCACTGGGGGTCTTGGAATGGTCACCTGAAGATAAGGGTGGACTACCGTAATGCAAGAGCATGAGAGGTCATTGACATGATGGAGTCTTATGATCACAAGCAGAGGCTCCCCGGTACTGACAATGGGGATCCAACTTGAGAGATCACAGATGAGTGATGGCTAGAGTGAAAGAAGGAGGTTCTGGGAAACAGGAACCCAGCGAGAATCAGGGATGGGTCAGTACAGTCATATGAGAACATGAAAGAGATAGAGACCAACAGGAAAACAAAGACCAAGGGACAAAAGTCTTATCCATTTATTTAGTCTTCATATTTATTTATATTTATTATTGAAACTGAATAAACTTAGCTCAACCACAGACCCATGCAGCTCGTGGAGCTGAGGAGGGGCACTGCTGATAAACAGCATGAAATAGTTCAGTTGCCAGACTGGGGGTTGGCCTTGGTGTTAAACCACTGCCCAACACGGCAGGACTAGCGGACCATCTTCCATGCCCTCAGGTGTGGTGGACTGCTCACACCTACCCATCCCTACCACCAACAGGCCCTGCGAATGGCACTGTCACTCTCACAGGGTCTACAGGAGGCCAGGCACTGAGACTGCTGGGGAGACCAGGAGACTGCATTACATACTACATGTACCCCACCTTCATGGAGTTTACATTCTGGTGGGGGCAAGGGAAGGGCACAGAATGCAAACAGGTAAAGTAAGTAAAATAGTTACAAATTGGAAGATATGCTTTAAAGGAAATGAACAGGACACTGTGCTGGTGAACAATGGGGAAAAAGATCCACTGAACACAGAGAAAACCCAGCAGTGTTTGGCCAGGCCTCTCATTTCAAAGGGCCTCCTATTCCCAATGCTGCGGAGCCTTGCAAAGGTGCAGGGGGCAACTTACAGACCGAAAGATGTCACACTTGCGGCTCTGATCAGTCCTGTGCCAGGACCTCACCACCACACCGCAGGACTCAGCTTCTATGCTACATGTTCTTTTAATGAACTCTCCATCTTCTTGTGTGTCAGTGAATTTGAGTCCCATTGTATCTTTCATTGTGATAGACAAATGATATAATTTTAATTATTCTGCAAATTTGGGCCCTTGATTTGGCTTTTCATTTGTTGGGGGAGGCGTGGGAGCCTCAAAAACAGGTGTGTTTAGCTGCTGGTGCTGAAGGAAGGCCTCCAGGAGGGGGGTGGACTTCAAGTTGGGAGCTGCAGGAAGAACTGAGGGGAAGAAGGGCACTTCCAGCTGTATGATGAGGCTACTACCTGTTTGGAGGACAAAAGCCAACTCTCAAGGACTTACATTAAAAAGAAAATTTAAATACAGTTAGGAAATAAAAGATCTCGGTAAGTTCTAGTAGAAAGGCGTAGAATAAGTCCAAGACAAACCGATTCTAATTTAGCCAAAAGTGGGAAGAACAAAGACCTTCTGTACAACTTAACACTATCCTTAAGCTTGATTTCTCAAGATTCACAGGGAGAGATTTTGAAATGAATCACTGAATTGTAAGAAGCTAGGTCAACTGGCAGATTGTGTATCTCAGATTCATCCTGCTTCTGAAAATAGGCATTAAAACTGCAGCAACCTGGAAAAAATAAAAGCTGAGGTGGGATTTTAAATGACAGCCATAAGGACATGCCTTGTGGTGAAAGATGGTGGTTGGATAAGGAAGGGCTGCTCAGCTGTCTACTAAGGGACGCGGTCTCTGGTTCATTCCTCAAGAGTTTCCATAGGCTGCACAGGACAACAGCTTTCTCATTTAGGCTGGAGTTGAGGATGCTTAAAGTTTTGTTTTTTTCCACAACTACCTGCACTTTGAGGGCAACAAAGTGAGAATGACTCATGAGAGATGGTCCTGTTTGGACCAGAGGCAAAGCAACAACCAGCCCATCTGGGGAAAATTTGTCTCTAGGAGAACAGTGTTTGTGTATTGATAATATAAAATTAGATGACAGCATCCCCTTCTTCTCTTCCCTACCACCAAGGAGGAACTGAACCTTCAGAAATCCACTTGTTTTTTGTTTGTTTGTTTGTTTGAGACGGAGTCTCACTCTGTTGCCCAGGCTGGAGTGCCTTGGAGCAATCTTGACTCACTGCAACCTGTGCCTCCTGGGTTCAAGCGATTCTTTGGCCTCAGCCTCCCAAGTAACTGGGACTACAGATGCATGCCACCATGCCCAGCTAATTTTTGTATTTTTAGTAGAGATGGGGTTTCACCATATTGGGCAGGCTGGTCTCAAACTCCTGACCTCATGATCTACCCACCTTGGCCTCCCAAAGTGCTGGGATTACAGGCGTGAGCCACCATGCCCAGCCAATTTTTGTATTTTTAGTAGAGATGGGGTTTCACCATATTGGCCAGGCTGGTCTCGAACTTCTGACCTCATGATCCACCCTCCTTGGCCTCCCAAAGTGCTGGGATTACAGGTGTGAACCATCACACCCAGCCTCCAGGAATACACTGTTTAAATTTCTCTTTCACAAGTGATGCCCTGGTTAAATCCCTTCATCACATTTTGCATCTCTTCTTCAGATGAGTTTCCCAAGAGAAGAGCTCAGTCTCCCTCCCTGGTTACTCAACTAATGTCTAAAATGTCACTGGTCCTCACTATTTATTAAATGACTGAATTGCCAGATTATCAAAATCCATACATACTACCAGAGAAGTCTCTCTGGCTGTTACGAAAAGATTGGTTTCTCCTAAATCAACAGTCACTGAGAACCAACCATTCATTGAATAACTCATTCACTTCACAACTGTATATCTAGCAAGGATCTTAGTAAGTGCCAGACCCCTTGCAAGATTTTCCAGACACAGCAGCAAATAAAACAGACAAGATTCTGGCTCCCAGGGAGTTGATAGTAGGTAAGACCAGGGATCATCACACATTTCTATAAAGAGCCAGAGCATAAATATTTAAGGCTTTGCAGGCCACTTGCAGTCTCTGAAGCATATTTTCTTTGTATTTTTTGTATGCTTGTTTTTAACAACACTAAAAAATATAAAAAACCATTCTCATATCAAGGGTCTTTCAAAAATAGACCACAGGCCAAATTTGGCCCATTAGCCCTAGTTCGTCAACACTTGTTTAAGACAGACATTAAACAAATGCCCTGAGGATGACATCAGTACAGGTGAGATAAGCACGTAGGAGAGTGAGAGAGGAAAAAAAGGCTGCGTACATACGGCCAAGATTTTGGAGGGGTCAGGGAAGGCCACCAGGAAGGAGAAGCATTCAAAATATGATGTGATGGAGGAGCAGGGCTAACTCAGCAAAGAATGAGGAGCGTGAGGGAGGAGGGCGAGGGGGCTGAATGAAGGGAGAGGGGCTACAGGTAAAGGCTTTGAGCAGCACAGCTGAGCGGGATCCAGATAAAAAAGCCTTGTCAACTGTATCAGGAGCTTGGATTTTACCTTAGGTACAACGGAAGCCTTGTAAGGGTGGGTTTTAAGGAGAAGAGTGCCTGGATCTCCATGAAATTGAAGGAACTCTTCTGGCTGCTGGGCAGGTTCTACTCTGAGAAAGTAAGAGGCTAGTCCACTGTAGCCTTGTGCTATGGGTTCGATTGTGTCCCCTCCTCCCCCGCCAAAATGTGTTGAAGCCCTAACCCCCTACTCCTTGGAATGTGACCTTATTTGGAAATAGGGTCCATTACAGATATAATTTGTTAAGATGAGGTCATACTGGAGTAGGGTCCAACAAATGCCTGGTGTCCTTATAAAAAGGCAGGCATGTGAAGACAGGCACACAGGGACAACCCCAGATGGCATAAAGGCAGAGTGTGGCGTGCTGCAGCTGCAAGCCAAGTAAGGCCAAGTAAGGCCAGAGACCTCCAGAAGCCAGGAAGAGGCAAGGAAGGACACCCTTGCAGGTTTCAGAGGGAGCCTGGCCCTACTGACCATTTGATTTTCAGATTTCTAGCCTCCAGAATGGTGAGATAATATAATCCTGTTGCTTTAAGTCACCCAATTTGTGGTGCTTCCTTCCAGCAGCCCTAGGAAATAAATACACCTAATGGGTGACAATGACTAGGAAAGAAGGAAAGAAATGCACTGCTTTGAAAAACATTTTAAAGATAGAATTAAAGAGCTTTGAGATGGGTTGGATGTAGGGAAGTGGGGAAAAGGAAATGTATAGGCTGGCAATCCACACCCAGCTACTGCCCTTGGTTACCTGTGGAAGGGCAGCAGTGATTAGAGGGAAGGAAGAAACAGCGAGCATTTCCTTATAAAATACACCACTCCATCCTTTGTCTTCTTAAAGGAGGGAGTCGGACTTTCATAATAAAAATGATAGAGTAGAACAGTAAATAAGAAAAGGAAGGAAAAACTGCATGACTGCTAGGGCTGGCTTGAAAATCCCTGTGGATAGAGGAAGCCTGACTGCGCTTGTGAAACTAAAGCAGCAGCGAAGGTTGGGGTAAGGATAGACCCAGATTTCAGCTTGGGGCATAAGGCTGAGATGCGGGAAGGTTATTACATGATGGGAAGCTTGCCTTGCTTTGAGGGGTCTTCTGATTTTTAACCAAAAGAAAGCAGAAAGGGATATGGCAAACAGACATAGAGATATCTGCAGGAGGCAGAAACGTGTGGCTTTAGAGAACAGCTTCCTAAATCAGCCCATCATGGACACACGTTCTGCATTGGTCTTCCCACGTCTGTCTGGTGCAGGACGGGGTAGCCCTTCAAAGCAGCATGTTAGCTTTAGGCACCTCCTTCAGAGGAAGCACTCCATGGAAGAAATAAAAAAGGCTGAATGTTATTTTAATTGAATTTGTTTTCAATTTATTCTCAGCTGTCTAGGGAAAAACCTTTAACACTCACATCATTTGATTCCTTTTTACTTTGTGTCCATTATCCTCATAATGAGCTTTTAACGCATTAATGCAGCCCTGTTTGCCAAAGAGTAATTCAGTTGCTCAAATCAATAAGTAGCAAAAGCATAAAAATGTACCAAATTGAGACAATGAACCAGAGTATAAATGGAAACCTTCATCTTCCACTTCCTTAAAAGTGGGGGCTGCATTCTGGTGACCTTCTGATGCTACAGTATCAAGGTGAATATGCAGAAATTCCTCTACTTCATAAATTCCAATTCTCAAATGTCCATCGAACCATCAGAGCTAAATGTTGGAGCCAACAGGAAGCTCCCCTGCCTGTCAGTGGCATTTAGCCTCAGCCTTCCCATCTGCAGTTTTTTCCCAGCAGTGTGCTGTAGTTGAAGCAATATCTTGTTATAAAAGTATTTGCAATGAAAAGGGGAAAATCGTAATGCAAACTTCTATGGAATTTTTTTAAGGTTCAAAGGAGGTAAAGAAGAGTGGGAGCTTTTGCCATCTTCCTCTATGGTTCATGCCTCTAAACATCCATATAGATGACATCTATTGCTCATCGTGTAGTGCCACCTTAGGCGTAAAGAAAGTAAAACAGCTCTTCATATTGTAATATAGGAACTCCTTTTGAGGGCTTAGCATGCTGCTTAATCCCAGCAAGAAGGAAGATTTGCTCTGGTACCCTTCCCACAATGGTAGCAGAGAGAGGATGATGCCTTGGGATTCAACTAATCCAGAGCTTCTCCCATGCCTACCTCTGCCAGGATCTTAGCCTACACCAACTGAGAAGCTCATAATCATCGAGTAGAGAGCTTATATATACCTTTCTCCTATGAGTTCTGTCCCTCTAAAGAACCCTAATATAGAAGTAAGAAACAGCTAGAAAAAGAGGAGTCTAGAGTCCAGATAACATTTCAGTCATCAAACCTCCCCAGCTTCCCTGATCCTTGCCTTTCTGAGACTTGGCTGCTCAGCATGTCCAGACTGGTGCGCTTCCCCCAACATTCTTTCAGGAAGTACTGGGGAGCTCATAATGATCGAATGGAGATCCCAAACTGTGTTCAAGTCAACACTGCTTCTCTGAAATTTGATCAGACATTCCAAGAAAAATGCATTTGCTTCAGGAACTTTGGGAATCCCTGCATACTCAATTTGTCTCTATGATACTCCAAAGTGCATCAGCAACAAGTTCTGCAGCAAAGAATTCTACTTATTTTGGTTTAATTTGACATTTTCCATACTTGTTTGACTGAAAAAGCTTTAAAAAATTTAAAATATTTTAATAAAAAACACCAATTCACATGGTAGAATACAAGGAAAGTATTTAACCTAAGAATCATTTTAAGAAAACTTAGTGTTATCACTGGTCATTAGAGAAATGCAAATCAAAACCACAACGGGATACCATCTCATGCCAGTTAGAATGGTGATTATTTAAAAGTCAGGAAACAACAGATGCTGACGAGGCTGTGGACAAATAGGAATGCTTTTACACTGTTGGTGGGACTGTAAATTAGTTCAACCATTGTGGAAGACAGTGTGACAATTCCTAAAGGATCTAGAACCAGAAATACCATTTGAAGCAGCCATCCCATTACTGGGTATATACTCAAAGGATTAGAAATCATTCTACTGTAAAGACACATGTACACATGTTTATTGCAGCACTATTTACAATAGCAAATACTTGGAACCAACCCAAATGCCCATCAGAGATAGACTGGATACAGAAAATGTGGCACATATACACTATGGAATACTGTGCAGCCATAACAAAGAATGAGATCATGTCCTTTGCAGGGACATGGATGAAGCTGGAAGCCATCATCCTAAGCCAACTAACACAGGAAAAGAAAACCAAACACCACATGTTCTCACTCATAAGTGGGAGTTGAACAATGAGAACGCATGGACACAGGGAGGGGAACATCACACACTGGGGCCTGTCAGGGGGTGGGGGCGCAAGGGGAGGGAGAGCATTAGGACAAACACCTAATGCATGCAGGGCTTAAAGCCTAGATGACGGGTTGACAGGTGCAGCAAACCACCATGGCACTTGTATACTTACGTAACAAAACTGCACGTTCTGCACATGTATCTCAGAACTTAAAGTAAAAGAAAGAAAGAAAGAAAACTTAATGTATCACAACCCAAACTGGGTTTTCATGTTTTGACAAATGTTTTCATGTCACATCATCCTCCTAACCAAACTATGCCACTGTTGTCTCTTTCAGTCTCCCCCGCAAAGCATCAGGTCCTTTAGGGCAAATGTGAGGCCTTATGCATTTGTAAGTAGGTATTCATTACCTACTCAGTTACTCATTAGGTAAGTGAGTGTGAAAGAAGAAAAGCTATTTAGGACTCATTTCTTTGCCAATGACAAAAACCTAGATCAGACAGCCTGAGAACGTTAAGTACTTACTGAAAGAATGCCGGAAGAAGTGCACAGGTCTGGACATGCTGAGCAGCCAAGTCTCAGAAAGGAAAGGATCAGGGAAGCCGGGGAGATTTGATGATTTAAGTATTATCTGGACTCTGGACTCCTCTTTTTCTAGCTGTTTCTTACTTCTATTCTCTATTAGGGTTCTTTACAGGGACAGAACTAATAGGATAGATGTTTACAAAAAGGGGAGTTTATTAAGGAGTATCGACTCACATGATCACAAGGTGAGGTCCCACAATAGGCCATCTGCAAGCTGAGGAGTAAGAAAGCCAGTCTGAGTCCCAAAACCTCAAAAGTAGGGAAGCTGACAGTGCAGCCTTCAGTCTGTGGCCAAAGGCCTGAGAGCCCCTGGCAAACCACTTGTGTAAGCGGAAAAGTACCAAAGCTGAAGAATTTGGAGTCCGATGTTCGAGGGCAGGGAGCATCCAGCACAGGAGAAAAATGTAGGTTGGGAGACTAAGCCAGTCTAGTCTTTCCATGTTCTTCTGCCTGCTTTTATTCTGGCTTCTCTGGCAGCTGATTAGATGGTGCCCACCCAGATTGAGCATGGGTCTGCCTTTCCCAGTCCACTGACTCAAATGTTAATCTCCTTTGGCAATAACCTCACAGACACACCCATGAACAATACTTTGCATCCTTCAATGCAACCAAGTTAACATTCAGTATCACCATCACATGTTCCTTTCTGCAAGCTGGCTTTGTTCTCCCAAATAGCCAATCCTCATAGCTATACAACTAAAGAAAAAAAGTGACACCCTCTTAAAAATTTCCTGAGAAGAATTCTAATTGGCTTGACTCATGGCCTGGGCCTACTATGATTGGCCCGCTTGAATCTTGTGCCCATTCCTGAGAGTGGGTACTGTGTTTAGAAGCCCTTATGAGAATCATGTAGTTGGAGTACGGAAAAAACGACCCCCTAAAGAAGCAGGAGAGATGTGTTTCACACAAAAGGAAGGTGTTCAGGTTGACATATTATGCATGTCTATACAGACATGAAGAAAGGACTACTGGTTCTGGGGAGAGAATCATAACCATTCTTCCCCTTCCTTCATGCTCTCTAAAATCAGCCAAACCACATACATGTTGTTATGGACAAAGCAGCCCACTTAGTTCAGGTGCTGCCCTTGCATTCTGCGTATAACCTGTGTCTGCTTCTCCCAGGAGGAAAGCACACGGGGCTAATTGCATTAGCAGGTGCAGTACTATGTTGGTGATTCTGTGCCTAATCTGCTCATTATGCAGCTGATGTCATTTTATAAGTGGAGAGAAATAGTGTTATCACAGGAGAAATGAGCTCTCTTGCTTCTTGAGAAATTCTCTTAAGCCTAGACAAAGGGGTTTTAAGTTTATCAGCCTCCCCTTTGTGACACCTCATTCTAAATGATGTATTAATCATTTGTTGATTATACAGATCAATTAAAGAGGTTTTACAGGTTAGGTTAATTAAATCTTTGGTAGAACTTCCTATTTATTTAGACCTTCTGCTTTGCAATTATAAAACACCACCCAACCAGCATGTTGACTTTTAATAAGTTGCAAACAAGGGTCGTAAAAGAACATATTCCCCTCATTGTACTCCTTATAAAGTGTTCTTTTTTCTATTACATCTCTCTGCATAGTTATATCCACCTGCTAATCCATCCCATCCAGCCAGCCATCTATCAGTCAGCCTGTATGTCTATCTTGGTATGGTTTGCGCTACCAAAACTCATGTTGAAATTTGATCCCTAATGTGGCAGTGTTGGCAGGTGGGGGCCTAATGGGAGGTGTCTGGGTCATGGAGGTGGAGCCCTTATGAATAAATTAATGCCCTCCCAGGAGCTAAATGAGTTCTTAGTAATGGATTAGTTCCCAGGAGAGTGGGTTGTTACAAAGAGTCTGGCTTCCCTGGTTTTTCTCTCTCGCTGTGTGATCTCTTTGCACAGTTTCTGCCATGAGTTGAAGCAGCCTGAGGCCCTCACCAGATGTAGCTGCCAAATCTTGAACTTCCAGCCTCCAGAATTGTGAGCCAAATAAACCTTTTCCCTTCATAAATTATGTAGCCTCAGGTATTCTGCTATAGCATTAAAAAACAAACTAAGACATCTACCTGCCTATCTACCTACCAACAAAGATTTTTAAATCTGGTAGCCTTGTCCAAGTAGATGCTTATCATCAGTATCATGCAGAGGCATGTGATTGTTCAGAGTTAGAAAATGGCAACCCCACCTCCTACCTGAGGAATTTGGGTAGATCCAGGCTCAGTGTTCCCTAACTGCCTTAGTCTCTGGACCAATCACAAGTGGCGATGCTCTGGTGGCAGAAACAGACCACAATTCAAATGCACATCAGTGTACTGTATACCAAGAATCACTCCTTCAGAGCCATTGGAATGAAAACCATTACCAACACCAGTTTGTCTGCCCAGAAGACCAACCACAACTATGTAGACTCACTCATCAACCATAAGGCCTGTGGGACATTTTTGTACCCCCCAACTCCTGCCTTCTTCAACTCCACTGACTCTTAGATTTTAACATCCCTCCAAACTCCATCTCCAGAATCAGGTCATGTTTGCAGCAGAGAACAGCAAGGAAAAGGTTGGACTCCCTAATGAACAATCTCTTGAGGAAGTATCTTTAAAAATAAAACACTGTTCTCATGCACACCCACACCTCACAGAGCCTGCCTGGGACCACAGAATCCAGCACGCTCTCATTCACCACTTGCCCCTCCTCACCTCGCACTCCTAGCCAAACTCTCCTGGCACTCACGGTCACTTTTTTTGTCTGTTTTTAAATATTTACGTCTCAATGAAAAATTTGTGATTTTATGCACACTCAGAACAGACAGACCCATGCCCCATGTTTAATGATATACGTAGCTCATTTCATGTATTTTTGAGGGTTCTAGTTCTTTCCAATGCTGCATTTTTTCCTCACATGAAATATAACATTTTGTATCCAAAACAGCCTTTGGTTTTAGGATAAGGTCTTTTGCTCCCATGTCTGGGCATTGTTTTCTTTTGCCTTCAAGATGAAAAACAAACATTCAGCAGCAAATGTTCAAGGGGCATCTACCATGTGCCAGAAACTGCTTTGCAAGGCATGGGGGACCTGGCGGTGAGTGTAGTCTACTGGGGAATAGTCGCCTGTCAATTGAAGCGCAGCCTCATACAGAGCTTCAGGGGGCAGGATAGGGTGGTGCCGTGAGCCAGAGGACTCACTCCCAGCATATACTCAAGTAGTCTGGGAAAGGTTCCTAGACAAAGTGACTCCAAACTGAGGTCCCAATAATGAGTCAGAGTTAGGCAAGTAAATGAGGGGACAGGGCAGAGGATGGATGACTGGTTGCTGAGTGGTGCAGGTTGGAGGTGGAGCTCCCATGCAGAAAAATGGCCTTTTAAATTAAAACAGAGACAGAGAGAAAGAAATTGGACAAGATGGAAGAAATGCATCCTGATAGGAACACAGCCAGAGACAGATGGATGCTATTGCTGGAAGAACTTTATAGGCCACATTCAGGCTGATCTTGCAATAAGCAACCCTCTTAAAAACCTTCTAGTGGGCTTGGCTCCCTCTCGCCACCTACGAGGACTGGATTGGAGAGGGAAGGGCAAGACTGGAGTCAAAGCAGCCCGCTTGGCAGCTAAGGCAGTGATGAGCAGCATGAACCAGGGCAGAGGCAGGGTACGGGAAGAAGTGCAGCGCTTGGTGACTTGGCTGGAACATGGGGAGGTGGCCAGGATTATCCCAGGTTCCTTGAGTAAGGGATGTTATTCACAGGGCTGGTCACACAGGAAAAGGAGGCAACCTAGAGAAAGACCATGGACCTGAGGAAAGGTGACTGTACACATACGTGTGAGTGTATGGAGCCTGCCCACCATGTCAAGTCACTGAGGGTAGGCCAAATCATGCTGTGGTGACAGCCAGAATAAGCCCAGTAACAAACGTGGCTCACACCGAATGTCCATCGGCAGTGGGCTATAGCTCTGCCCATATCACCTTCATTCTGGGATCCAGGCTGAGAGGCAGCCTCTGACCAGAACACTTGCCTGTCTCATGGCAGAGGAAAAGACTCTGAAGTGACACACTTCACTTCAACCCACTCATATAGTTTGGATATATGTCCCTTCCCAAATCTCTTGTTCAAATTTAATCCCCAATGTTGGAGGTAGGGACCTTATGGGAGGTGACTGGATAATGGGAGCGGATTTCTCATGAATGGTTTAGCGCCTTCCCCTTGGTGCTCTCCTCCTGATTGTGAGTGAGTTCTCATGAGCTCTGCTCATTTAAAAGTGTGTCACACCTTCCTGCTCTCTTTCTTGCTCCTGCCCCTGCCATGTGATAGGTGTGTTCCCTCTTTACCTTTTGCCATGATTAGAAACTTCCTGAGACCTCCTCAGAAGCAGATGCTGCAATGCTTCCTGTACAGCCTGCAGAACTATGAGCCAATGAAATCTCTTTTCTTATAAATTACCCATTCTCAGGTATTGTCTTACAGCAATGCAAGAATAGCCTAATACACTCACATTGCATTGGCCAAAAACAAGTCACAGAGATTTCCTAAATGGGACAGAGGTGTATAAATCTCTCAGAGGGAAGGTCACTGGGAGATCTGATGGAATAGGTAACACACTCTACCATGCATAGGAGAGGTGGCTAGAGACCCATTTACAACATCCACTCAAAACAAAACACTAGCTTCTCTCATTCCCAGTTGGTGGAGCTGCTTGTGCAGCAGCACTTTGGGATACTTGCTTAAGAGAAGCAAATGGACAGGTGCAAAGGGCACATGACACCTTCATCAATGCAGCCTCGTGTAAGTCCATTGCCTGTCTAAATTTGAGTTTCCTCATCTGCCACATTAGGGTACTAAATATAGAGGTTCTTCAAAAGTTCCTTCCAGTTCTAAGATTCAGTGGATCTGACCTCTACTCTGCTTCTGTGGTCTGAGCACTTGATTCTCAGGCCTTTTGCCTTTCAGTTTCAAAGGCAAGGATCTCTCTAAGTGCCACATGGTTATGTCTCAGGAGTCAATATTCAGAGGGGGTACCTAAGCCTCTGTGATTCTTGGGGCATGTGTTCTGCCAACTCCTCATTTCTCACTGTTCTGAGAGGGTCTGCCTTCTCTGCCAGGTCCTGTCTCCTGCACTGCATTAGGGACTAACACCTTATGCTTGGCCTACTTCTTAATTCTTTCCTGAGAAGGCCTCGTGGCACCTTTAGCCATGGCTTGTCATCCCATCAAACTGTGAGAAGGCCAGAGGCTGAGCACTTGGACCCTCCCCCTCCAACTCCAAGTTGTTGGCTTCACTTGATCCTCCTTCATCTTGGCTGATTTCAGGGCCAAGGCTGCCACCGTCCCCTGCTTCTGCTTTAATTTTTGTCCCCTGATGTCCATCTAGTGAACAATGATGCATTACAATGTCTAGGTGCCCAGGGCTGCAAATCCTTTCAAGATATAATCAGTTGAAAGGAAGGATTTTGCATCCAAGGCTGATGCCAACCTGACTATACACTTATTACCAAGCCTGTATAATTAAAACGAACATTTCATATACACACAAAACTGTCATCTTGATGCAGAAAAATATGAGATGAAAAATTCAAGGAGGCACAGAATACAAAGAAAATGGCAGAGGAAGTGGGGTCAGCAGAGAGAGGAAAGAGAAGAGACTGGGGAAGCCTTCCACTGAGAACCACACCGGCTACATTAGCCTTGTTAGTTAAAGTCCACCATGCAGAATGCAATTCGGTTTACTGGTTAATCTGTTTAATTAAGGAAATGGCATTTTGCTGGATTGCCTTGGTCTGTGTTCATGTAAATGTAGAAGTACTTCCAACAGCAGCCACTCAAAAAGTCTGTTCCAAAGCACTCCTCCGACGGAAGGTATTGTGCAGTGTTGCATTTCCAAACACTGCAGAACTCAGCCGTGGGCTGTTGTGACGGACAGACCCTAAGATGGCCCCAGTGAACTCTGCCTTCTGGTATTAATGAATTTATGTAATTCCCTCCCAGTTAGTCCTGGACGGGACTTGCTTCTAATCAACAGAATATGGCAAAGGTGATAGGATGCCACTTCCATAATTATGCTACATAAGATTTTAACTCCCATCATGCTGGTAGACTCTTTCCCTTACAAGCATGAATGAAGCAAGCCTCTGCATTGTGAACTCCCCTATGGAGAGGGTCACAGGTCAAGAAACTGAGGGCCGCCTCTGGCTGACAGCTAGCAATGAGACCCTCTGTCAATCAGTGAGATTGAATTTTACTAAGACGCTGAGTAAACTTGAAAGCAGATCCTTCCCCAGTTGAGTTTTCTGCTGAGACTTTAGTCCTGGCCAACACCTCAATTGCAATGTTCTGAGAAACCTAATAAATGGGTGTTAACAGCAAAGACGGGAATGACACAGTTGAGATGCAGGCTCAGCTGTGGAATGGGGAGCAGGATCACAAACACATGGACCCCTTTCCAGAGTTGATTCCCAGTACTGCAGACTCTAGAGTCAGACAGACCTATGAATCATCTTGCCCCTTGTTTCTCACTCACTGGGAGAACACAAGGTTACTTAGCATCTCTGAGTCATAAATTATTCTACTTCACTGGTAGTGTGATTCAACACATCACAGGGTTGCATCACAGAAGACAGTTGCCTTATAGAACCCAGCACAGTGCCTTGCCGAAGCATATGCATCAATCCATCACCATCTGTTTATTCCTGTGGTTTGAGGTCCTGTCTGAGGAGCCTAGAAATCCCATGCTCATTTGGGACAGGCTCACACAGTTCCTGGCTTCAGCACTCTCCTGAATGGAGAGGGCAAACCAAACCTGATAGGAAATCTGACTTCTCTATCATTCCAACATTCAAATATCCCCATGTTCAGTGTTTGGCCCTTTTATGATGTTAGCAGAGCTGATGTCTCCTTTCTCCTTTTCTCTACGGAGGGAAGACAGGGTATCATTTAGAACACAAGCAAAAAAGTCTGACTCTTATGTTGAAATCCCAGCTCAGTAACCTAACATCTCTTATCTGAGCAAATCTCACTTCTCTGAGCTTCAATTTCCTCTTCTGTAAAATGAGGATAATAGCATTTATTTCATAGGATTGTTTTGGTAATAAAAAAAGGATTATCCATGAAAATGCTTAGTATGAAACCTCAATATCTGGTTCTTAGTAAGAATTCAATAAACAATGGCTGATGCTACTGTTGCTATTATTACTCCTTCTTTACTGCTGCAACTATTGACTAATCTCAGTGCTACTAGTATTGCTAGTGGAGAGGCTATAGAGCATAGTGATGAGAAGTATCAGCTCTGGGGTCAGTTTCTGGTTTTGCCCATTATTGGCTGTGTGCTCTTGGGGCAATTTTACCTGCCTGGTATTAATTCCCTTCCTCCCAACTCTGCTCCTCAAATCTGGCATCTTCTGGACATTGCTTTAGAAGGTACTAAGTAATTGCTTTCACTATCTGTTAAAATGATTAAGCTCTTCTCATCAAGATAATTGTGGGCAAATAATGAAATCCTGGTAAATATTTGGATAGTAATCATAAAAATGTAAAGTGGCTTTGACACACAATGGCACCTAGAATGTGAGGAGACACCTCCTCTGTTTGAAAGTGGATTGGACTTCATAGTGGCCAGGAAACTCATCATACCGAAGCCTTGATTTGTGTCTTTGCCCAGACTCAGGCATGTTGCACAAATCCAAGAATATGCTATGTTTTAATCTGAATTATTTTCTTAGCCATATTCCTTATTTTACTGCTAAAGCAGATTCAAGAGATTCTGGGAAGTAAACACTCATCTTTCTGTGGAAGTAAAAGCATTAACGATTAAGTTTGGGTAGGAATTTCTATTCTTTTGTAACCTCTATTGAAAATTAACATGGTTTTCCACTTGCAACCTATATCCTCTCCCCAGGAGCTGGCTTCCTAGGGAAAAGAGCTAATATTTTGCAGCAGCTATTGAAAGCAAGAACCAGGCTGGTGTAAAATGTGCGTGCTTCTGCATTCCTGTTTCCCTTTGCACAAAAAGCATAGCATCAATTGGATGAAATAATAGCTACTCAGTTGGTCATTCCCTTATGACTGCAAGCCATTTGGAGCTCAGTCACACTTACGAAAGACAGTATCGACTATATGTAGAAATATCTGGAATGAGATGCTTTGCCCCTGACATCTTTCATTCATAATTACTGCAAAGTCTGCCTGCCTAGGCCTAGTCAATGGTCAGTCAATATTCCCATTATAAGCTGGAGCAGGGTGAAAGGCCAAGGCAGAAATACAAAGCAGACATATACTCAATGGGGCCCACACACCCAAGCATCAGAGTTGGCTGGAGAGGGTCCCATGAGCCACTGAGCTCAGAAGGATAGGCAGGTACCATTTGATGTCTTCTGGAATCTGTGTTTTATGGGGTTGGAAATTAAGTCTCTTCACAATGACACAACATAGAAGAACATCCTCCGTAAGGCATCATCTTTTACATAGAAGTGGATCATTCTCTTGTTGAGTTGCTTGTTGCAGTTGCTTTTGCATTGTGATGGTGCTGAAGGTCTTGCCACAGAAGAACACAATTTAAATGGGCATGAGTAACATGGTTACACCCAACTGATAAACAATTTAAATTAGAAAGCATGAACAAGTACTTCTCTTCCCAAAAAAGATACCTCACTCTGTGGCATTGGGGTAAAAACCCTACTCTGTAACAACAAGGAGTTGATGATGAGGGGTTATCATGAACTAGCTTAGGAATGTTAGAAAGTGATTTGGCTTTTTATGGGTTGCTTGCATTGTACTCCAATTTGGTGATTTCTACTTTGCCAGCATGAAGTCATTCTGAATCTTAAATCAGAATTTTCTCATAAACACTGTAAGTCAGCCAGCGTTAAATGTTGTATGTGCTTGGCACCTGCTACCAAGGGGGATTTTCTTTTAAACCGCTATTTTGTAAAGACTCATCCACTGCAAATAACTAAATAAGGACATCAGAGTTTTGAGGTTTATGAATGTCCCTCATACGCAGAGTTTCACAGAAAATCCTTTTAGGTACCATTATTCTTGGCCATGATGGATATCACTACCCACATCTAATTTAGCTAATTTTCCTGTCTTTCTCATGTACTAGCACAGAAATGAGTATTAATTTACCATTAATTTAGTGTGCTAACCCTTAATCAGCAACAAGCCTGTTCTGAAATAGCTGATATTGAAAGCTCAGCAAACTTTTATTCAAAATAAAGTCACCATTGCATGTGTGTGTGTAAATACAGTCACACATACTTTCATCTCTCCATCCAATAAATTTTAGGGATCCACCACATAGATATTTGCTTTGAGTACATTAACAAACTTAAATGTTACCGTAATAGTGTGGCTTATCTAAGAAAAAAACAGACTTGGACATGAATAGCTGCCTGAAGAGGTCCTCAGAAATGGTCCACAGAGCCTCTTAGATTCAGGGAACCTTCGGGAAGCTCCCAGTGAAACTATATGTTTATAACAACGGAGTCAACAGAGTGTCCTATAAAACATATATTCTTTCATTTAATATCTTCATGATTACCTCTAAAGATGGTCTTTATTAATTCCTTTTACTGCTGAGGAATCCAGGATTCTGAGAAGTTCATTTATTCATCCACCCATTTATCCATTCAACTAATACTGAATGCCCACTATAAGGAAAGGTCTCTCCTAGTGGATGGGGCTACAGCAGGGATAAAACTAAGCTCCGCTGTCAGAGGAGTTTACATTTTAGAGACAGTAAATAACCCAAAGTCACACATTCAAATAGGGTCAGGGCCAGAATTCCAAGTCATGACTGTTTGATTTCTGTGCTATGTTCTTAACCAGAACACTACGCTCCCCTCTATGATAGGAGGATGTTAGGAGCAACTAAAAAGTCTTTCCTAGTATTTAATGTTGCTTTCTTCTAAAGAGATACTGGGTGTCGCCATGCCACAATAGCTCCTCTGTTGAACCAGGCCATATGCAATGTCTTCTTTCCCTCTCTCTCTCTCCCCTCCTCCCTCTCCTATTTTTAAGACTTTAGACAGGCAGGCAGCAATTCTTAATGCCAAACTATGGAAGACACTGCTCACTCAATATCTATCCTCCCTTCTTTTCTTACTGCCAGAACCACAACTTTGTTTGGGGGCAGGACTATCTAAAAAATAGTTTCCCAGGCTCCTTTGTACGAGGGATGCTCACGTGACTGAATTCCAGCAAATGAGGTGTTAGAGGAAGCCCACCGGCTGGAGCTTCTAGGAAAGCAGTGTTTGCCTGGTGAAAAAGGACTGACTTTGTCGGCCCAGGTCTTCCAGGGAGCAGGGGTGTGATTCCAGAAGGGGTGGGAGGATCTTGAGACTGTGAGGATAAGGGTCATATGCTAAGGATGGCAGAACAGGAAGCTGGAAGAAGGAGCTTGAGTGGTTGAGGATTTACTCATCAGCCATACAAGCCCGAGGATGTCTCTCCCTGGACATGAGAAAAATACACCAGCATTAAGCCATTGAATTTGGCTTTTTATACATGCAACTGATTTACAATACCATTCTTACACATACACAAAATATACTATTGATAAACTCAATGTTGAATAACCACCACCTCTACACCATTGCCATTTACCGTACTTTGCCCTGCATAAGGCACCACGCTAAGTTTTACTACATTGTATCATTTATTCGTCATAGAAAACTTATGAGGGAGGTATCATTATCTTATTTTAGAGATGAGAAAACTGAAGCTCAGGGTGATTAAGCAACTTGTGCAAGTTAGAATGAGTCAGAATACAGTGGAACTGGCATTGAAATCTAGCTCCAAAGCCTAACCCTTAAGCACCTGAGTTGATCTTTATAAAAAAATCACATAAGTAGCCATTGGTGGTATTTGAAAAATACTATTATCTTGATATTTAGCTAAGATAAATCTGTATCTCTAATTTCTTCAGAATTGTTTCAATAAAATTTTCTTTCCCGACATTATTAAAGCCTAACAATTTCCAATTCCTTTCTCTTTGTAACTTCAAACAATGTAACAAAGTGTGCAAAGTGTACCTTCATGTTCTCTGCATATTCCGATAAAAAATAAAGCCTATGTGCCCACCATCTTTATATGCAAGATTTCCAAGAAATCCAATATTTTGAGTCACTAATATCCCAATCTTCCGTCTCTCTTCCCCCTTTGACTTATTCTGACCATAACACGATAGAGATTAGTGTTGAAAAACATCATTAAAGGAGGAAGTTTAAGAAGGATGAACAAGCTCAGAAATGTCAATGTGGACGTCAGGGGAGAAATGCTGAGAGAGGACACCCTTGGCTTCTGCTTCCAGCCTTTGCTTCTCTCTTCCCTCTGCCTAGGTGCCTCCTTCACAGCCTCAAACTTGTCCCTCCAGATCTCAAATGCCCCGGGTGTAGTTTTTGTTGTTGTTGTTGTTGTTCTCCTTTGCAGGCTAATCTTCCATCTATTACCCATTTGGGATATTTCATCAGAGAGGGTCTGACTTTTTTTTTTTTTAGTTTGTTCAGGATTAAATACATATTTCATACGCACACACACACACACACACACACACACACGCACACACACACACACCTCCTGAGCTATGCTTCACCCAGTCTTTAGTTTATGAACATCATGCCTGGTTGAGTCACCTATATGAAAACACAAAAATTCTATCACAAAGCTCCTGGGAGATGTGTTCACAGGGCCAATTTAAGTGGTTAGCTGCCCAAAATATTAGGACTTTGATGCTCATTCTCCTCATCCACTCACCCTCACCACGTAATTCAAAATTAAATCAATATCAGAGCATAAACATAAGCCCAACTCTGAGTTTTCTGATTATGATTACTTGCATTCTTTCAATTTGAAATCTCTTGTTTAAAACTGTCAATGTATATACACACATATATACATATGTGTGTGTGTGTGTGTGTGTGTGCACGCACATGTGTGTCTGTCCCACTGGCCCCCTAAGCCCAGGCTCACACTGTCAGCCTGTCAGCCAGTTGGACAATCCAGCACTAGGTACTCAAATTTTTATGCTGGGTCATTTTACTCTTACTTCATCCATGAGGTAAAAGCTTGATTGTTGAGTGCCTGGGTCTTAAACAGAGAAAAACATGAAAATTAGAGAGAATGAGACCATCCTAGAGAGAAGTACAGTATATACTGTTTAATTATATAAAACAAATAGGAATTGGTGTCTATATTGCCCGCAAGCAAGAAAAGCCATTGCTATTGGTCCGTATGTGATAGCAATATTTCACTTTCGATTCACATGTTGGCTTAAATGCTTCGTTGAAAAGGCTGTCTATATTTTCCATCCATACTATTAGATAATGGGTCTATGTAATTATCTCGCCCAACCATACTCAATAAGGTACTTAAAATACATGAGTCTTAGTTGATTGATGATGAATATAAAGAAACAAAGTTCACACTTTCAACTTTTTCACTCTACATTTGAAATTTTGAACCTAATTTAAACCATATGTCACTAATAAGGTGAATAATACTTTCTAACTGGCTTTTTGGTTGTTTTTGGAAAATAGTTATAGAAAAGTACAAAGAAAAGAGTGGCACTCATCCATATTTCTGTAACTAAAAATTTATCATCATTAATTTGATACACTTGTTTTTTCTATATATACATTGTTAAAACAACGATGAAAGTTGAATGTAAACACCGCTCCCCTTTTAAAAAAGTATTAGAACATTACAGAGGAAGCCAAGTGCTCTTTTTCTACGATCATCACTCCTATCCCCATCCACCTCCTTTCCATTTCTCTCCCCCTCTCCAAAAGTGCCACCTATAATCAGTTTTGTACGTTGTCTCACAGTCCTTTAAAAAATGCTTTTACATCTGTCTATGTCCAAAGGAAATATGCAGTATTGATTTTTATGTTTTTCAAGTTCAGATTTTACTCAGGCAGAGCATTAGTCTTCAAAGTACTGTTTGAGAAAAGCCATGTGATCATATCAGTAGATGCAGGAAAAGAATCTAATTCAATTAAAACCGATTATTTAATTCAATTTTTACCACTTTTAGCAAACAAACAAGACAAGTGACCTTCCTTCACCTGGATAAAGAAATTAACAAAAGCCCTAGAGCCAAAAGCATCTTTAATGGCGGAATATTAGAATACCTTTTAAAGCTAAGGACAAACAGCTTTCACAACATCTGTTCCATAGATTCAGGCCAGTGTGGTAAAGACATAAAAAATAAGTGAAAGGGTTGGGAAGGAAGAAATAAATCTACCCTAAGTCACATGTGGTATGATTTCGTTTTCATCACCATCCAAGGGAATCTACAAAGTTAGAACTAATAAAACATTTTGGCGAGTTTTCTAGATAGAAGTTGAATACATAAGAATTCTCTGTGTTCTTCTGCACTAGCAGCAACTCAGTAAAAATGCCACTTATAATGATAAGCCAAACTATAACTTGCTGAGAAAAAAATCAACCAAATGTATGTAATAATGTTATGGAGGAAATTATAAAACATATATAAAATGTTTCCTGTAAAAACGAATTACACACACACACACATACCATGTTAATGGTAAGATCCAACTATAAAAATGACAGCTTTGTTCATATTCATCTCTATGTTCAGCAAAACATAAATTAAAACCTTAACAGTTTTATTATGGAACTTCATAAAATTATTCTAAAATGTATACAAAGCATTGAAAAATCTGGAATAGCCTGCTCAAGTTTGGAATAAGACAATGTTGGGGGACTAGTCTTGCTGGGAATCAGATTTTAATGATATATTAATTAAGACAGCATGTTGCTCATGGGTGTAAACTAGACCAATGACACATAGTACAGATTCTAGAAATAGATTCACATGAGAAGGAGCCAACACACCTGGACACTGAATATATGACAAGGGTAGCAATTTAAAAAATAGAGTATTAAAAATGGTCTGGAATAAGAGGTTACCTTTTGGGATGAAATTTTTTAAAGATATCTATATCACATTATACGCAAAATAAACCCCAGTGCATTAAAGACATAAATATCAAGAGTTAAACTAGAATTTTTACAAGGCAATATAAAGGAATATGATTTAGAATATGGAAGGATTTTCTTGACTAAAACACAAGCATTAAGCTTAAAAGACCAAATCTGTATATTAGATTTCAAACTTCTATATCACAAAAGAGGCTAAACAAAAGGGGAAATTAGCCAGATTACGAGTAATGTTAACACTACATATAACTGACAAAGATTAATATCTAGATTATATAATGAGTCTCTAAAACAAATTAAAAACAGACAACCAATAGGAAAAATATGGATAAAAACAAATAGATAACAATTCATAGGCAAGGAAACAAAACGACAAACAGATGGAAAAATGTTCACTCTAAATCAGAGACATGCAACTGAAAACTACAATGCAGTGCCATTTGTTCCAATCAACTTTCATACTGATTTTCCTCTCTTCCCCTGCTCTTGTTCATATCACATGTAACTATTTCAGGCTTCCAGGTTAAGTTTGGCCAGTGGAAGGCACTGGGGGAGGAATGAACGACAGACAGAGGGAGAACACAGGCATTCTTCCCCTTTCCACTTTGTTTCCTGCAGGACCTCTGGCAGCCTCCATGAGCCCCCGGAGGCCTTGTTGTGTCCAGCTCCCACCTCGCCTCCTGCATCCCCCTTTGGTGTCAATTTCAGACAGGTGACCCTAGTTTCTGATTTCTGTTAACCATGGCCTTCTACTATTGTGAATGTTGCTTCACTATCTAGTTTGGTTTCTCAGCTAGTCTATCATCTGTCTAATCAATTGTCTGTGTTAAATTTCCTCTGTTGAAAGACTGAGAGTGTTCCAGCTGGACTCTGATGCACCATTTCATACTCATTAGATTGACACAAATTTAAATGTCTGTCAATACTACGTGCTGAAAAAGATATGGAGTAATATGAGCCCTGTATGCAGCTGGTGGGAGTGTAAACTGATAAGACCACTTTGGAAAGCAGTAAAGTTTTAGTAAAATTGTACATGGGTGATTCCTGTGACCTAGCAATTCCAATTTCATGTCTACTTACCGATACCCAACCCATACCCAACCTATACTCTCTCATTTTCACAAGATGAGAAATTCATTCAAGCATTATTTGTAAAGGCAAAAATTTATAAAACAATGTAAATATCCAGCAACATACATGTCTTTAAAATATGATATACTAAAGATATAATATACTATTAATCAGTTCAAAAATATCAACTAGAGCTTCCTGTGTCAATATGGATAACTCTCAAAAACATAATGCTGAGTAGATGCAGAATGATACATATATAGTACAGTGTCATTTATACACATTTATTTTAAAATGCCAATTCTTTATATTCTTTCCGGATATATAAGTAGTAAAAATATATATACACAGAAATGATAAACCCCAAATTCAGGATAACTTTCCTCTCTGGAAGGCAAGAGGGAAATGGAATCGGAGAGTGGTATACATGGAAATTTAACATATCTGTAATGTTTTATTTCTTAGAAATACCTCATGCACATTTGGTAGAAATCAAATTTAATAAAGCTGGGTAAAAGGCACATGGGTGTTTGCTATGTTATTCACCATTCTGTTAGTATTGTTGAAATGTTTTATTTAATTTTTTTAAAACAACTTATCTTTCTAAAAATAAGTAGCCTTTATTAATGTAGAAGGGACAATAATGGGTATCTAATCATGACCCCTAAATTTATGTGGAGTAGAAACTTTTGGAGAACTGACAAAAGGCTGTCTATAAAACCTACCTAATTTCCTCCTAAAGGAAAGTCATATTTTACCCACACTCAACCCCATTCACCTTCAAAATAATAATACTTTTTCCATGTTCATCATCATCGACCATGTCAGTCTGCTGAGACCTACTTCTGAATGGATGCTACTTCAAAACAGTCTTCACTATTTTCTAAAACATTGTCTATCACTGCTGGCCTTCCCCTGTCCACTACAGTATATCCATCTCTTTGATGTGTAGTTTGTCTGCCTTAAAGCTTCTAGCCATTAACATGTATGCTGTTTCTCCTTTGGTCTTGGGCTGTAGCCTAGCTTCTTGGCCTCTTTTCGCTTGTTTTTGCCCTCCGTCATTGGTTATGGAAGCCCTCTGTTTTTGGGCAAAGGCTAGGCTCAGTATGTTTTCACAGTTCTCATTACTTCACCCTAAACAGTGTCTAGTGTATTAATCCTGAACCAGGTGCAGTTGTATGGAACTTCTTTGCATCTTTGGTTGTCCTAGGGTCTCTCTTATCTCCGAGCTCTTGCACATGATCCCTCTTGGTATAGAATGAACACTTGTAGCCACACCCCTTACTTTTCCTGCTGATTTCTTATTCCCTTAAACCCCAGCTTAATTCCATCCTCCTGGAAACTTTCCCAGATCCTTGAGACCAGCACTCTCTACTTACCCTGCTATTACATTCAGCACATAATATCATAATCACTCTCAGCCACCAAATATAAGTTCCATTCAGCCAGGGAAAATGTCTGTATCATTTATCACACACTAACTGTCAAGCACAAAGCCTGGCATGTAGTAGACATTCAATAAATATTTTATGAATAAATGAAGGAAAATCAAGTCAGACTAATGGTCTGCCTGCCCAGTGAATTATTCTTTTTCTGATGAGGAGTGTCGTTTGCATCCACGAAGTCAAGTTACCTAAACAGCTCAAAGTTTCTCAGTATCTCATTGTAGATCCATCTCCCAGGTATTTACCTAACTTTTTTGCAGAACCTTCACTTTTTAACCATATCTGGAATAACAAATTCCACAGAATTATGTCCAATTATGCAAAGGTTTAGTTCTTTTATGAACATCCTTCTTTCAAGCCTGATGTCTTTAAGTCTAAAATGCTTACATTGAAAATTCTTTACTTTTTTTTCCTTTCAGGTAAAAGTAGAAAAGAAAGCTTTCTAATTTCCATGCACAATGAAGGAAGACATAACAGAGACGAGAGCGAAAAATGCAAGACTGAAGTCACAGCACTCACAGAAGGCAAATCAGTCAGCTCTCGTTAACACACACAAAGTCTGGCATTTGTGTATTAGTGATAATCATGGATTACTGCTGTATTCTATTAGCCTTTTAGGGATTTGCCTTTGCTAAATCTAAAACAACAACAAGCAAATGCAAGTGCAGAAAAGGGAATTCTTATTAATGGAGCCTGTTTGATAACTCTTTTCATACCAGTTTAGAAGGCCTCTTTAGTTTGTTTTTTCAGCAGCAGCTGGAAGCAATACTTTTTTCGAATTATCAAAAGATTTAATGGTGTAATGTGATCCAAGAGCAGAACTAGTTATAATGAGAGAAAAGCAACAAACAGTATAAACCAGTTATAATCTACTATAATTTTACCAATTTAATTTTTAACTTGAAGAATATTTTATTAAGTATGTATTTACACATATTAAGTATATGTATAGATATATTTCAGTTTTCTATATTTCATTTTATATATTACATATAAGTTTGTACATTTAACTATATGTGTACCATATGTTTCAGAAATAAGTGTATTTTGCATTTAGTCTTTCTTAGACCAAAAGCTGGTTTTTCCCCAGGGAACTTTTCTTGATATTTCCATAAGAGATTTGTTTCTTAATATTTTTAAGGGCACTTTAAGAAAAAGTTTTTGGTTAGCTTGAGGATGGAAAATCTTCAAGGGTTCTATGTTCTAATTTTACAACATGTTTAACATTTTATAAATAAACTAAATAGCATTTGTCCTAAACAAACATTAGGAAATTCTTTGAAAATGCTCATCAGAGCATGCTAACCAGTATGTTTTAATAGACTTATTCTCCACGTAAGCATTGTTAATCCTTTGCATCTTTTTTTCTGAAGAGCTTTAAATCGTACTCTTAAGCAGGGTTTATTACTATGAATTTCAAGTAGAAAAATTATTGTTTATGTATTAAAAATATCTTCTGAAATGCAGCTGCTCATGCATGTGGCTAACAGTAGATTTGGGACACTGAGTTTTGCAAGTTGGAGGGAAGCACAGTGTACTAACAAATAGCTCCAGTGTCTGTTTTTTTTTGAAACCAATGCACTTATCTCAGAAAAACTAATATTCAGAGTATGGCTCTAGGTGGCTGCAGAGATAACTTTAGGTGGCAACAGCTAATATAATTTGTAGACCTAAGTGTTTAAAAACTGTAAATCATACCCTGTTTACCTGATCCTGTCCTCCCACACCTCCAAAGATCATTGTCTTCCTTTTTATCATAAAAAGAATTAAAATGATAAGCCAATATGCCTCCTTTCAAACTCATACTTAAACCTATGAAGTTATGGCCTGTTCCTGGAGTTGTCTTATGCATGATTCAGTAAAAATAACTTGCAGGTTTATTTTCTCTTAAGGTTTTGTTAGGACTATTTTGAAATCGTATGGCTTTTAAAAAATCAGAAGTAGAACAATTAAGCATATGCAAGGTTAGGATCACAAGTTCTGAGTCAGACAGCTCTTTTATTCAAACCTGAATCACGAATTCCAAGCTATATCCCACTTAGCAAATTACATAACCTCTCTGTGCCTCAGTTTCTGCATAAATGGTATGATAGTAACAACAGTATTTTTGGCTTAGAATTGTTGGGGTGATTAAATTTAAAAATTGATGTACGCTTGTAGCACAGTGCCTGGTACAGCTAAGACTTCAAATGTTGGCCCTATCTGCTGCTGTTATTACTAGGAATTTTGTATTATAGTGAACAAACTTCTTTCATTTTTCTCCAGTGTTGACTGAGTGCATTGGGGTGACAGAACTCAATACAGAGGAAAACAACCAAGTGCCACCCTATATTAATATGGTAGGTTCTAGTTAACAGCTTGGCTCTAACCTGAGCATATTGTGAGTCCTCTGAGGTTTTGCAAGCAAAATGAAGTCATATTTCATTAGTCAGGTTTCTTAGTTGCAAGAAAAAAAAAATAAGATAAAACAAAAACTAGACTCTGGCTGATAGAAGCAGAATAGGAATTTTTGGAGAGAATTCTGGGGAACTCTTCAAGAATTACAGGGAAGGCCTGTAAAGCTAGGCTTTGAACAAATGGAAGCCAGGTGGGTGGGATGTGGACTTGTATCACACTGCCCTTAACCTTCAGCCTGCACACCTGTGTCATGTCACTACTCCCAGATTCTGGGCCATACCCCTGTTGCCCCTGAAAGTGGGGTACTACTGCTACTGGCAAGAGTTTCTCTGTGTTAATCATTCTTTATGGCTTCCATAAACCTCTTTTGGATTCTGTTCCTCTTGGGATACCAGATGACCAACGAATTTATGATCACATTATAAGCAAGTTACTCAATTGTTCTCATACAACCCAAACCTTTAATGACTCCTGTGACCAAAGTGACCAGCAACTGCACTTACAGGAGGCCATGGCAGTCACTGATTATATGAAAACTCTAAGGTACCCAAGTATGTCTTACCTAACCAAGAAGTAGGAAAGGGCTTAAAATTGCTTTTTAAATTTATTTTTGTTTTATTTTATCTTGAGAGGGGGACATAAAATAAGCAGTTTCATGGAAAACTCCAATGAGCTTAGGAAAAGGGACTTGGGGTATAATAAAGATTTCATTTTTCTGTCTTTTATTTTTACCCTTTATGAAGCCATATTTAAATATGCTTCCAAAAATATGCTTCTGATGCAGTGAGTAAATTTCTTCTTGTCTATTTAGAGGAGAGTGACAGGCATCACCTAGTTCGTTTGCTGAATTCTACAATTCCAGCAACTGTCACTGGTTTTCTTTATTGAAAATAATCAATGGCTTTGACAGATAGAAAGGGGAGAATATAGTGGCATATTTTGATGTATCTTGATAGCATGTCTCAGAGTGGTGTCACTGTCAGTTTCTGCTCTTTGATTATTTTTTTCTAACCAGGACCCAAGGGAAAGTTCTTAGGGTCTTTAACACTGAAACTCCCCAAACATAAAGGACAATGGATACCTAGTACTTGCCTGTTTTTCATCCACTGATGAGTTTTATATTTTAATTCTTCATTTTAACCCAGTATGTTTTTAGCAGAGTTATATAATTTGGAAAGACTCATTTGGACTTAGGTGCATGTTTCCTTGGCAATTAAAAGAGGTTTAGATTGACAACTATGTACCAGCCACACTTTATTTTTGGTTCTTTTATGTGATTCCAAGTAATTTTAAAAGTTTATTATTATAAAAAATTAAAATCCTCTGGCCATAATAGAGAATCAAGGAGCATTTTCATTATAATTCATTACCTATACCTAGAATTCCCATCATTACGGATGCCTGAGTCAGTGCAAACATTTTTTATTAGAACCCACTATTGTATAAAATACTTTTCTTTTTATACAGAAAAAACGAGTCACATTGGCAACCGGTCTACACTTAAATTGCCCTTTCTCCTCACAGCATAAAATAATCTGTTGTGCTAAATAATTTGAAATATCATTTTGTTAATAGGTAATGAAAATGTGTAGCTAATGAGCCTCATGAGACTTGATGCTCAAGCTACATGCTGTCATTTCAATGACACCCTCAGCGGAGGCAGTTGCCAATGCAGAAGAATGATTCGGAATCTCAATCCATGAGTAGGTAGGACTTCAATGACTATGAGTCTACTCTAAATGGTATTACCTTGGATTCTATGTGAGACAAGGACACCCTCAAACCACAGTCAGAACTCCTGCTTCTCTGAATTGTGACCATGGGTGCGAATCCATATAAGATACAAAAAAGAAAAGAAAATTGAATGGCTTCCCAAGACCACTGTTGCTGCTTCCAGCCTTTGCATGGGGTTTATTGTCCAGCTGGGTCGATGTAGCACCTCAGCTTCCTTGCTTAACACCTCCTGATGACTTGTCTGACATCTCAGAGTTTCTTAAAATATTCTTAAGCCTTTGGCATCCCTTCCTGTCCTGGGCCTCATGAATAAAACATTTATCCAGTCAGCAGCTATGGCAGAGAGGAAAAGCCAAGTTCCATCCATCAATGTCAAGAGCTGAATTACCCAGTGATTGCAGATCCTTTAATAACTCTGCCTTTCTATGGTGACATTGGTAAATAGTCAAATACTGCCAGCACCTGGTTAGTTGGTAAGTATTCATTTTCTACCCTGGTAACACACCACCACCAAGTGAAAATGGTGAAAAGCAGTGGTGATTTAATTGTTTTGTGTTTTTCCATTTGCAGTCTGTATTAGTTTACTAGGGCTGCGGTAACAAAGTGCCACAAACTGGGTGCTTAAGCAGAAATTTGTTGTCCCACAGTTCTGGAGGCTACAAGTCTGAGATCAAGATGTTGGCAGGGTTGGTTTCCTCTGAGGACTGTGAAGAGAAGCTGGTGGCTTGTAGAAGCTTTACCCTCATCTCTGCCTTCATCTTCACATAGCATTCTCTGTGTGTGTTTATGTGTGTGTGTGTCTAAATTTTCTCTTCTCATAAGAACCCAGTCATATTGAATTTGGGCACACCCTACTAAAGCATGGCCTCAATTTAATCAATTACATCTACAATGGCTTGTCCCAATTTCCACATAAGGACATATTTAGAGGAAGATACAACTTCTTCTCAAATTTCTATAGGACAATTACTAAAAACTAAAAAGTTGCCAGGGTTGGGGATTGGAGTGGTGAAAGAGGAAGCATTCATGTTTTTATGAAAAGTCATAGGACCTATAAAATTATTAATAATCCCGGATGGTTTTACTAACTACTGAACAAAGGTAATATTATGTTTTCATATTTCCTTATGGGCCAAGTCTCCTCTAAATACTCAAGTATACACAAAAGGAAAACATGTCCTCAAGAAACACAGAGAAGCCATCTTCATCCCAATAAATAAGTTGACTCATGGTGAAGACGATTCCACTCAATACATTTTAATTTTACATTACCTTTAAATAAAATTTCCTGCTCTATTCAAAATAAAAACATACTCCTGCTAGACTCTTCTGTGTCATTAATCTCATAACTGTAGATTTTTTTCACATATTTACAAAGTAAATATAGGTGGTGAGTATATCACTACAGATTTTAAATGCATTGTTATGAGCTCCTGTTTATTAAGGCAAATATGATACAATCCAGTCCAATAAAAAAATCAATCAAATTGAAGGGAAAAATAATTGGTTTCACATAGACGAACCAACTGGCTGCAGAGTTCACTTCCCTTGGGGACATGTTGCCTCTGTTTATAGGTAGCTGAACCCTTTGGTTCTCAAGTAATGAACACCTTTGTTACACACGCATGCCTGTGTGTGCATGCACACACACACACACACACACACACACACAGTCTTCCCTTATAAAGAATGCCAAATCCAAACAAATTGTCTTGACTAGCTTTCCCATCTATCATCTTCTCCACATTTCAACAAAGCTACTAGAAAAATAAAACCCATCCATGACATAGTTCCTTTCTATACCTGTCTTCCCTGTATTCTACTAATGAAGCACCTTAAATATTTGTAGAATTGTAAATTCTGGCCTGAAGACCTGTCAGCCAACATCAGCTTGTGAAATGACTGGAGTTTCATCAGATTGACCACCCCCAGCCCCCAGCAATGTCACCCACAGTGCTGTCAGTGTAATCACAGAGAGAATTATTTTGTGGTTATGTGATATCCTTTTAAGAAGAAAAGAATCATCTCCTTAAATAACATTTGTTTTCCATATCACAAAACACCATTTCAGAAGGTTATTTGATTAACTCTCTCCCATTGAAAATTATATTTGATATAAACAAGAGAGTAAACCTAAATACAAATGATACATTTGTCTGTTAGAGACATATAACATAGAAGGCAATACAATCCATCAATCACTTGCAAAAACACTCTTTGCTTTTGCATGCTTTTTAGTTAGATTTACATTATGCACGTGGGATGCAGAAAAGAACAGTGAGAAAGACTCATCTTCACGGGATGCTCAGGGAGTATTTTCTTGCTTGGTTAGTGTTTCATTTTCAGATAACTTTTCTGATAACTGGGGACCTTTTTCTGAAGTACCTTCCTGTTTGCTCTGTCTTCAACACTGTGACATTTTTATGTACCTGTTTTAATACATCATTAATTTCATCACTGCACGGTTTCCTCAGGAAACAACAGTCAAAGCCCCAGTTATTAGACCGCTCTCATTGAAAAAGAGAAAAGGATTTCATTGCTTAAGCCTCATTTTCCAAGGATTGCTGTTATTAATTATCTGTATGAGATGGATGCAGCAGGGATTTTGCTAAGTCTTGTTGCTTCCCCTTCCCTAAGAGCTGGATCAGGGTTTCTGGAGATCACAGGGAGATCTACACAAAGGCCATTGTTCAGTGCCAATGTGAGCTATGGCCTGCTGCACCTGCCAGAGGGGAAGGAGCTCTCCAGAGCAGGCTTCTGAGAATTCTGGGAGGACAGCCTGTAGGAGGTGTGAACACTTTCCAGAGTCAAAGGCCTCAGTGCCTTGAATCTGGGAGATGAATTCAGCCAAGCAGAGCTCTTAAAGCTCTGCTGAGAGACCAGGAAATGGCTCTGGAATGGACACCCAGCTTCCTAGAGAGGCTTCAGTGAGGCCTGGAATGGGAAGAAGTGTTGCAAAGAAAGACAATCACAATTATGAGCACGAGAAGCCTCCACAGCCCACTGTTAACCACAATCAGATACAGTGTACCAGGTCCCTGAAACATAAGTACCCTTCATAGACGCTAAATGTATTCTTTTCAGCTTCTCTTAGCTTCATTCTGAGGCCAGGGGACAGGCCTAGTGTCACAGCTGAGAAAATGTTATAACACGAGTTGGAAGAGAGTCTAATTGCAAAGAAAGCAGAGCATCCTGGGCAGGGTGGTGTGGCAGTGACTGGGGTGAAGGAATGCCAGTCTCTCAGTTGCCACCACTCCTCCACAGTCCTCAGAGTTCTGTGCCTGAGGAGGGGCTATGAAAAAGCTCAGCTCTTTCCCACTTCAATGGCTTTGCCTCTGCTGTTCCCTGTGCCCCAAACGATATTTTTGTGGCTTTCACAGGCCTGGCTCCTCCTCATGCCTCAGAGTTTAGCTCAAAGTCAGCTCCTCAGAAGAGCCCTTCCTCCCCACCCAATCTAAGCAGCTTATCTGTCCTACAGCATATCTCAGCAACCCGCTGTTGTCCTGCATGGATGATACCACATCCTCTGCTTGTCTTATCTATAAATATCTGCTTCTACACCGGGCCAAATACCCACAGAGGCAGGGACTATGTCTTAGTTTCACCAGGACAATACCTAGCACATAGCAGAGGCCCAGGAAAGGTTGGCTGAAAAAATGAAGGTATCCTAGAACAGCACTGTCTGATAGAACTTTCTGGAATGATGGAAATGTCCCATATTATATGCTGCTCAATATGGTAGTCACTATCCATAGGTGGCTCCTGAACACTTGAAATCTGGCTAGTACAAATGAAGAACTACATTTTAAATTCAATTACATTTTCATTCATTTAAATTAAAATTTAAACAACCACATGTAGCCATTAGCTGCTATATTGGAGAATGCGGATTTAGGACAATCCTCTTAACCCTGAGAAAGATACACAATGATTCCCAAAATGCTAATCTAACTCAAAGAGGAGGAGCTACCCTGAGCCCGAGTTTGGTAATTTTGTGAGCTACCTGACCACTTGACCATGCCCATACAACCTAGAAATTACTATTCTTAACCTTAATAATACTTCTCCTGGGTAGTATATGTAACATATTGGATATGTTATAAAACCAGATAATTTAGGCCATATTTCCAATGCAATAAGTTAACATTTTTCTACATGATTGTTGCATACACACAACACTCAAACATCTTAAAAAAGAATAAAATAAGCAATAACTTAAGCTACATCCCATAAAATAAGCAATAACTTAAGGTACATCCCAAGTGTACATTTAAGCAAAATATCAAAATGCCAGGATCAGTGTCTTCTCAAGGATTCAACGGCTATGACCTTTGAGGGTACAGGCTGTGCCTGCCAGCTCGATATGTTCATCTCCAGGGGCCTGGCACAGCCGTGGAGAAGGCACTCGGCAAATATTTCCTGAACACGAGTAAATACCAAGAGCCATTCTATTCAGTAACTCAGGTTTATTTATTTTTCTTATTTTTTCCCCATCTATTGTGCCGATGTTCTCCACTGAAAAGGTAAAAGTGAACATGTGGGGAAAGGCAGGTTGTAGAAAAAAAGGACTTCACCCCCACCACCCTCCCCCAATATACTCAAGTTACCCAGATAGAGGAGCCCAAGCGATGAGTCAGTATCAATAGACTGGGAGAGCCACAGGCCCAGGGAAGGCTCAGATCCTAACCTGTCCAAGCACCAAAGGGGGCTAGAATGAGAGTACAGGAGAAAAAAAAAAAAAGGAAGAAAGAAAGAAAAGAAAGAAAGAAAGAAAGAAAGAAAGAAAGAAAGAAAGAAAGAAAGAAAGAAAGAAAGAAAGAAAGAAAGAAAGAAAGAAACAACAACAACAAAAAACCAACGCTGGCCAGGATTACTTTTACCCAGATACCAACAGGAACAGCCAACTAGTTGACCCCAAAGTCTTGTTCTCAAAACAATACCATCATGAAAATACCAAGGGAGGAAAAAACAGAACACGACGTAATCAGCAAATAAGAAACCAAGCACGCCTTGTAAGCCTGATTTGAATTCAGTCACACTTGAGGTTTGCAGTTCTCTCTCTCAAAAAACCCAGATCCCACCACCTCCTCTCACTTCTACAGCAGAGACTCATTGCACTATTTTCGCATTCCTTTAGGCTCCTATCTTGCAAACAGACCCAGATAGAGTTTATTCTAATTTGAAAGTGGCAACCCTGCAAGTAATTTTCAGAAGAATTAACAATCATGCTTTTCCTTTCTTCGTCCCTCCTTCCTCTCTCTCCCTTCCTTCCTCCCTTTACCCTCTCCCTCCTCCTCCATTCTGATATAATGAATCGCAGGCAGAATTTTCTGTTTTGATCTAGTTAGAAAAATAGTCTGATTGCCTCAATATTGACAGCAGCTGCAGCTGGACCGCCCCAGGCCAGGAATCCTTTGTCTGAAACAAACAAACAAAAACTGCCTCTCCCCATTCCCCCACTGAAGCCTGTCGCCTACCTCTCAACTGGAAATCTAACCCACAGGCATTTACATCATGAGGTTTGTTTTTATAAGTTATAGCAAAAGGCAAAAATAAGCATGGTTCTCTGGTTATAGGGCAGATTTCCCAATGCCTCATTTGTTAGGAATGACATTTCTGTTAATGCCCTTGTGTTAAAATTGCATGCCCATATTTTAATTTCAATATATCATATCATGGCACTTAGTAAGAGAGGACCATCAAGAACCATTACCAAAAAAGCTATTATGGAACTTTATTCAACTAAGTTGTATATTGACTTTTAGTCAGTGTTTCAAAACAGTTTCATTAAGTTTATGTTGGAAGAAAGAAAGACGGAAAGAAATAAAAGGAAGGAAAGAAAAGAAAGGAGAGGGAGGGAGAGAGACAGAGAGAGGAAGGAAGAGCAAAAGAAAGGAAAAGAGAGAGAAGGAAGAAGGGAGAAAGGGACATATGGACTCTCAGAGTAAGGAGTCCTGATAGAGAATAACAATATTTTTATTCTTTATTTTGAAATTTATCATCCATTCTTTTATGCACTGCAGAAAGCATCATTTTTCTTTAAATGAGTTTGATATTAAATCTCTTGTTCTGCTGAATCAGGTATTATTATATATCCACCGGCTCTGGAATATGCTGTGCCTGAGAAGCATGTTTGGAAAAACAGATGCTAACATCGAGGTTTCCTTTCTGCTAAACGACAAACTTCCACAAAGCACAAAGCAAGGTTTAACCCAATCTCTCTGGTAGCCATGACTGCATGTTCAAAGTATATGTGACCACCACATCCAGGATGATACTAATTTCCTATGTGACAAGACAGTCCTGAAGATCATACACAGAAATTCTTACGGTTAATCATAAACAGGAGAAAAAGATCAAATGAGCCAGCTTTCAGTCATACATTAGGCACTCATTTTACAACATAAGAAACACATGTCTTTACCCCTGATTTTAAAAAAGGTAGTGAATGCATCACAGAAAATACAGACTCAATTGCTTCCCTTTTACATGGTGAGGGCCTTCTCCAGGACCGTGAGTATCAGCTTCTACTAGACTTGGTCAGAATTTGATCACAAAATCCTTCAGAAGCTTTTTGCTTATAAAGGAGATAGCAATTATTTGCATAGCAGAAGGAGGTTTTCACTCTCCCCAATTCTCTGACCCAGCAAAAATTACTGTCAACTATCTGCCCAGTTGAGGGATATTGATTCTCCTGTTGCCGTGGTAACACATTAGTTGTCAGGTCTGTGTGACTCTCATACTCAGTGCCTCATCTGTTCCTCCCGGCTTTTGGAGTTTGACACTTTCTAAGCCTTAATTAGTTTATTTGATGGGACCCTCACATTTTATTTTTATACTAAATAGTTATTGAAAATATCGTCATCCAAAGAACAGATCACAGAGGTAGAAATCGGTGTGCTGTCAGGCCGACTGGAGATGACAAAGACAGAGAGCAAAGTGGGAGGCACAGGCTCTGCTTGCTGCTCCTTGGATATTGGGGAAAATCAAAATGGTTTTTGCCATCTGTCACACAGCACAGTGTGAAAATTATGGAGCTGTTCGTTTCGACGTTTGAGGAACATTCTGCCACTGTGATTAGATCACAGTAGTATTACCCAGTCACTAAAGGTTTGGATCAATGCGCTTTAATATTTTTCTCCTCAGAAAATCTCTGTCTTAACTTATTTTTCAGTGTGAATGTCTGCTGAGCAATTCACTTAGAGATAAATATTTCATGCAGATAAAGCACTTAGGATGGGAGTCAAAGGACAGCTGATGACTTAGTTAAGTTTAGAGTTAATAATAAAAGAAAATAAGAAGGTTAAAAAAAAAACTTCATGAAGGATTGCTGTCCAGAACAAAGCATTATTCTAGACCCATTCTCGAATTATGGCCCACAGAACCCTGCCAGAGGTTGGGAAGTAGAGTCCAAGGAGGCCTTTAGGGAAACCAATAAGTCAAAAAACAATTGTCATGATAAACCTAAGAAATTATTGCCTTTTTCACTTTGTTGGCCTTTACATTTTGATGCTAAAGTAATCATGGTAAAACTGCTAAATGGCTTAGCACAGATCAAGGCAATCACACACACACACACACACGTGCACACACACACACACACACACACAGAGGGAGGGAGGGAGGGAGGGAGGGAGGGAGGGGAAGGAGGAGGAGGAGGTTACATTTTAAAAAAATCTTTGGTGAGTGTGTTTTAAAAAATCACTTGATTAAATCTTGGCCCTTAAGTACAAGCCTTCTTAATATCCTGTGTGACAAAATGGGAAAGTTGCATAAAACACTTGTGTTGTATACTGAGGTGGAGTGGCTAACTCAAAGAAAAGCACTTGTGTGATTGTTTGAGGGGAGAGTCAAACTAATTACTTTTTTTAATTTAAAAAAATCTAAAAGAGATAGAGTCTCACTATGTTGCCCAGGCTGGTCTACAACTCCTGGACTCAAGCAATCCACCAGCCTTGGCAACTAACCACTTTTTTAATAGAAAAACTTTTTCTCAAAAGAGCAACAGAAATATCCAAGGCACTGAGACCACAAATAAAGGACCTAGAGCTCACAGAGAAATAAGTTTTTGAACGTCCATTGCAGTCCCTTGAAGAAAACTAAACAATCGCTTTATACCCAGGCCCTAACCTCTTATGCCAAAGTAATGGTAACAAAAACCCAGAGCAGGAAAAGACAGCCCAGGTTTAGCCCTAGGACATAGTTCTGCTTTCTTGGATAAGACATATCCCTCTCTTCTTTTTCATCTTACAAGATTTTTGCCTAATAGGTCTCTCCATCCTACCTTAATAAGAAACCTTTTATTCCATATTAACACTGACAAAATGCTTTGGGATCAGGAGAGAATCTTTAAAAACCAAATATCCTTTACCAAGACAGAAGGCAGGACTAAAGATGTGACATATTTTACCTTTAATGAACACCATTCCCAATATCTATGATAAAAGATGCAGTAAAATTCTGCTGCCTATGTATCTTACACTATTTGAATAGAAATCACAAGTCCTAATATCATCAAGGCATGACTAATGACAGACTAGGGCTTATGGTACCATGTTTCCAGCAGAGATTGGCATCTTCGACCAATGTAACCATTCCAGACTGTCAGATTAAGATCCAAATCACACTAATATCAGGGAAATTTTGAGAGGCAATGCATCTTGCAACACTTAGGAGTCAATGATTCAAACCTCCAAAAGCATAAAATCTTATTCCATAAACAGAACATTTATCATCTTGGGAATGAATGAAACCAAGTAAGTAAAAATAATAACTCAGCTTCTCATGTATGTTTTTCACAATAAATAAAATAGTAACCACTCTTCAGCTGGACTGTTTTACAGCCTACATCCTCCAGTCTTGGGAGGACTGGATTCTCAGTTTCCCCATCAGTAAATGTAAAGAAAGGTCATTTGGCATTTACCTGACTCCAAGGCCATCCAAGCAGCTTGACAGCTAGACCTGCCATCATGTCTTCCTCTCACAAAACTAGAAAATATAATAAAACAATTATTAAAATCTGGCCTGTAACCTTTCCATACTTCCCTATGTACTTCACTTCTTCACTTATGAAATTAATGGCAGCTTCAGGAAAAGGAGACATGAGGGAGGAAGCCACATGATATTCTCAAGAAATTGTCCTCTGGAGCTCACCTTTGCACAAGCTCATTTTCTCTTTCACAAGCTATAAAAACTATGATGCTTAATTTATGAAGGCAGTGCCAGGGTACTTCTTTTTTTAGGATACAAATCAACTTTATTATACAAAATTAAGGTTTTCATGTTTCTAAGTCTACTAAGCTAAATATAACAAAAGCAACAACAAAAGTCTCTAAAGAACCTTATTTCAAATCCTTCACTGAAAAAAAGTTAAATGCTTAGCTTCACTATTCCCCATTTCTAAAATTAGCAAATTGACCTAATCAAATGTTATAAGAAGAAATGCTATAAATAACACCAAGTCTTTAAAATGAGAACATCTATATATTCTTGGCTTGATCTTTATAGGGTAGGATGGTATGACCTGAAATCCTTGGGACCTGACATCTCCAGCCAACCCACCATTTTAAAATTCAACAAAAGCAGTATCATGTCTCCCAGGTACCAAACAGTTCCTTGAAACCAGAGAATGGAGTAGCTGATAACATCATCCCATTAGTTTCCTCTGTTAAGTTATTAAGGAATAAAATACAGTTTGGAGGGTGAGAGTGAGGATCTGGTATCCACTTTCCTGGAGGGTTAGCTGAAGCCTGAGGCTCCATGACCAGGCATGTGTAGCAACAAGAGTCTGTTTCATTGTTTTGACCTTTTCTTTTGTCAGTAAAAGTACCACACACTTTAGATAATATATCCAAATCTATTTTTAAACATTCCATTTGCATTAGTTTATCATGAAATGGAATTTCTTTTAACTATCTCAAGGTATTTGTGAATAACACCAGTTCTTTAAATAAAACAGATACCTTCACCCTCATCTTCATGGCCAAAATAAAGAAACAGGGCACACATCTCTCTCTTAAAATGTTGTGATTCATATTGTAGATGTAAATTCCATGATTCCATGATTCAGCCTGTTATCCAAGTTTTTGGGTTAAACATTTTCAAACAAAACAAAACAAACGAGCTTTTAAAGACTCAATCCCCAGCCAAGACTGCCCTTAATATCTCTTTGTTACTATTAATCATTAAGTAATCAACAATTTTGTTCTGTTTGATAATTAAATCAACATGACCACAGCATACTGTCGATTGTTAGCCCCTTTTCACTAAAGGATTAAATTTTTCTAAAGCTTCAGTGCTAAGCAACTACGAATAATTCCAAAAACAAAATTTGTTAATCCAGCAACTAGTCAATGCGCTCTTCAAAGACTTCAATAAACACCAAAATTAAAGACAAATTATGCTTAGTTTATATTTCTTAGTATTTCTCCTTAATTTCATTTCACTTCACATTGCCTTAATCTTGTAAAATTATTACTCACTAAAAACAAAATCCCTCCTGGACTCTCTGCTTTTCTGCTCCTCACTTTAGCATTTAAAATATGCAAGGAAGTTTATCATCCGGGAAGAAAATACAATTACACCTCTCAACTTATAGGAGGGACAGTTGCTCTGTGTTTGCCACAGGGAGATTTAATCACACCCAGGATCTGCATTGGATACTTTAAAAAATAAATCTAGGAGAATACCTGTTTCAGAAAGAGAGGCCAACGTCAAGAAGAAAATGGGCTGTTATCTTGGTGCACCCTGGTTGCAGCAGTTGGCTACAAAGATTAACAGTCAACATATAATTCTTTGGGAAGGGACTACTTGTCCTTGTACTTACAATTATTTCTTATTACTGTGGTAAAATACACATAACATAACATTTACCATTTTAAGCATTTTCAAATGTGCCATTCAGTGGCATGAAGTACATTCACATTTTTGTGCAACCATCACCACTACCTAGTTACAGAACTTTTTCATCACCCCCAAAAGGAAACCCCACACCCATAAAACCTACAATAATTTAAACCATGGACTAGATGCTTGGCTTGGGTGAAATTTCCTCAACTCCTTCCTTCCTGTCTCGGTAGATGATAATAGTTGGAAGCAGGGGCTCTGGGACCTGATTGCTCATATTTAAATCCTGCTTCTACAGCCATCCTGGGCACACTGCTCCATCTCTCTGAGTTTTATTGTCCTCATCTATGAAACGGGAACAATCATAAGACTTCTTACAGGGCTCCAGAGAATAAACTAGAACCCTGTAACCCACTCAGGTCAGTGTCTGGCAAGCAGGAAGAACTCAATATATGCTACCTATATTTACTAACTTTTATTTCTTATTATACCCTCTATATATCAGGCACCACTCTAAATGCTGTGTATACATGACCTCTTTTAAACCTCTTAGTTCCATAATATAGTTACTGCTACTAACTTCATTTTATCTACATGGAAACTCAAGCACAGAGAGGTTAAGTAACTTGACCAAGGTCACAAAGCTCATAAGGGAAGGAGTCAGAATTTGAAACTCCAGAGGCCATGCTCTTGACTACTCTGCATGCTGCCACTACATTATTATCAGTTATCACACTCACCCTGAAACGCATATGGTTAGTCTCTTCTCACCATATTTTTCTTTACTTCATGAAGCAATTTAATATTGATAAAATAAAAACCATCTCTATCCCTGCCTTCTTCATGCAGCATCTTGAAGTGTTTGTGTGTACTCTCACCATTTTTGTTTCTCATTAAATGTGTGATTTTACACCGTCATCAAAAGACTGGACTTGCAATTTACTTGCTGTTTTGCACCATGATGTTAATAACATAAAATATTTTATTCCCATGAATGTCTGTGATCATAATACTTGAATTAGCCTTTTGTACTTCCCGTCTATGTGTGTAGGTACGCTACACCCCCTACACACCAAGTGGCAGTTTCTGTGCAGCTAGTTAGCTCATATCAAATCAAGAACTTGCATCAAATTCTGGGGTACGACGTTAGAATAATTAGAACCCCAAGGAAGGTTGGAGCTCAGCCGGGTACAAAAAAGTCATGGTTTCTTAGCTCATCCTGTGGCCCTAGGGCACTGTATGGGAAACACAATCCTGGTCACAGGATGGAGGAGAAGGGAGATTACGGAAAAACCAGCACATCAGCTACAGAAGTCCTAGTTGTACAGAAAGTGAGGGAAACTAATGTCAACCAGCACATGTGCATGCCAGTGTGGGGATGAGATGCCAGTCTAAGAAACAGCACTTCCAGTTACCGTCAATTATTAGCAGAGATCTGCATATGTAAACAAAGCAAGCCTACTGGAAATCCAAGGCAAGCTGCTTCATTACATGATTAAAAAATCATACAAGTTCTGATAAAATAAATTTCCCTGGAGGCACAATTGTTGTTCTTCATACCTTCAAAAGGATGAAAGGGCTTCATATTACTTGTAGGGATGTCAAATTTAATTTCTTCCCTTTTTTCTCTTTTCCTTTAATTACAAAAGCAATATCTGCTTATTATACAGAGTTCAAACCATACAGAAGTATGTTGACTAAAAATAATGTTCCCTTCTTGCCATTAGCATCTTCCAATCCTAGTCCTCAGAAGCAACTGCTGCCAACACTTTAGAATAAGACCTTCAGACTCCTGTCCTATTTATCAACAAATATTTTTGCACATACATGCATGTATATGGATATGCAAATGCACTGGTGTATACATACGAATACACAGAAGTCTAACTTTTGTTATTAATCACGGGGAAAAAAGTATAAAAAAGAGAAAAGATAGATTGAAGCAGAAGTTAAAGACATATTGGGTCTCCTGATACCCAGAAAATAACATTGAATTGAAAAGAATTGAAGAAAAAATGTTCAAATGAACATATCTTTTAGCTAAGAATACATAACATCATTCGATAAATGACGTACATATTTGTAATTCCAAACTGGGGCCAGTTTAGGGTGATCGGTTATATAACCATGCCTCCTCAGCAGAAGCAGACCTATAGAACCACCATCTTTGAACATCTGTCAGGTGATGCTTACTAATAGGAAAAATTTGCTACATACACTCATTGCTGTCCACATTCTTGCTCATTTGATTTGATATTCTCTCCAACAGTGATACTCATACTTTGCTCCCTTGCTCAAAGTATCTTCCCTATCCTTATATCTTTCCTCCACCTACCTAAGGCTTATTTATGCTTCAAGTGATTATTTCCTCCCACCTTTGCAAAGACTTTTCTTGATTGCTCTGACCCTGTGAGATTACTTTGTCTTCTGAACCCTGCAGAGTGGGGCTTACCATTTTGTGCTCAATCAACCATTTTATATTAGCTTCACTTTGTCCCCACCTAAACTGTATGCTTCGGTGTAAGAGTATCTCAGGTACTCCCAGGTTGTCTAGCATGATATATGCAGTGTGCATCGAAACAATGTTTGATGAGAAATTTATTTCATTTGCTGTGGGTTGTTGTCAGATGTCGACCAATGTTCATGGTTTAAACCTCAAATAAGAAATCAAAGATGATTTCCCCACAGCTTACAAGTTCTGGATTATAAGAAAAAGAAAGAACATTAACAAGGATTTCTTAAGGCCCCTGAAAGACTCCAGAGGGTCATTAAGACCCCCTTAAATTATTAGCAAAATTGGGTGTGTTTAACCATGTGCATTGGGGCTGGAACAGGTCCACGGGCTTTTGTCAGATGATGGATAGAGTCTGTACCTCCAAAGGGTCAAGAAACATTATTGAGGTCACACAGCAGACACAGAAGGGAAAGTGTTCAGGAAGGGGTAGTGGCATTTGTGTGGCAGTGTGGGGCTTAGATAACACAAGGGGCTGTGCCTCTTTCCATGGATGGAAGAATTTGCAGGAGCGTTTGTTTCCACCCATCCATTTCAACCAGCTGCTCAAATGGTTGACATTAATAAACTATCTACTTTTTGATATTTTTCAATGAGCAAAAACTCCCTTTATGGTAGGAGATTGCAGCAGGGAGGGTTGTAATGAGAAAAGTGCCTCAGGCCAGAAAGGGTTTACATAAAAATAAGGCTTGCACTTTAATATGATCTCAAACCTCAGTACACCACTCCACGTTCAGTTAAACACACCACACAATACTACAAATTCCTATTTCTATTGGTATATGCTTATGCATAACTGGTATGAATGATCCTAATAATAAAACATGGCTCTAAAAGCTCATGTAACCCTTCAGCTCCTTAGAGGATATTAGTAAGAATGATTCTAATGTACAATACAAAGCCAAAGAGAAGTCCAGTGAGTAGAGCTCATTATTTCTGAAACTTGTCATGCCCTGCAAGAGAAAAAAAAACACATCGTTTGCTCTGACTTAAATTAGAACTGGTTTCCCACTGAGTACTGTGTTGAATCTTTGGCAGAATAACAGATGATGCTTAGACAATTACACATCCATCTTGAGAAGAGACTGAACCCAGCAGTATTAGGCATATCTCAATTTCAGATGATGGAGGCAATTACACCTTTACAAGCCTGGAAGCAAAGTTCGGATTTCCTGGGAATCAGAATATCTGGGTTTCAGTCCTGAGCATGCCATTAATAGATATGTGACCTTGGACAAATCAGTTAATCAGGTTTTCCTCATTTGTAAAATGAGTGGGTTGGATTCTGCTTCCTTTTGGCTCCCTTCCAGCTCGCTCTGGGATTCTAAAACTCAAGCATTACTTTGAAGGCAGAGAAAGGATTAAGAGACTTTTAATTGGAAGAAAAAGTGAGGAAAGAGATTTCTCTCCCCTTAAAAAATGAATTCTGAAAAACTCATGTTGCATTATGATTCTATAAGGTGGTTCCTGTTGTTTTATTAGATATGTAAATATGCTTCCTTTGATAATTTATAGCTTAACATTCATGCTTTAGGTCTCCTGGCTATAGCCTCTCTCTGGAGGTGGGAGAGGCTTGTTGTTACTTAAACAAAACACCTAAGTGCGATAGAGTCAACATCTAAAAGATGATTCGTGTTTGTTCATTTTGCGTGGTCATATATCAGGATTTCTGAAGTCCAGTTTACCTAGGACCAAAAATTACTTTAGAGTGCCTCTTTTCATTAAACAACTCTTACTGGTCACCTATTGATACGGTTAGGCTTTGTGTCCCCACCCAAATCTCATCTTGAATTGTACTTCCCACAATCCCCACAATTCCCATGTGTCAAGGGAGAGGCTGGTGGAGGTAACTAAATCATGGAGGCAGTTTCCCCCATGTTGTTCTAGTAATAGTGAGTGAGTTCTCAGGAGAGCTAATGGTTTAATAAAGGGCATTTCCCCCTTCACTTGCCACTTCTCCTTCCTGCAACCTTGTAAAGAAGATGCCTTAATTCCCTTTGCCTTCTACCATGGTTGTAAGTTTCCTGAGGCCTCCCCAACCATGCTGAACTATGAATTAATTAAAATTCATTCCTTTATAAATTACCCAGTCTCAGGCTGTTCCTTATAGCAGTGTGAAAACAGACTAACACATATATCATGTGATAATATAGGACCATGTGCTGGGAAACAGGGAGACCTCAGTGAATTTGGTCTTAAAGACTGAAAATTCTTTTTAATGTGTGTAGCTCTCTCATCTTTTACCAACGTCTAAGGAGATGAGAATAATTTATCTCCTTCGGTGACAGTATTTCAAAGGAAAACAAGAGGCATGTACATATGCTTTTGACTTGAGAAAAATTTCTTCCAGAACTGAGAAGAAAGGCATAGAATAGACTCTTTTACCTCCTCCTTAGGGAATGGCCAACCCTCTTTAAGGAAGAAATAGAACAATGTATCCTGGAGAATGGTTTATTTCCAAGGCTTTAGGATCCACTACTGTCAGTCACCAGGAAGTAAAAAATACCTAATAACTTGGACCGAAGGATTTCTGAATTCTACAGCTGAATTCTAGAGTTAAGTGAATACAACTACCCCAGAACATGTTGTCGACATAGATGAGTTTCCTTTTCTTAGTTGAGGAATATACTAATGGCCACTTTCCTACCTAAAACCATCAGCAGTGGTTGTCTCTTTTATCTTTTATTTGTACCTTTTTCTTCATAATGAATTGCTGAAGAATCATATTTTCTCCTGAGGATATATTTAGTCAATTACTCATGATATGCAGCCAAATTTTCTATCTTGGCAATGATTTAAGCAGAAGGAAATAATTATTAAATCAATACAATTAAATGGTTGATGATCTAAATCACTCCACATTCACTTTTATTTTTAGTGCCTCTACATCTTGCATTCAATAAAGTTATGAGGACCTACCCTGTACTGGCTGCCTTGCTGGGTGATGGTGAGAGAGGGAAGGTAAAACACCACCTCCAGCATCATGACAGAAAACAAGCCATTTAATGCAAGAAAATAAGGTCTCTATTTTCTTTGGTGAAAACTGTGATTCACAATGTTTCAGAGTAGGAGCCATCCAGGTGCAAGAACTGCATGCTTATTAATTTACCTAGCCTATCTGAGCATCTGAAGGTCCTTATCTTAAAAAAAAAAACAACAAAAAAAAACAAAAAAAAAACCTGCCTCATAAGTTTGCTATGAGGATTAGACAAGTTTTATAGGATCCTGCATTCATTTGCTTGGGCTGCTGTAACAAAATACCGCAGACTGACTGGGTGGCTGAAACAACAGAAATTTATTTTCTCAAAGTTCTAGTGGCCAGAAGTCCATGATTGAGGTGCCATCAGAGTTGATGTCTGATGAAGCCTCTCTTCCTGGCTTGTAAACAGCTACCCTTGTACATGGAGGGAGGGAGGGAGGGAGGGGGAGGGAGGGAGAGAGAGAGAGAGAGAGAGAGACAGAGACAGAGACGACAGAGACATCCGATATTTATTTCTCTCCTTCTAAGGATACCAGTCCTTTGGATTAGAGTCCCATCCTTAGGACATCATTTAGCCTTAATTACCTCCTTAAAGGTCTCATCTACAAATACAGTCACATTCGGCATTAAGGCTTCAACGTATCAACCTTAAGGGAATACAGTTCAGTCCATAACTGACCCTTATCACAATTCTTGGCACATGAGTTAACATTTATTGGGAGCTCACTACCACTGCTACTGTTATTTTTACAAGAGTAGGAGAATATTTTCCCCATAAACTCGAGAAAGGTTAGGAAGATTGCTTTATTATAAAAGTGACAAAGAAAATGACTATAAAATCTTTTTCAAACGACCTTGTCTCCTCCCCATCTTACTTTTCACTGACTTTGAAAGGGATTGTATTTTTTATGGTGAAACCCAGTATCTGTGGACTGGGGTCCCTGCTAACACATCTGGCCCTCTTTTCTGAGGTTGGTCACTAGTTATGGTACCCAGTAGGCTCAGCCTCTCGGCCCTGCAGACGCTGCCTCCACAGCCCATGATCCTCAGCTCAGTTAATCACACGCCTAAGCACTGCATTGCTGCCTGCTGTAATACCAACACAGCTGTTGTGCTTCATAAAGCGGGGTCCAATCTGCGCACAGGAGCCATTACAGTATTTCTCTGTGCTTTAATGAACAAGCTTTGAAAGCAGTACACTTTCCAAAATGAACCTCCACAACATCCACTCTGACTTTTCTCTTGGCATAGAGAGAAAAGCTATCACTTTAGGAAATTGTGACCATTTGCTGGAAACTTTGCAGTGGGCTTTCAAATGTAATTTTCTTTACAAAAATCTGAGAGATGAGCTGATAAGAAATAGAAGCTGTTTTTTCATTCTTTGATGATGCAAAATAATGCTACCTCTTCTAAACAGAAAATTGACAATGCAAATACTACGTAAAAATCCTTATCTTTCCTGCTAACTTGCCTTCTCAAAAATAAATGTTTGCTGAGAACTTGGGAGAATTTGTTTGCAAATAAGGCCATATAGTCAGAGACCCTTAATACTAATGCTAGATACTAACTGATTTTCCTGGCACCAGATGGGTAAACCAAGGCTATAAGGGCTGTCCAAGGGATAAAAGTATAAATTAAATATATAAATGACTATAATAAAGTAAATTAAGGAAACTTAACACCAAATAAACTTTTTATCTAAATTGGAAAAATGTCTATAAGTACTTGAGCCATTGTAATCCGAATAATCACATGGTGACTTGCCTCCTGATATTAAAAATCAAAACGTTTCTTTACACATTTTTAAAGAAAAGGCACACATGATGAATTCCCAGAAATCTCTATAATATGTACGCCAAAGGAAATGGTGAGTCAAAGTAGGTGTGAGAGTTAGCCCCATGAAATGAAGCTACACTGTCATGAGAACTCCCTGGGCCAAAAGAAAGTTACAGAATTTTCCCAAAGTACAATACCTTACAGTAAGAGGGACTTTTATTTTAGCTTAAAGGGGAAATAAAACACAACCTCTATGGGTGATATTCCATCCCTACAAATCACACCCACCCCCTCCCACAGAAACCTATTTCTTCATTCAACTGTCCTCACTCTAATGCAAATATCATCATCTCTTCCTTTAGCTCCTGCATAAGGGTATTTCTTACTGCTTCTCCCATTTGTAATCTTTTCCTCTTCTAATTCAATCTTATTTTTCTTTCCATTTGGTAGAATATACATAACAAAAATTTACTATTCATACAATTTAATGTCATTAAATACATTCACAATGTTGTATATCACAACCACTCATTTCCAGAACTTTGTCATCATCTCAAACTGAAACTTAGTACTCATTAAACAAATAGTAGCTATACCCCCAGCTACTACTTTCTATCTCTATGAATTTGCCTGTTCTAGGTACTGCACATAAGTGGGATCATACCATATCTGTCCTTTGGTGTCTAGTTTATTTGACTTAGCATAATGTTCTCAAGATGTTGTGGCATGTATCTGAGTTTCCTTTCTTTTTTAAGGCTGGATACTATTCCACTGCATGTATGTACCACAATTTGTTTATCTAGTCATCTGTTGGTGGACATTTGGGTTGTTTTCAACTTTTGGCTATTGTGAATAATGCTGCTATAAACATTGGTGTACAAGAATCTTTTGAGTCCCTGTTTCCTATTTCTTCAGGTATATACCTAGAAATGAAATTGCTGGATCACATAGTAATCTATATTTAACTTTTTGAGAAATTGCCATCCTGTTTTCCACAACAGTTGTACCATTTTACATTCCCAACAGTAATGCACAAGGGCTCCAATGTCTCCACTTTCTCACCAACACCTGTTATCTAGCAGGTTTTGTTGTTTTCCTTTGTTTTCTAATAGCCATCTAATAGCTTTCTAATGAGTATGAAGGGGTATCTCACTTTATTTCTATTTGGATTTTCCTAATGAATAGTGATGTTGAACATCTCTTCCTGTGCTTATTGGCCACTTACATATCTTCTTTTGAGAAATATTTATTCGAGTCCTTTGCCCATTTTTTGAATTGGCTTTGTTTTGTTGTTGTTGAATTGTATGAGTTTTTAATATATTTGGAATATTAATACCTTATCAGATACATGATTTACACGTATTTTCTCCATTCTGTAGTTATCTTTTCACTCTCTTGATAGTGCCATTGGATACACGAAAGTTTTTCACTTTGATGAAATCCAATTCACCTATTTTTCTTTTGTTGCCTGTAGTTTTAGTGTCATATCCAAAAAACTATTGCAAAGTCCAACGTCATGAAGCTTTTCTTCTATTTTTTTTTTCTAAGAGTTTTATAGTCTTACCTCTTACATTTAAGTCTTTGTTCTCTCTTAACTTTTTTATATGGCAAGGTAAGGATCAAACTTCACTATTTTGCATGTGGATATCAAGTTTTCCAAGCATCATTTGTTGAAAAGATGATTTTCCCCCATTGGATGGTTTTGACGTACTTGGTCATATATGCTGAGGTTTATTCCTTATCCAAAATACTTGGGAACAGAAGTGTTTCAGATTTTGTTCAGATTTTGGGACATTTACATTATACTTACCAGTTGAGCAGCCCTAATCTGAAAATCCAAAATGCTCCAGTGAGTATGTCTTTTAGTGTGATGTCAGCACTCAAAAAGTTTCAGATTTTAGAGCATTTAGAATTTTTGATACTCAACCTGTATGTGGTATGTGTATGTTTGTGTATGTGAGTATGTGTCTATGAGCCTGTCCGTATGCCAGTACCACACTGTTTTGACAACTGTAGCTTTGTAATTTTTGAAATCAGAAAGTGTGAGTCCTCAAACTTTTTTCTTCTTTTTCAACATTGTTTTGGCTATGAATTTTGCATCACTTCAATTTGCATCACATAAATTTTAGTATCACTTTAATTTCTGCAAAAAATTTGGCATTTTGATAGGACTTGCATTGAGTCTGTAGATATTTTGGGTAATATTGTCATCTTAAAATTATTAATCCTTCCACTCCATCAACACAATATGTTTTTGCACTTATTTATCTCTTTTAAATTTCAGCAATGTTTTGTAGTTTTCACTTCAATCTAACCTTGACACAGCAGCTAGAGGAAGCTTTTAAAATTATCAATGAAATTGTGTTTCTCTGCCTAAAACATTTCAGTGGCTTCCCAATGACCTTGAATATACAGCAATACCCATATGGTCTTCCACAACCCAGACTTTGCCTACTTCTCCATTATCTCATATGACAGCCACCCCTCATTCTCCACTCTCTAGCCACTGTGTTCTGTGATCAGTTTCTAGAACATGCCAAGCTTTTTCTCACCTCTAGGTCTTTGTATATGTTGTTTCCTCTGCCTGGAACAACTGCCTCCCTTGGGTTTCTTTCATCTCTCAGGTTTTGCATAAATATAATCCCTTCAAAGAGTCCATTTCTAATGATCCTTGGTAATTAGTTTTCCCCATTTTATCACTACTTCTCGCCTTTGTCCTTCACAGCACTTAGCTCAGTGCAAAGCCTGGTACAATTGTCCCCGCTCCTCAGGGAATACATTCCAAGACCCCTAAGCAGATGCCTGAAACCTCAGACAGTACCATACCCAATACACACTATGTCTTTTCCTATACATACACACCTAACGTTTAATCTATAAATTAGACACAGTACTCTTGTGCTTTGGATCCATTATGAAGTCAAATGAGGGTTACTTGAACATACGTGCTGTGAAAGCAGGACATTCAATCTGATAACCAAGATGGTACAAAGTGACCAACAGGCAGGTAGCATAGACAGTGTGGAGATGCTGGACAGAGGTATGATTTATGTTCCAGGTAGGACAGAGTGGGATGGCACAATATTTGATCACACTACTCAGAATGGCACACAATTTAAAACCTATAAATTGTTTATTTCTGGAGTTTTCAACACAGTATTTTTGGACTGCCATTGATTGCAGGTAAGTGAAGCTGCAGAAAGGGAAATGGAGGATAAGAGGGGACTTGTGCATTTGATTGTGCTTTTCTCTGTGCATTGTCTGACTCCCTCAGGGTAAGAGTCTTAGCTATGTCCTCCGTGCCTGACACATTGTTGACTTGCAGTGAACAGTAATTAAATGAAAACTAGCAATACCATCGATACCATGCAGGCACAAAAGTCATGTCAAGATTTTCTTTTCTCCAAGGCCAGCTTTCCTTCTCTTCATTCTGGGTTCTGCTATTACCTGAAGGATGTTCAGAGTACCTGCTTGGAATTCCAGAACATGGAGGTGAGCTGCTGAGCATGACAGCACAGGTAGGGTGGCTTTGCAGGTCTGTCTGAGGTACAAGAGCAGGTTCATCCTTTCATGGAGAACTGTCCCAGGTCCACGTGCTTCTCCATCCTCTCCCAGAATCTCAGACAGGATGGAGAGAACCTTCTTTCAGAATGGCCTCCAGCAGTGTTCTTCCAGCCCCTCTACAGTGAGCATGACGGAAATGTCCAGGTCTAAGGCCAGCTGACCCACCTAGGCATCATTATACAAGAAAATGAGCTCCCTCATGGGAAAGTTTGGAACTCACTGTTCCTACTTTGCTGTTTCCCAAGAATTAGGCATCAGAAGTGATCCCAGCACCTTCACAGGACCAGCTCTCCCCAAGAATCTCCCAAGAGAAAAAGGCCACGCAGACTGTCCTGCTGCTGGGGGCAAACTGGAAAATCCACTGTTTTGAGTTCCTTGTGATCAACCAGTACCCAAAGCGGGCACTGGCTTCTCTGATTTCTCCTATTGATACTTCTTTTAGTTTACTTCTGGTCCTGGGAGGTTTCCATATTTTTCTATCAGCTCTATCGGACATTTTCAGGATTCTTGTAACTTTTGAGGATTTTTGTCTGTATTAAATGGTGTTTGGAACTATGTGCTTTTTACATATATGAGTACAATATTTCACATAAATATTTTGTGTCAGAACAGTATGTCATGGCACAATAGTATGACTATAGTTAACATTAATTTGTTGTATATTTCAGAATCACTGGAGAAGTATACTTGGAACATTCCCAACTTGGATTGATGATGGATGATTAGAGTGATGTGTATTCTGATTGCCCTGACTGGATCAGTACACATCATGTGTTTGCATCAAAATATCACATGTACCCCATAAATCTGTACAACTATTACATATTCAGAAAATTTAAAAAATTAAAAAAGAAATTCCAATTTTCTTCATTTAGAACACCACCAATATATACCATATAACATCATTTGTAGACTATAAATATTTTTCAACACTAGAAAATGTGTTTATATTCTATACATATTGAGTCATAGTTCTCTATTTTAATGAATAATACTTGCATATGTCCAGAATTACTGTTTTCCTGTAACATGAAGATAGTACTGGAATAATTAATTGTGTGAATTTAGGTCCCTTGGCTTCAGTCACAATGTTTCCTCCTTAGCAATTCTCTGACTCTGTAAAAGTAATCTCAGTTTGGAGCTCCTACTTACTTTAGTAGTTATCTTAAATGATCTTATAAGAAATTTGCATGTGGTTAAACATTACTTATTGGTTCCACTTTAATTGATAAATTCTATTGTACTTAGAAAATTGTATTACCTGTAGGATTTCTGTTTTCATGAAGTTAATCACACTTTTTCAAGCCCAAAACCTTGAAATTTTCAATAGTTTTCTCCAGTGTTTGGAAACTTTTTTCATCCTGTTTAGCGCTCAGAAATACTGTTCATTTGTCTACCTGAATAACTAGTCAAACATTCCAGTAATGTTACTTAACACTCAAATAAACAAACAAAAAGTCTTGTCAAGAAGGCCAGCAAGGGACAGAAATACTCCACAGTGATGGCTAATGGTTTGAGACATACCAAGTCCAGTTGAACCACATCCACTTTTGGCCTACAAGATCAGTGATTTGGAGAGCAGATCCTGCCGTAAGAAGGAAAACTTTAAACTCTACATCATTAAAATACATGTTGAAAGATCCTTTGGTCCAGTGTCATAGCTCACTCTACAGCTTTAGGGCATTGTGCTTCTTCATTGTGCACAGTGAAGAATGAAGTTCAGTTCTATGTTCAGAGGTTTATGGCAAAATACCTCCAGGGGCTCCAGGAATGATTCCACCAACATTCACACCTGGGGATGGTTCAGACCACACTAGCTTCTCTCAGGACAATTTACAAAAGCTACTGCCATCAGTATGCCGTCTGGGAGTGACATTGGTCACAGATGCAGTGGGACTGGGAAGTAAATACAGTTTGGCTGCTTTGTGGAGAATGGTGAACAAAAGCAGCTCCCAGACAGGAGTCATTCCATGTTATAGCACTTGTGTAGATAAAGCAGGAAGTTATCAATAGATACCCCAGCAGGTTTTCTAAGGAATTGGTTCTGAACCAGAAGCTACCAGACGCAGAACACTGCCAGGAAGCAAAACAGTCTGGTGGTCACCAGCACTCATGGGAATCAGAGGTGGTTTTAAGCTTGTTTCTGCTAACCATGAGGACTGGTTGACCTTCAGTAAGTTAGTTAATTTCTCTGACCCTTGCTTTTCTCATCTGTGAAATGAGGCCAGCAAGAGCACCTACCATATACACAGAATAACAACATGGGCTCTAGAAAAAAAGTGAGTTCAGAGGCCGGGCACGATGGCTTACACCTGTAATCCCAGCACTTTGGGAGGCTGAGGAAGGTGGATCACGAGGTCAACGGATCGAGACCATCCTGGCCAACATGATGAAACCCTGTCTCTACTAAAAATACAAAAATTAGTCAGGTGTGGTGGAGTGCCTGTAGTCCCAGCTACTCAGGAGGCTGAGGCAGGAGAATTGCTTGAACCCGGGAGGCAGAGGTTGCAGTGAGCCGAGATCACACCACTGCACTCCAGCCTAGCGACACAGTGATAATCCATCTCGAAAAAAAAAAGAAAGAAAAGAAAAGAAAGAAAGGCAGTTCAAATATTGACTTTGTCTCTTACAGGCTGCATGCTCTCGTAAGAGACAAGAGACTTACCATTGGGTAAGTCTCTTCTTGGGGCCTCGATTTCCTCATTGGTAATGGAGACAATAATAGTAGGCTGCCATGTGTATTAAAATGAGATATCCCTAAAACCTCCAGATATCCCTAAAATCATCAGCTCTGAGTGCCGAGTCAATTCTGGTGACAGGATGGACTTCACCATCTTCCATTCATTCATTGGACACGTACTATTGGAGCCTGCTTCCCAAGCATGTGTCCTGTGCTACAATTCTCTGATGAACAAGACCTTGCTTCTGCCCTCATGAGGCTCCCTGCTGAATGCAGATGTATTTACAACATAAGAAATGCCCAGAAAATGCCAGCAATTGCTACATTTTCTTATTTTCCAGGCAACTCTACAAACTTAGAGATGTTCCTGGATATACTGATTGAAATAAGTTCTCACATGTATCCAGCAAAGGATTTTCCAGTAGTAAAGCCAATGGGTAAAATGAAATATTCTATATACTCTAAGATCTCTAAGACTAAAGCATTCAGAATCCCTCACCAACAGAGGAATTTAGGCAATTCCTTGTACCTTTTTCTATATAAAAATGAGGAGACACTTTGGGAGGTTGAGGCAGGGCAGATTTCTTGAGGCCAGGCATTCAAGACCAGCCTGGCCAAATGGTGAAACCCTGTCTCTACTAAAAATGCAAAAATTAGCTGGCTGTGGTGGTGTGCACCTGTAATCACACCTACTCAGGAGGCTGAGGCACGAGAATTGCTTGAACCCAGGAGGCAGAAGTTGCAGTGAGCCTAGATCGCACCACTGCACTCCAGACTGGGCGACACAGGAAGACTCTATCTCAAAAAAAAAAAAAAAAAAAGGGAGGTAAGCAGGCAAAACTGAAATTCTATTTCTTGGGGAATGGGAGAGGAAGGGTGGGGAGATACTTGGAGATGGATGGGCAACCTCTGCCACTCACACACATCATTTCTCATTTAATTCCAAGACTTTGCAGACTTCAAAGAACCCTGGCCCTTCAGGTACTAGAGTTCTGTATAACTCAAAAAGCCTGGGGCCCTGACATACCCAATAGCAAGTCCTCCAGGAAGCCGCTCCTCAGGACATAGTGCTGCTCCCACAGGACAAAGATGTTTCTCAGCTGCCGCAATGGCAGGATCTCCAATTCATACATATCTCAACCCTTTTTCAGGAGGGTTCTTCCAGCATTAATCTTCCACTGTTAATGAGGTCATTAAATCTGAAGCCTTGTTCTCTGTGTTGATGACAATCTGCTTATCTTACAACCAAGCAGGGGTGACTTATTCTTTCAACACAAATTGAGTGCCTGCTGTGTGCGGGATACTCTGCTAGGGGCTGGGAATCAAACAGTAAACGAGACAGGTGCAATGTCTGTCCTAAATGATTTCACAGTTTTTGAGATGAAAGTATCAAGTAATTTGGGGGTGCAGAGCAGGTATGAGATGTTATAGAAAAAAATGGATGCCTGAATCAGTCTTGGGAGCTCAGAGGGGCTTCCCAGAGAAGTAATATCAAAGCAAATTGTGAAGGGAGGCATTAACCAGCAACAGAATGTAAAGGGTAGTGATGGAAGTTAGGTACTTATTCCAAGTAAAGGAAAAAGTGTATTGGAACTCTAACGGCAAAGAGACTGGATGCTTTCAAGGTCCTGAAAATCTCAATGTGGTTAAACTTGAGAATATAAGGTGGGAAGTGACATGAAAGGGGCCCAGGAAGACCTTGAAGGTGATATGAGAAAGTTCTGTCTCTATCCTGTAGAAAGGAGAGTCAGGGAATTCTAAGCTGAGAAGTCTCAGAGTTCACTCATTCCACCAGCTCTGAGTGCCAACTACATTCTGGTGACAGGATAGATTTCATCATCTTCCATTCATTCATTGGACAGGTATTATTGCAGCCTGTTTCCCAAGCCTGCACCCCATGCTAGGATTCTCTGATAAACACAACCCAGCTCCTGAGGCAGGAGAATAGGGTCTGGAGACAGAGAACTTAAGGCCAATTTGTGCTGACTTCCTAAAAGAGAAAACACCAAGGTCTGGGGGCAGAGAATCTAAGGCCAAGTTCTACTGACTTCCCAAAGCTGGATCAAAAGGACAACATCTGGGTCTGGGGGCAGGAAACCTAAGGCCTATTAACACCTTGTAAAGCTGAACCTAAAGGAAAAACCCCATCTCCCCAGCGGAGTAGCAAAGGATCAAAGGCTACTTTCCTTACAGCCCTCTCACTCTACCATGGCTCGGATGGAAAGGGAGAGTGCCTTGGATTGGCAGGGCCAAGCAGGGACCAGCCCTTCATTTGCATAGGGCACCAATTCACTTCAGCCTTTAATTAGCCACAGGCCAAATCCTTCATCCAGATAACGGGTAGCTGATAAGAACTTCAAATGGGGTACTTAAAGCCCAGAAAACTTTGGGCCCTCGAGCCGCTTGCTGGGGCCCACTCCCACCCTGTGGAGTGCTTTCTCGCTTTCATAAATTCCTGCTTTCTCTGCTTTGTTCCTCCTTTTCATTTCTCCGCTACGTTGTGCGTTTTGTTCAATTCTTTGTTCAAAACGCCAAGGACTTGGACAGTACGTAGTCAAGACCCTCCACCGATAACACTTCTGCCCTTATGAGGCTCCCTGCTGAACAGAGATGTCTTTATCAAAACATCAAGATGACAAATGGGTGGCAATTCTCAAGAACCCGAAATGCTTGAGTCCTGGCTTAGAACAGCTCCCAGGACACGTGGTGGGTTACCACGGGTGAGGTAGGAGGGGTAAAACTCTGATAGGGTCTTGGTCTCTGTGAAAGCGGCACTGGGCTGGAGGAAAAAAAGTTGCCACAAGGAACACTCTCTGGGAGCCCTTCAAGGCAAGGAGAAATAAAGAAGGCAGGAGCAAAACATAAGTTTTAAATAAATAGTTTTTTAAAGGCCGGCTTATACCAAGGCCTCTGCAGCCTCATTACAGCACATTTAGAGTTTTTCCAAAACACTCTTATAAGATAATTAACCTAATTTGGCGTGTTACAAAGTCATTTGAAATCTCTATTTGGTGAATGAAATAATATATTCACCAGCATGTGTATTTTAGTGATAACTCTGTTTATCAAGGGCCAGAGGAACCCAATCTGCCGGCGAGTGCCTCCGTGTGAACCCAGGGGCTGGTAATTATCTCCTGCCAGCTTCGCCACCTGTAATAAGTTTGTTTGTGATGTGGCCTAGTTTTTAAAATAATACCAGGTTGTCTCTAGAGCCCCCAATCTGAGGATTTACACCTAATACGATAAAAGTTGAAAGGAGGGAAGTATCCCATACTAACCAAAACTGCCATTAAGATACACTTAAATCAAATGTTTTTTAGCTGCTTTAAGTTTTATCTCAAAAAATGCCATTTAGTCTTTTTGTTGCTATTTCAGATGTTTCAGAACTAATCCCATATTAAGAAACAAGCCATTGGGGGCCATCTAGATGCATAAATTTTAATTACACGATTCACTTAATTAATTTTGACAGAGGGTTTCACAACAAAGATCCCAAGCCAGTCTTGCTTCCCCTAGAAAAACATTGCACATGTAATCCTTATTCACAAAACTCTGCTGAGGATGGGGTTTTAAAAGCCAGCATTTTTAACTGCTTTGATTATTAATAGCAACATGACAAATAAGCACACTTCTAGTAATGTCATGAAGTCCCAATCTGTCCAAATTTATGTGAATGTGGCCCAGGATTGCACTACTCTTCATTAGCTTTACTTCTGCTGAGATCTGGAGGTAAACATTTAAGCTAAATATTAATTATTAATCCAATATTTAAGCTCTATATTTAGCTTAAATGTCATGTATTCCAAATGATTAATGAGAAAAGCCATGTATTCCAAAGGAAGTGATAAAGTGAGTCCCAGAAAGAAACTAAGTCTGTTGCCCTACCATGTCTCAGACTCTATGAGTTGCTCCAGGGTGGAGGCCATATCACTGTCATAGGTCCACAATAAATGTTTCTACACCTACATGTCGTTCTTAGTCTCTAGCACCTCAGCCAGGAAATGTTCTTTCATTCCCCATCATTCAATTTCAAGAAGCAGGAAATCCTCATTCATTCTACCACAATTACTCTAGCTAAACAAACAAACCCACTTGCGCTACGAAAGCATTTTACATCTTTCAACCAACTGCTTTGGATTTTTACCATGGGGTCTAGTCGATTCCATTACTCTTTCTGCAAACTCAGTCAGATGTTTGGTGACCTCCTACTGTGATACAGCTGAACAGTTCCTGCCCTTCAAAAGCTGACAATTCTGATAGTTGTACCAAATCTGGCCCTCTTGCAGGGGGACTAGAAAAGCAATTCCTATTTCTAAGTATCCTTTTTCATCCCTTGTGCATGTTCTTAATTTCAAATATGCACAGTGGTTCTCTTACTCTTCGCACAGTGGTGGTATGCCATAAGCTTTGCTATTTGTTGACAAGCCTCACTTGTAACTGCCTCCACAGACATTCCAACTCTAAATCTGGGCCCATGGTGTTTTCCAACCTCCAGTACGTATATAAATTGCACGGGGGTCTCATTTGATTTAGTGCAACTAGGGTGACAGGGCCTGAGATTCTGCATTTCTAGCAAGTTCCCAGATATTACCAATGTGGCTGGTCTGCAGCCCACACTTGGAATAGCAAGGGACAGGTTCATACTGAGCTAAACTTTCCAGTTATTGCTCAAGTAAAGACAACATTTTGCTTCCTCTTTCCCCCTTGAGGTGATCTTTAATTCTAATTTACAATTTTTCCTTAGTATCATACTCTGATTTTGTTAGTGTTCCCCAGTTCTCATAAAAACCAACACCACAACCTAAATTAGTTCCACACAGGAACACGGCCATAAAAGTAGACTCACTTCACCCTTTCACCATTTGTCATTTCAATCACTGAAGACACACAAATTAAAAAGGGAGAAAGAGAGAGAGAAACAATAAAGTACCTTACGTCCCATGTTCCCCTGTTTATCTGAAGGTGTTGATTACCTGAAGTTAATTTTTTTCTTGTAAAGTAATTTATTTTAAATAAAAAAAAGGTCAGGCAGCTATTTCATTTATCACTATTACAAAGGAGTCTAACCCAGTGATGGAGAGAAGGAAGAAGAAATTAATTACAAGTCAGAAGCTGCAATAACACTCTCGGTAATTGTGACAAAAATTTTAAATTAACATTTCTGTCACTGAGAAAGGTTTGATTAATTTTACAATTGGAGATGCTATCACCAGAATATTGGGGGGATCGGAGGACACAGCAGTTTGCAGTTTGCAACACAGATCCGCTTCTTTAAGGCTGAGAATATATCTGCAAGGCACCTTCACACTTTATTAACAGCTCAATCAGTGCCATGCTGGAAATAATTAGCCAGGAAGCCATGGAGTAAATAGATCTGGACTGGCAAACCATGTGAAAAGAAATGTATGGGATGAGCTTCTCTGTAGCCATAACAAAGCAGACCTTGTTTTCTGTGTTATAAAGTACCCCGGGAAGACTGCTGTTGCCTCTGTGATTTTCTCTTTGGGAAATAAAACACCAGCAAGCAGCAGTTAGACTTTTTCATTCACATTTTAAGATGTGATGCTGGGAGGGCTGGGAGTGGATCCAAGGTCTAAACAATAGAAATTAAGAGAAAAGGAAGGGTTTATTAATAACGTATTTAAAACTAGCTTAAAATGTTCTTCTCCTGACAAATTTATCTGTGATCTATGAAGTATACTGGTCCCTAGTGAAAACAACATTAAACACTTAGTTTAGGGCTTATGATGTTCCCGGCACATAAATTCTAAGGGGTTTATTTGCATGAATTCATTCAAGCCTCATAACGACCCTTTACAGTAAATTCTATAATTATCCTCACTCTGGATGTAGTGCTGTGGCACAGGGAGGCTAAGAAACTTACCTAACATTGTGGACCTAGAAAGTGAGGAACAGAGCCAGAACATGCAAGCTGGCCGCAAAACCTGCAATGTTAATTGGGGAGCAGCAAACTACATCCCATGAGCCAAATGCAGCTCCTCACCCATTTCAGTAAAAAGTTCTGTAGAAACACAGCCATACTTATTTATTTACATATTGTGCATGATTATTTTTCACTACAATGACAGTTGGGTAGTTGCAACAGGGAGTATCACTCGTAAAGCAAAAAACGTTTATTATCTGCCTTTTACAGAACCAACTTACCAACCCCTGCTGTTAACCACGATGCCACATTGCTTCTTAGATCATTTCTGCATTAACTCACAGCATCTAAGAGAAACCCAACAGTGATAGACACTCTGGGACACTGAAAAGTCGAGTGTCGGGGGAAATGTGAAACTAAAGGGATGGAAAACTTACTTGCAAATCCTATTTGCTAACTTTTTAATTTATTGTAGGCCCCCAACAGTGTTACATTATATTCTAATGTAAAATCTGTCTTTCAACTTGTGGAGGGAAGCTGGAAAGAAATACATTTTCTTTGTACGTAACCCCTATAGTCAAGGAGATGGTGGTTTCTAGCATAGATCACCGAGACACTCATCAGGGAAGTGGACCTAGGAGAACAGTATTTGTTTCTCTCTGCTGAGATCAAATGGAACTGCATGGCAAATTATAGCTTGAGATTACTGCTCAGATTTATATCTTTTGGGTCTTTAGAGAAAGTTTGAGAACACATGGGTACTTTCCAATTCCCATAGGATGAAAAAAGAAATATAATCCAACTTGGGAAAGTATATCTCCTTCAAGAGTCTGGGATATTTAACTGTATAGGTGGAGAGACAAACATGGTACAATTAGGAAGAGAGAGAAGGCTAGAAATATAGTAAGAATGGAGAGGATTTTTTTAAAAATAGTGTAAGAGAAATGATAATTAACAATTATTCATGTTTCACATTAATATGTATTAACTGGCACTTAGTAGAGGCCCCTGTCCTGAAACAGAAGCCTTACATGGTGTGAGTTAGGACAATATGAGGGTGAATCAGCTGGGAATGAAGGCTTAAGCACTCTGGGAACATTTATAAAAATCATTCACCTATATAATCGGAGGAGAGAAGTCACACATTAAAAAGCAGAAATAAAGGTAGAAATTAAGAAATACTCTCAAAATCAAAAGAAAAAAAACCCAAGGGAATATGAACTATTTAAAAGTCATAGTAACTAAAACGATTGCATTGACCTAAAAGTAGGTAGGCAGAAAAAAATAGAAAATGAATTAAATCTTAAAATATGTACATAATATAGACAAAGGAGGCATGTAAATCAGTGAAAAAGAAATTTCATAAATGGCCCTTAGATCCCTCCTGACAAATAAGTTTTATATATATAAGTTTCTTATATATCCAAATAAGTTTTAGGGGAATTAACAGGTTTTAATAAATTAGATCTTAAAAGAACTAAAAGAGTATAGGAGCATATTTACTCACTCTTAGGATGAAAGAATCAAAAAGAAAGAGATTCTGGAAAAGATTTTTAAAATATTTGGCATCATAAAAATGAAATGAAAACCTTATTGTTAAATACCAAAGTCAGACAAAAAGCCTGTGAACAATTTACTGTGTGAATTAAGAGTTTAAAATGAAAAGATACTTTAATTACAATGGACAATACAAAAAAACAACAGTAATCAATAAAAATAATAAGGGGAAACACACAAAAATTCAGTGAGCCTAAGAGTAAAACACTTGAAAATCCCTACCTATCAAAACAATGAAACTTTTGTAACAATTAGACACCATTTTGACCTAACAAATCACTAAAGATTAGAATCCATCACCTCCTCCATCTGCAGTGCACAGGGTTTAATCCAATGGTATCCTCAAACAATTGTCGATGATTCAAGCCCATAAAACTTTAAAAGGCCTGATTAACCCAGCAATTCCACTTTGAAAATTTTATCCTGGGGGAAAAAATCACAGATGTGCAAAAAGAATTGAATGAAAGGATAGTCTCTATATAATAGACAAATGTTAGAAGGGGAAAAAAGCTCTCTAAACTTCTAACAAAAGGGCATGGTTCTATAGGATAAGGCACATCAATACAATAGAATAACGTGCAGCTCTAAAACTCCTGTTGTAAAAGATATAAAGGTGGGGAAAATGTTCCAGATATACTGTTGAGTGAAAAGTAATTACAGCACAGTGTGTGCAATAAGATCCCTGATTCAGAAAAAAAGAAAAAAAAATCATATGGAAAATATTTGTTATAGAAAAATGAAAGGAGGAATAGTGCTTTTCTTCTTCTTTGTGCTTTCTTGTATTTTCTAAGCTTTTCTTCGGGGGGTCAGAAATAACTTTGTAATTAGTGTTGATAAATGTGTTTGATGTTCACTGCGAAAGAGAACTTGGAAACAAGGCAAAGTTGATCAAACTCTCCCAGAGACTCAGTGGAGGTGGGGGTAGCAAGAGGGTTCTGGACAGCTGGACAGAGAATCAACCCAGCAATAAGAGACTGGTTAGTTATTTGGTCATATGCTAGCCCACTTAGAGTTAGAACCACTGTGGGACTCTTCTGTAGTACGGTGTTGCCTGGGAACCATCCCTCCTAAATTTCAGCACACGGCAGAGGCCATGCCAAATGATCTTGGAACCCTCGGTCCACCTGCTCCAGAGCCCGGGATCACAGTGCTGTAAATGAGTCTCTGTGACTAAAAAAAAAGCCAACTGACATTCCAAGACAGAAAGCATTTCATAGCGAGCATGTACAATGATTTTTTCCTTCAGAAACCACCAAAAGTAAAGACTCCATTAGAAGTGTTGTCACCCAATCCGATTCTCTCTCCCCTTTCTAAAAGCCGCAAGAAATGTTAAAAGGCAATATGATAGAAAGCTTTTAGTTTGAATCCATATACACGTGGCTTCTCTGATGGGAAGTGAGTTCTACCTTTGAAGGTGCGGGCTTCATGCAGAGAAGAGCTCAACTGATGCTCCGCCGCCACCACTCTGCATAGTCCAACCTTCTCTTTCTGCTTTCCCAGGAAGGAGGAGAGAACACCAGGGTGTTAGGTAATGAGTAATCTGGGCTCATCTGCAGAATTATGCTAATAGGGTCCATCCCCAAACAGTGCTGGCACCTGGCACAGCGCCTGACATAAACATGGAACAGATACTCCATAAATATGCTTGAATTAACAGAGAATTCCATGAAATCCACACTTCCTGGGAGACAACTTGGATTATGCTCTTTCTTAAATTCTCTTTCTATATATTTAACTGGCCAATAGGAGAGTATCTTCAATTTTACTCATTTTTATCTTTCTGAGATCATTCTGTGAGGTTTGGCTTTCTAGACATGAAACACTACTCAACTACTCGTCACCACCAACCTTCAACTTCCAGTGCTACAAGTTGTTCGCTGGGTTCTGCATGTTCACAGGAAGGGCATATTGCACTCACCCAGCCCATCCTTCCTAGCTGTACAAATCACAATGTGTCCGGAATTTATTCCTTCCGGTGGGTTCTTGGTCTTGGTGACTTCAAGAATGAAGCCCTGGACCTTCGCAGTGAGCGTTACAGCTCTTAAAGATGGTGTGTCCAGAGTTTGATCCTTCAGATGTTCAGATGTGTCCTGAGTTTCTTTCTTCCGGTGTGTTCGTGGTCTTGTTGACTTCAGGAGTGAAGCCGGAGACCTTCGCAGTGAGTGTTACAGCTCTTAAAGGTGGCGCGTCTGGAGTTGTTTGTTCCTCCCCGTGGGTTCGTGGTCTCACTGACTTCAGGAGTGAAGCCACAGACCTCCACAGCGAGTGTTATAGCTCATAAAGGTAGTGCGGACCCATAGAGTGAGCAGCAGTAAGATTTATTGTGAAGAGCAAAAGAACAAAGCTTCCACAGCGTGGAAGGGGACCTCAGAAGGTTGCCACTGCTGGCTCAGGTGGCCAGATTTTATTCCCTTATTTGGCCCCGCCCAGATCCTGCTGATTGGTCCATCTTACAGAATGCTGATCTGTCCATTTTACAGAGTGCTGATTGGTGCGTTTTTACAGAGTGCTGATTGGTGCATTTACAAACCTTTAGCTAGACACAGAGTGCTGATTGGTGCGTTTGCAAACCTTTAGCTAGACAGACAGCACTGATTGGTGCGTTTTTACAGAGTGCTGACTGGTGTGTTTACAAATCTTTAGCTAGACACAGAGTGCTCGTTGGTGCATTTACAATCCTCTAGCTAGATAGAAAAGTTCTCCAGGTCCCCACTCAACATAGGAAGTCCAGCTGGCTTCACCTCTCAACAAGATGAACCAGAGAGCAGGGTGAATTATTAGCTGATTTGAGATAAGGTTTCAAGTTTTCCTCCTCCCAGGCTAGCCTCTGTCAGAGCAACCTTTCACTCAGCCAGTCTTCTGACAGGCACTGCAGGAGGAAGAAGATAAAACTCACACTTGCATGTAAGGAACTATACATTGTGACTTCTTTCCATGTTGAGTTTCTTCCCTACTGTCAGGTCACAGCCATGCATCCCCAAATAATCAGTTTATGTAATTAATGCAAGTCATCTAAATAGGGGAAATAGAACAGTATGGTAGTTTTGATCTGTGTGGATGTGATTGGAGCAAATCAGCTGGTCTGTGTTTTCAATATATACATTTCTGCCCCCTCCCACTCCCACCAACACCCTCAGTGATTCTGATTCAGTCAGACCGGGATGCGTTCCATGAATCTGTGCTTTTCACTTGCTCCCCAGGTGATTGAGGAAGACGGCTTGAGAAATGTCTTATCTCACTATGAGCTCCAAAGATACTGGCAGCCTCTTATGTATTTATCCACAACATTTAGCCCCATGCTTATCATGGAGAAGTTGCTTCATAAATATTTGCTGAATTCATGTTTACTAGGGATGTTTGTTCCCCCTTAATAAACCACAAAGACAGTCTACTCATTGGGAAGGAATTTGGGATAAATATTTGAAATCAATGTGTTACTGCTTTACCACCAAAACAAAATCGTCTCCTTCTCTCATTTGGGTCTCCTGGGATCCTGTCATCTGTGCTCCCACACACTGTACCTCAGGAAAAGATAGGAAAGGCAAGGAGACGAAAGCTCAGCAAGTCCTCAGTTTCCCCAGATCACACATTCAAGGTCTGTCTGAATCTATGATGTGTGCCTGCCACACTTGGTCCTAAGAAGGTCATAGCAAGAACAGCAAGAGAAGTAACAGCCACAGCCATGGAGTTCCAGATGGTTTTAGCACCACCTGTCAGCCATTTGCTCTTGGGTGAGTTACTACTCTGAGTCTCAATTTTTTCATCCATAAAATGGGGAGCTGATTTCACTTTTTCTACTTTGAGGCATTCTTTAGAGAGATAGATCACACAGAGAAGGGTAAATGTGACAACTGTGTGAAAGCATTGTGTGTAAATTTGAAGATTTATATATCTAAGTCATCACTGTGAATAATATTAGTCTGTTAGTACTTTGTTTTCAAACACTCACATTTTCAGTAATAATTGTTTTAGTTTGAAAACTAGACAAGTTTTGACAACACGCATTTGTATGTACCTATTACAGTGCAGTCAATTTACTGAAATTGTTATTGCCCAGCCCCTAAACCCCCAAAAGAAAGTTGGGGGAGAAAAAGTAAATATCAGCTCTCCTTGCAATTCATTGTCTAAAATTATCATGAATTGGAGTTAGTTCTGTCTCTTGAAACTCAGTCTTCTTAATGAACATCATCTCCTTCTCGTTATATCTCTATTATTATCACACAAGCCTGTAAATAGTTTATATATCTTAACTTTTAAAAACCTACTTTTGAGATACAGAATCCAAAACACATGATTATCTGCAGAATAATGCAGAGTACATCTTCACACCCTCCCTGTTTTAGTGTATTTGTCATGTCTTTTCCCTGCCTTGATTCCCAACTATTTGAGAAGTATATGAATACATTCTAATGAACATATTAAACCTTAAACTAAGTGGGCTTAATAAAATAACAAACGCCACATGCTCTTAGAAATTATTTCCATTTCATTCCATTAGTAATTTCACTGGTTCCATTTTCTTCTTCAGAGAATACTGATTTTTGATTTGCCTATTTCTCCCACCTCCCCAATACCATTTCCCTTTAAAGTTAAATTCTCCATGTGCAGTCAGGTCTTGATCTGGTCAAAGATGGGAAAGGAGTCGTGTTAGTCTGGATCATTGGGAGGAAGCTGGGGTAGACTAGGGAGAGCAATCAGTTCATGCTGAAATCTGACCCCAAGTGAGCCAGAGAGGAGAGAAGGTAGGGTGTGTACCTTTGTCACCAGGCATGGGAGAGAACCAAAATTCATGGACAAATATGTCTCTTATCTTCCAGGAATGGGTCTGCCTTAGACTTAAAATAACTTTTAGACTCAGGATAACTGTGACACTCTCAGTTATTTGCAAGGAGTAGTTGGTAGAAGGTGTGGTCCTGTTGCAAACCCATGATGGATTCCAAGTTGCAGTGGCTGGGACCTTCAGTCAGTTATGACACTTACAGTAGGAGGTCTGCAAAGAGCACTCCAATGGCTGCCACTGTCATATTCCAGGAATTTGACATCTGAAGGTCACTTTTCAGGTACCACATTTAATTGTCCCCATGAAGGTGGAGAAAGGACAAAAACGGGGAGAGACTATAGTGTTTGGAATGGGCTCAGGGAAATAACAGTGTTCAGAAATTTTTGGAAGTAGACTTTGTTTGCAAACCCAAACGTTTGTGAGATTTTTAAAAATAGCTTTTACTGTGAAGCCATAAAAGCTGATACGATTCAATCTCAGGAGCAGCAATACCTTCCAAGTTAAAACAGTAAATTATTTGATTGAGATAAAGATTAATAGCCAAAATCATGCAAGTCAGTCAGAAGCACCAGAGAGCATCAATCTCCAAAGATTAATAATGGTAAAAGACAACATTGTGATAATCAGTTTCATAGTGATGGATCATGGGAGAGTTTAATGAGTGAATTTCGGGAGGAGAATTTCAATCGAGTAGACTAGACTTGCGGAAAGTGCAAATCACATGGCTAAACCTTAAAGCAGGCCGTCTGCCTGGAGGACACAGGCGGGAATACCATTTTCCTGTCTTCGTACTAAATGCTGAAATAGCACACAAATTGGTGTCAGGAGGTTGAATGGAATCTGCTGCAGCAAAACGTGACTGGAGCAGAGAAACTGTGCTCACCACTCTAATTTAGAAGGCAGGAGAGCTGAGCTAACAGAATGTAATCGTGTCTTAATGTGCTCAAGGAGACTGAGAATCATTAGTCATTGTCAGAGGAGGCACACAAACTGATGTCGTTTATGGGACTGTCATAGTTCTGAAAGTTGGGAGCCGTTGTCCTCAGCGTTTGTCTCTACCTGCCCATGCAGGCATGAATCCAGTCCTTCTGGCAGGTACTGGGTCCTCAGTGGGTACCAAGCACTCTTCTGGGCCTGGGGAATAGAATGGCAAATAAGCCATGGTCCTAGACCTCAGAGGACTTACAATTTAAAAAAGAGGGACCGGCAGGAGCATAAATCATAACACAATGGAATCTGTCCTGGCAATGGGTGGGAACAATAGTCTATGTTTGAGAACATGGACTTTAAAGACAAACTGGCCCATGTTCTAGCATCTGCTCTACTACATACTGGTTATGGAACCATGGTAAGTGTCTGAGTCTTGGATTCCTCATTCGCCAAATGGGGCAAGTCATAGGTAAGTTACTGGAAAGCTTAAATGAGATAAGATGAGTCTGTTCTTCACACAATGCCAGGCACATGGTAATGCTCTAGAAATTGTAGGAAATAATTTTGTCCCATAAATGAATAACTACAGTGATGTATTGCTTAATGACAGGAATACATTGAGAAGTGCATCATTAGGTCACTTTGTTATGCAAATATCATAGATTTACATAAACAAAACTAGACGATATAGCCTACTACACACCTAGGCTATGGAGTATAGCCCACTGCTTCTAGGTCACAAATCTGTAGAGTATGTTAATTTAAATACTGTAGGTGATTGCAACACAATGGTAAGTGTCTGTGTATCTAAACATAAAAAAGGTACAGTAAAAATATCGCATTATAATCTTATAGGACCACCATTATATATGCAGTCCATTATATACCAAAATGTCATTACACTGTGCATGACTATACTTTAAATTGTTATTATCATACACAAAATTAAAATGAAGAGTATAAGGACAGATGAGTTGTTTCTGCAAAGAAGGATGGAACCAAAATGCGGATTAACATCAGGGGAAAACTTTATAAAGAAACAGATATTTGAGATAGGTCTATATAGGAGAGTTTTCCAGATTTAGAACACGGAAAAGTTTTCACGGATGGAGGAAATCTTATGAGCCAAAGCAGAGAGTATGAAAATCCACAGCCGGTTTGAAAAATGGCAACAATTTCTGTGTGGCTAGGGTATTTCACAGTCCATGGGACAAGGCAGCAAAGGCTGTTTGGGATGAGACAGTGAGAAGTTTAAACACCAGGCAAGGGGGTCCTGAGGAGTCAAACTTGTAGCTGGGAGAATATTTTTTTAAAAAGGAAACATTGAAGATTTTTGAAGCATCTTCAAAGGAAAGAATAAGCAAAAGGTATAGAAGAAAATGTACTATCACATAATATGTAGATTTTGATATGCCATTTGTCAAATCAGCTTCCTTCGAACAAAACTACATTTCCCAAATAATTGAAACAAGTGGGTTGGAATATGTGTATTGGACCCAAAGACCAAGTAGTAATGGATAATTCTGTCAACATCATCTATGTTTGTAATGATCAGTGATGATCTCACTAAGTGCCTGGGCACAATGATGACCACCATCCATTGAGTGAATGCTCCTTATGTGCTAAGGGCTTTGTGATGCGTGAGTTCTATTATGTATACCCATTTTGCTGATGAGGAAACAGAGTTCTTGAGATGTTACATTACTTGCCCAAGGTCACACAGGAAGTGGGGCACCTGGGATGTGACTGAGCTCCAGAACTCTCAAGTAGCCCATGTGTACTTCCTTATTTCCCTCCTTCTCCTTCTCCAAGACAACCGGCAGTGCAATCCATTCTCCATGGAGCAATAGAGACTTTGGACTCCCACTGGTTTCCATTCTAATCACATTGAGCAAATTACATTATAAATTAATCCTGATAAAACATTCCAGTCTTCCCTCCCCATAAGCTAAGGAGACTCACCGCAGTCCTGAGGCCCTGCAGAATGCACCTTCGGAGAAAAAATCCAGAGGCTTTGATTGCATTTGCTTTTTAATTAATCTAAAGTGTTAATTTTCAGCAGGAGGAAAGTTAATTTTTCCTTTTGTTAATCTAATGGCCACAGGCAATACTAGTACTATTGCAGCAAAAGTTTGGAATGACTGTCAAGCTCCCCGGTGCTACAATAAACGCAGTGGCAAATAAAACAGCTTCCCTGGAAGGCGCATGAATTTAAATAATTTCCGCAGATGGTCTCTGCTTCTCTCAGTGAAAAGAGAAAAAGGCTAATTCCGACCTAATCAGGCCACACTAACATCTAAGCAAATCCTTTCTTTTGATCCTTTCACACTTCTTTTCTGAAAATGAGAAGGGAAAAAGAAACACGACTTTCTTCCAGTAGCAGAGAAGCACCACAAGTTTGGGGTTTGAGAAAGTTACGACATGTTCTCCTCTCTGGGGACCTATTCTAATCCCAGGCCTTCTCTCCTGTCTCCCATTATACGACCTTATAGGTTGGGACTCTTTTGGACTAGAACAAAGACTCTTATTTGTAAAAGGAATTAAAGCTACAGGCTACCTGGTTCTTCTAAACGAAACTCAGAAAATGTCACATTTGTATGTCAAATAATTTAAGGCAGTCGAAACAAAGATGTTTGTTGTATGTAGCCAGGGTGCTCAAAACATACCAGGGTGATGAGCTGAGATGAGGATCTTATGACCGTATCTCTTGTTCTAAAAACCTGCATGAAGGTTTAAGACACCTCAGAGAGGGCCATCAGGCATTGGTCAAAAGCCAGGGCAGGCACCTGAATTGTAGAATTTAGAAAGGCTGCCAAGGTAGTAGCAGCAACCAGAGGGACATGAAATCTGGCCTTGAGTCTAGACTTCATGAGCGCCACTCTGCCTGACGTTGTCATTTATCCTTTACAAATACTTTCTTACAAAATGTCTTATTTTATCCTGCACCATAATTTCACATACCAACTCAAACTGATTGTTGGTGGCTACCCGGAGCACCATGTTTAAAAAAGATTGTGGAACTCAGTGGAAATAGATTCTTTAATCTTAGTGATACCCAAGCAGGAACTTCATGACCTTAAGTGCCTAGGAAAACAGGGGCACATATATGAAGTATCCGCTCCCCACACACCACAATTATTTCTTAGCTAGCCAGTGATAGTAAGGTTTCAGTCATGAAGGGAATCTTAACTCCTAAGATATCTCTTGTCCAATGGCCCTAACCCTAAACCATTTTGAATGAGGGAATTATCCTTTAAAGAAATCCCACAAGCTTTATTTTCCTCCAAATCCATTGTTACCAAAGAAAGTTGTTCCTTTCAGTGAGCCTATCTCCTTCAAAACCCTTTTCTTCTTGATGGAAATAACTTGAAGGGCTGCAGCTTTGTCTCTGAGTCTCTAAATGAAGAACATGTTCAACTCTATATTGAAAACTGGGGGGAAAGACTCATGCAGGCATCAAGGGGTTACACCTTTCTGCGTAGAAAAATCCTTTCCCAAAGCGGGTTAGAAACAGGCACAATGAATTCAGCCCATCTACTTTTTAATGGCTTGCATTATTAAAAACATTACTTATGCCTTTTGCATGACAAAGAACATGAGTAATAATTTTGATAATAACTTTGTCTTTGATACACAAAGGAACTCGGTGTGAAAGTTTTTAAAATACTATCTTTGGGGCAAAACTGGAGATTAGCAACATGCTGGGAAATGAGCTATTCCATTGAAGGAGAAGACTGCAGTGCTTTTTTTCTTCTTTTAAATTTTAAAATTGGAAACCCAGCAGAAAGCTGCTAGAATGCTTAAACAGTCATGTCCATTAGAATATTTGGTCTCTGCAACAACATGTGGAACTGCTGATCAGAAAAAGAGTGTGTATGTATATATATATTTACGTATCATTTCTTCAAACCTGCCCCTACTGTAGTAGGTTTTCTATCTACCAAAAACATCATGAAGACATTCTTTGTTTACACAGCAGTGGTTTGTGGTTCAATGCAATTAGTGGACAATGAACATTAAACTTTTATGACCAGCTTTAAGCATACCTTCTCTTGAAATTTTTTTAACCAAGTGACAACTGACATTCATTCATTCATTCAATACATATTTATTGAGTATCTACTATGCACCTGATATTGAATCTAAGGGTACAGTGAATAAAACAGATGGAGATTCCCACCCTGGTGTATTTACATTCCAGTGTGGGGAGGAAGATGCTGAAAAAATAAACATAAAGAAGAATATGTTGTATGTTAGAAGATAAGTGCCACAGGAAGAGGTATATCAGACTAGAGTGTATAATTTAAAACAGGGTTGTCAGGGTAGACCTCCTTAGAAAGGGAACACTTCATTCAAGATATGAAGGAAGTGACAAAACTCACCACACTGTCCATCATCACCAGTGCCAAGACCCTAATCAAGATAGGCAAAGTTGTGTATGGAGATTTAGCAGGGTCGGGAGATTAGGAGTTTTACTTTGGATCTTTTGGGCTCAAGATCTCAGACGAGAGATGACAAGTGACTTGGATATACTAGTCTGGAGCTCAGGAAGGAGATTTGGGCTGGAATATAAATCTGTATACTCTTGCCATATAGATAGCATCTACCACTGTGAAGCCATGTGAGATTGCCGAGGAAATGAGTAAATCTGCGTATGTTCATTGCAGCACTATTCTCAGTAGTAAAGACATGGAATCAACCTAAATGCCCATCAATGATAGACTAAATAAAGAAAAATATGGTACATATATGTCATGGAGTACTATGCAGCCATCAAAAAGAATGGGATCATGTCCTTTGCAGGAACATGGATGGAGCTGGAGACCATTATCCTTAGCAAACTAATGTGGGAACAGAAAACCAAATACTGCGTGTTCTCATTTGTAAGTGGGAACAAAGTAATGACAACACATGAATACACAGAGGGGAATAACACATACTGTGGCCTTTTGGAGGGTGGAGGGTGGGAGGAGGGAGAGGATCAGGAAAAATAATGGGTACTAATGGCACTAGGCTTAATACATTGGTAAAAAAAATAATCTGTACAACAAACTTCCATGACACAAGTTTACCTGTATAACGAACCTACACATGTATCCCTGAACTTAAAATAAAAGTTAAATTAAAAAAAAAAAAGAAAGAAAGAAAACCAGGATCAAGGGCTGTGCCCTAGAGCTTTCTAACCCTTCCCATACTGGGGAAAAGAGGAAGAACAGCAAAGGAGATGGAGAAGGTAGGAAGAAAAGCAAAAGAACAGGCTTGGAAACTAATTGAAAAATATGTATTGGGGAGGAAGACGTCATCAGCTGAGTCAATGCTGCTGACTCGCAGTCAAGAAAGATGAAGGCAAAGCATCACGAATCTATGGAGGGCATGAGTCACCAACATCTTTATCCAGGCACAGCATTTGCCTCAGAGACTCACACATCCTTTCATTTTATTATGTCTTACTAATCTGAAAATAGTCCACAGCCCCATCCCAGGCAAGGTCACAACCTGGTAGCTCACGAGATGGGGCTGGTCTCAACATCTGTTTGTTGTTGTTGTTGTTTTTGCTGGGTCATCACAGTATTTTAAAAATGTGAAGTAACACATTAAAGTTGTGAAATTCCCTGCTTAAAAATTACAGGTTTCCATGTCCTCTAAGAAACTTAAAGCTCTCACTGATCTGACCCATATTCCCACTGCACAGCAGCCACTGGCTGCAGCTGAGGGCTGTAGGTTTCCAGCTCACCATGACCCCCAGCAATTTGTACATGGGTGCAAATGAACTCCCATCCCACCAGCCACCCCTATTTACCTGCCCTGTCTGGCTAGAGAAACAACCCACTTTGCAATCTCTCTTCTAAGAAGCTTTAAAAATAGAATCAGATCTCAAAGGTTCTGAAGGCACTATATGAATCTGCATTTGGATCAAAGTACAATTTTTGAGGAGTTTTGTTTACGAATCTCAGTCTGAAAACCTTATATCTTATTGTGACAGATTTCCTGTGGACCAGCAGGAAACACCGATTTTAGGAGCTGTTTAAAAGTATTAAATGGCAAAAAGGTTTCGTGTTTAAATGAGCATGAGAAATAGCAAGTTCAGTTTTCACTATTTCTTTCTTTTTCCTTTGCTATGGAACATCTCAGAGGTTGTAAATGCTAATTTGTCCTAGGACTCTTAAAGACTCATGCCCTGGCCGGGCGCAGTGGCTCATGCCTGTAATCCCAGCACTTTGGGAGGCTGAGGCAGGCAGATAATGAGGTCAGGAGTTGGAGACCATGCTGGCCAACATGGTAAAACCCCATCTCTACTAAAATACAGAAAAAAATTTAGCTGGGCATGGTGGCAGGTGCCTGTATTCCCAGCTACTTGGGAGGTTGAGGAAGCGAATCGCTTGAATCCGGGAGGTGGAGATCACAGTGAGCTGCGATCGTGCCACTGCACTCCAGCCTGGCAACAGAGCAAGACTCCGTCTCAAAAAATAAAAAGAAAAAAGAAAGAAAGAAAAGAAAAAGAGTCATGTCGTACACAGTGTTTCCCAAACCTACCTGGCCATGGAATACTTTTTTGGATGGATGAAGTCTCCAGAGACATGAGAGATGCACAGGACGCCCCCGGGGAATGGCTTATTGCCAGATGTCAACACCTTCAATAGCATTTAATGCACAGATGTTCAACAAGTTGCAGAACAAATTACAAACTGGAGAGGCTGGACATGTCACCCGGCAAAGCTAACAGGATTCCAGACTTCACTCCATCCCTAGATGACAGCTGATGCAATGAGTCCTCAATTCCTGCACAAAACCAGTATCAGGGGGCATGTCGTGTGAGCACCTCTCAGCTGCATGAGCGTTGATGTCCTCCCTCCAGCAGCAAGTCTACCTCCAGCAGCCTGTCGAACTGATATTCTCAACAGCCTTGGAAAGGGCCTGCTTCCAAAGCTCTGGGTTTACTGAGCTAGTCACGTGCAGAGCACATGGCCTTCCACTGCCTCCATCAGTCTGCTCCCTGACTTCTCCACCTTTGCCGGTGCATCATCACTTGGTACCAAAACTCATCTCACATTGAATTGGAAGACTGTCCCTGGCAGGAGAAGGCAGTGCCTAGCAGTATGTGTCTGGCATTCTGGCTTTAGTATGTGGCAGTTTTGCTACATTTGTAGAAGCATGAGTTTAAATCAAACTCACTCTGAGGATGAAATGCCAGAGAAAGGCCCTGGCCTGGCAGCTGTACCAAGCTGGCCCCCAAACATCTATATCTCTGCCTTTGTTGTTCTTGCCTCTTTTTTAAAAAGTTATTATTTACTCATATTTAATTTTCATAATAACTTCATGAAGCAGATATTACAGATTTACAGATGAGAAAACCAAGGCTCAGAAAAATTTACTCATCTGATACAGAAAGGAACTCAGTGTGAAAGTTTTTAAAATACTATCTTTGGGGCAAAACTGGAAATTAGCAACACGCTGGGAAATGAGCCATTCCATTGAGGGAGAAGACTGCAGTGCTTTTTTTCTAGTAGTGAGTGGCAGGGCTCAGATTTTTAACTCAGGTCTGATCTGATTCTAAACCACCCTTGCTGCTTAACCAGTAATCCTCAAACATGCTGGAAGAGGCTTAGCACAATCCCGTAGGAGACTGATGAACTCACACTTGTCCATATTCTTTCAGGGGATTCTCAGACACATTTTCCACCTTGACATGGTGGAAAGAGACGAGCATGTACATTTAGCAAAAGATTTTCAAGTGATTGTGTCCAAACTGTGGCCTGTGTCTTCTTTGCATTGTATTTGGGTTTTTTCCCATGTGATTTTCAAAATTTTCGAGTTCTTTGCATTGAAAATAAATTGTGTCTATCAGTTCTAAATAATTAAAACACGATATCATTTAAAAATTAAACTTAAAGGTGGTACACAGCTTGCTCTTTATAAAATTTGTCCCTCATAAAAATGTCATTATCAATGTAGGCAGGCATTACAACCCCATTCCTGTGGGCCTGTGGGGTCTCATTTGGGGATGATGAAAACGTTTTAGAAATGTACAGAGATTAGAGTCATATAATATTGTGAATATATTAAATGCCACTGCTTGTATACTTTAAAATGGTTAATTTTATGTTATGTGACTTTCACCTAAAAAACAAAAACAAACTACCCCATATTCCTGGACCACAAAATTTAGTTCAAACACACTTTATCCTGAAGACCCAATTCTACTCTTAGTGAAGCCTCTGCAAGCTGCAGCCCTCGTGGGGCGCCACCAGGCATTACCTGAAACTCAGGGACAACAGCAACTCGCAGAGCCGCCAAGATGACCCATTATCATTGGAAATAGGGCTGCAGAGTCAGCTCATTTGGGGCAAGGGAGAAAGTGACAAAGTAAATGCACCATAATTACCAAGTTTTTAAACCACTCAACAGCCTTACAAACATCTGAAAGGGAGTCCTCCACAGCCTAGTCCCTTATGGTGAAATAGAAAAAGTTGGCCCAAATGTCTGCTGGCTCAACAGCCTCCACCTGAGCCAGGGTGATCAAAGGTGTGCCCATCTGCTGACAAAGCTGAGTCTCATTGGTGTTGAGGACTACCCAGTGGGTGCTGTTGTCACCATATCTTTTTAAAAAAAAATTTAATTTTAGTTTTGTGGGTAAAAGGTGTCTATATTTTTGGGGTACATGAGATGTTTTAATACAGGCATGCAATGCATAATAACCACATCCTGGAAAATGAGGTATTTATCCCTTCAAGCATTTATCCTTTATGTTACAGACATCCAATTATATCATTTTAGTTATTTAAAAATGTACAATTATTTTGACTATGGTCACCCTCTTGAGTCACCACATCTTTGTTCTTTTCCTCCTCCCCTTACCTACCTCAGTTTACCAAGTGCTGCTCAGTAGTCCAATACTCCTATCCCTCTCCCTGCCTGCCCTCCTCCACACTTATTATTAACACTTGTGTCGAGGCAAGCATGCCATCCCCTCGCATGGAAGCAACACCTCTAATCCTGGGTCTTGCAGAGTGGAGAGCCTGGCCCCGCCTCAGCCCAGTGCCGTGCACGGTCACCTGAGCCTTGAAGGTCCTCTGCTTCTGCCCAGCATCTCACAAAGTCCTCTGTCTCAAGTGATAAACAATTCCAATGGTTTCCTGCCCTTGCGCTCCTCACCCCAGGGCATTGCTTCCGTGAGTCTCATCTGAGCCCTGCTCAGCCAGCTAAAAACGTTTGTTACATAAACGTGTTCTTCTCATCACACGCAACACCGCACTTCCGAGTCACTGTCACAGGCACTTTCGTTTGGTGTTCAGGAACGTGGGTGAAATGTGCATTGTCATCTGCTACCGCGGGTGACCAAGAGCACACATTTACACCACGTTCCATCAGAATTCAAAATGCAATTTCAGGCTATGTGATGGTTTTGTGCCATGCAAGGCTAATCAGCCATGCGGGATCCAGGCCACAATGCTGGCCTCGTCAGCACTCTCTCCAGACTTGTTTATACTCCACAAAGATCAAAAAGCATATAGAGAATGAAGGCGAATACCATGAAATAGGCGAATACCATGAAATGGCCGTATACTTTAATTTCTTTCCTAAAGGTCAAGGCTTTATAATGAGGCTCACAAAGGAGAAATACAGCAGGCTAGAAACACACATTAAAAGAACCTCTCCTATATCAAAAGGAAAAAAATAGGTCATAGACCATTTTAATGGGATCATTTCAGTCCACCTGCCCCTGGTTCTAAAACCATTTTGGAAATAGAAAAGTGACTGGGATCTTTTATATTCACTAATAATGTCCCAACAGCAGTGAGGCTGAATTTAGTCTAAAATGACACACTTCTACAGAAGGAGGGAGAGGCCTGTGAGTGGAATGTGTCTTAGGAAGGGTTATCTCCAAAGAGAGCTTGAGACAAATTTTGTGTGCAAGTGGTTTATTTGGTAAAAGGACTCCCAGAGCAGGAGTGAGGGACTGGGGTCATGAGACAGGGAAGGGGGAATGCAACACAAAGCCATGCCATCAGGTTGGCCCTCCTTGGGCACTGTGAACTGAGCTGCTCAATCCCCTAGGGCCTTCTGAGGGGCCTTATGAAACATGACTTGGAAATGTCCACCTAGGAGGTTAGAAGAGAAAGCTTTTATTTCCTGGCTGCCCACTGCCCCTGCCAAAAGTTTCCCTAAAAAGCACTAATTCTTGAGCCTCTGGGTTGCACCTGAAAATTTGCCAAGCAGCTCTGACAGTCACCCTGCGCCATAGCACTGGAAAAGCACAGAACAAAGGCAGCAGGTGTGTAATGCACAGCTGAGTAAGACGCTGTCTTGTTGCACCTTTGCTAAGCTGCTCCAAGGCCTCTGTGAACTGGTTGTTGCCATCGTAGTATAATAAGTCAAGAGAACGCAAAGCCACGTCCACTGCAGACCTCTGAGGCCCAAAGCCTTGTTTATCAGCACTGGAGGAACTCAGGTACACTTGTTAAAAGATACCCAAAGTTCTGCACATGAAGCGAGACTCCCCTAATCCGACCTTCTGAAACCAGATTGCTCAAAATTGAGTGTACTCAATTCTCTGAGTGCCTTAACCACATACTTCATTCTGATAAATTAACAGGTACTCCCTTACCTCTTTACGTGAACAAAAAGAAGATTCTCATTTCTAATACCCAGACTGGCTCCTGTCCCAAACATGTTGATATCATGGTTCAGAGAGTGATTTTGAATAGAAACAGCAAATATTTATAGTTCTGCCAACGTGGACATTTTTATTCTTTCCTCTTTCTCAGAGTAGCCTCTGACAAACCCTTGTTTACCACATTTTTACTCCCCCACCACACAAAGAAATATTTATGATTCAAAAATCAGAAGTTCCTTTCACTTCTTGTTCATTGGCAGAACACAACTAGAGAAGAACCTACAAGCCAAAGGTGCCCTTTCTCAGGGTATACTATAAACACCTGGGCAGCAGAGGCCACTTGTTTATGAGTTTTTCATTCTTATTCCACTAAAAAAGAGTCTCATGGAGACTTATGAAAAGTACTCATTGAATAAATCTGTGTATTTTTCAGTAAGAGGAGAAAAAGGTAATTCTCTAGTGATGTTGCTCAGAATAGTAAATTCTATAGTGGCTACAGGTGTGTGATGGACTAAACTAAGAAGGTCTCCCTTTCTATTTTGTGGCTTCTCTAGGTTTCTTGAATGGATGGTGACTTTATTTCCTCCCTGCAATCTAAACCTGGTTTGCCTGGCATTTGGTTGTCAGCAGTTGGAAGGTTCCACCTTCAATACACATGCTGCAGCAATTGCAATAATTCTCCTTGCTTTTTCATCTGGGGATTTAAATTGTTCCATGAGATGTACAGACACCCAATTTGGGTTAGGGGTTCGATTTAAATGTGCTGTCAGTTTTGATTTTTCACATTACCTGCTCATGCTAGAAGAGAGGGCTCACTAAACTAGTAATAAGTTTTCAATCCAAAGAGATCAAAATAAACTCGGGGTCATGTGAGCAGCAAGGGGCTTCTTCTGACCAAGTTCAGCAAACTGAAGGAATGGAGCTGCCCAGCAAACATGATGAAGTGGGTGGGTGTGTGGTGGCGGGGATGGGGGTGGGTTTCCTCTCCAGAGTTTAGCCACATGTTTCTACTTTCATTAACTTCTCACCTTTTAGAGAACAGATTTGTAAATTGTCTGCACAAAGATGCAACAGCTGCTAATTAGATGTCCTCCTTACTGATTGCCTGACTGCAAAGAGAACAAGTAAGAATTCAAAGAGAATCCTTGCAGCTCTCCTTTCAGAAAATGTCTGACAAAGCAGTCTGAGGTTCTAACAGAGCCTTGTATACAAGAGGCACTCAATATGTGCAGAGTAAAAAGCAATGACATTCACCCAAGTGTCCGGAGTTCTTCAGCCAGTGCGTGGCTTTCCCTTTCTGTGACAGAGGTTTGGTTTTTGGTTTCCTACTCAAAGACACAAAACTGCCCACTGCTCCAGCTCAAGTGTGGTGAACAAAACAACGGTATCCAGAAATAGCCTCACTGGAAACCATTTTTAACAGTGTCAAACAAGCAGCTTGACAGATTTTCTTTCAACTCTCCTATATTTGGGCTAGCCAAATGATAGCAGTCAGGATGGGCTGGGTTACGATGCAGTGACAATAAAACTCCACGTTGCAGTGACTTATAACCACACAGGTTTATTTCTCACTCACACTACATGCCCTGTGTTGAGGGCTCTGCTTACCTTAGTGACTCAGGGACCAAGGCTGATTATGGGCCCATCTCCCCTGTGCCTCTGTGTTCCCCACAGCTGGGTAAAAAGTAGCACTTCAGTGTTGCTCTGGCTACTAAGTGCTTTTGTCTAGAAAAGACGCACACCACTTCCTCTCACATTTTATCATCCAAAGCCAGTCACTGACCACCCAACTGCAAGGTAGCAGAGAATTTTAACCTTCCACATACCGGGAAGGGGGTGGTGAAATGGAATACTTGGGCGCAACCCCAGTGACTAGCACACAGCCCTGTTCTGGCTTCAGCAAAGGAGACTGACTTGTGACTTTGTCTCTAACTCTGCATGGTGTTCAAAACCAGGCAGATTCACAGCTGAATTCTACAAATGTACAAAGAAGAGCTAGTACCATTCCTACTGAAACTATTCCAAAACACTGAGGAGCAGGGATTCCTCCCTAACTCATTCTATGAGGCCAGCATCATCCCAATACCAAAATATGGCAGAGATACAACAACAAAAAAGAAAATTTCAGGCCAATATCCTCAATGAACATCGATACAAAAATCCTCAACAAAATACTGGCAAAATGAATCCAGCAGCACATCAAAAAGCTTATTCACCACCATCAAGTAGGCTTCATCCCCAGGACAAGGTTGGTACGACATACAGAAATCAATAAATGTGATTCATCACATCAACAGAACTAAAGACAAAAACCACATTATCTCAATACATGCCGAAAAGGCTTTCATTAAAATTCAATGCTGCTTCACATTTAAAACTCCCAATAAACTAGGTATTGAAGGAATATACCTCAAAATAAGAGCCATTTATGACAAACCCACAGCCAACATCATACTGAATGGGCAAAAGCTGAAAGCATTCCCCTTGAAAATCGGCAAAAGACAAGGATGTCCTCTCTCAGCACTCCTATTCAACATAGTATTGGAAGTTCTGGGCAGGACAATCAGGCAAGAGAAAGAAATAAAGGGCATTCAAATAGGAAGAGAGGAAGTCAAATTATCCCTGTTTGCAGATGACATCATCCTGTATCTAGAAAACCCCATCATCTCAGCCCAAAAGGTTCTTAAGTTTATAAAACAACTTTAGAAAAATCTCAGGATACAAAATCAATGTTCAAAAATCACTAGCATTCTTAAACATCAACAACAGTAAAGTCAAGAGCCAAATCATGAATGAGCTCCCATTCACAGATGTTACAAAAAGAATAAAATGCCTAGGAATATAGCTAACTAGGGAAGTGAAAGATCTCTACAAACAGAACTACAAACCACTGCTCAAAGAAATCAGAGATGGCACAAACAAATGGAAAAACATTCCATGCTCATGAACAGGAGGAATCAGTATTATTAAAATGGCCATACTGCCCAAAACAATTTATAGATTCAGTGCTATTCCCATTAAACTACCATTGACTTTCTTCACAGAATTAGACAAAACTATTTAAAAATTCATATGGAACCAAAAAAGAGCCTGAATAGCCAAGGCAATCCTAAGCAAAAAGCACAAAACTGGAGGCATCATGCTACCTGACTTCAAGCTATACTACAGGGTTATAGTAGCCAAACAGTATGGTACTGGTACAAAAACAGCACATAGACCAATGGAACAGAGAATCCAAAAACAAGACTGCCAACCTACAACTATCTGATCTTCAACAAACTTGAGAAAAACAATCAATGGGGAAAGGATAGCCTACTCAATAAATGGTGCTGAGGTAACTGGCTAGCCATATACAGAAGACTGAAACTGGATGCCTTCTTTATACCATATACAAAAATTAACTCAAGATGGATTAAAGACTTAAATATAAAACCCAAAACTATAAAGACCCTGGAAGACAACCTAGGCAATACCATTGAGGACACAGGCACAGGAAAAGATTTCATGATGAAGATATCAAAAGCAATTGCAACAGAAGCAAAACTTGACAAATGGGATCTAATTAAACTAAAAAACTTCTGCACAGCAAAAGAAACCATCAACACAATATTGATTCTTCCTATCCATGAGAATGGAATGTTCTTCCATTTGTTTGTATCCTCTTTTATTTCATTGAGCAGTGGTTTGTACTTCTCCTTGAAGAGGTCCTTTATGTCCCTTGTAAGTTGGATTCCTAGGTATTTTATTCTCTTTGAAGCAATTGTGAATGGGAGTTCACTCATGATTTGGCACTCTGTCTGTTATTGGTATATAAGAATGCTTGTGATTTTTGCACATTGATTTTGTAACCTGAGACTTTGCTGAAGTTGCCTATCAGCTTAAGGAGATTTTGGGCTGAGACAATGGGGTTTTCTAGATATACAATCATGTCATCTGCAAACAGGGACAATTTGACTTCCTCTTTTCCTAATTGAATACCCTTTATTTCCTTCTCCTGCCTGATTGCCCTGGACAGAACTTCCAACACTATGTTGAATAGGAGTGGTGAGAGAGGGCATCCCTGCCTTGGGCCAGTTTTCAAAGGGAATGCTTCCAGTTTTTGCCCATTCAGTATGATATTGGCTGTGGGTTGGTCATAGACAGCTCTTATTATTTTGAGATACGTCCCATCAATACCTAATTTATTGAGAGTTTTTAGCATGAAGGGTTGCTGAATTTTGTCAAAGGCCTTTTCTGCATCTATTGAGATAATCATGTGGTTTTTGTCTTTGGTTCTGTTTATATGCTGGATTACATTTATTGATTTGCATATGTTGAACCAGCCTTGCATCCCAGGGATGAAGCCCACTTGATCATGGTGGATAAGCTTTTTGATGTGCTGCTGGATTCACTTTGCCAGTATTTTATTGAGGATTTTTGCATCGATGTTCATCAGGGATACTGGTCTAAAATTCTCCTTTTTTGTTGTGTCTCTGCCAGGCTTTGGTATCAGGATGGTGCTGGCCTCATAAAATGAGTTAGGGAGGATTTCCTCTTTTTCTATTGATTAGAATAGTTTCGGAAGGAATGGTACCAGCTCCTCCTTATACCTTTGGTAGAATTCAGCTGTGAATCCATCTGGTCCTGGACTTTTTTTGGTTGGTAAGCTATTAATTCTTGCCTCAATTTCAGAGCCTGTTATTGGTCTATTCAGATTCAACTTCTTCCTGGTTTAGTCTTGGGAGAGTGTATGTGTCAATATCATGAAAATGGCCATACTGCCCAAGGTAATTTATAGATTCAGTGCCATCCCCATCAAGCTACCAATGACTTTCTTCACAGAATTGGAAAAAACTACTTTAAAGTTCACATGGAACCAAAAAAGAGCCCGCATTGCCAAGACAATCCTAAGCCAAAAGAACAAAGCTGGAGGCATCATGCTACCTGACTTCAAATTATACTACAAGGCTACAGTAACCAAAACAGCATGGTACTGGTACCAAAACAGAGATATTGACCAATGGAACAGAACAGAGCCCTCAGAAATAATGCCGCATATCTACAACCATCTGATCTTTGACAAACCTGACAAAAACAAGAAATGGGGAAAGGATTCCCTATTTGATAAATGGTGCTGGGAAAACTGGCTAGCCATATGTAGAAAGCTGAAACTGGATCCTTTCCTTACACCTTATACAAAAATTAATTCAAGATGGATTAAAGACTTAAATGTTAGACCTAAAACCATAAAAACCCTAGAAGAAAACCTAGGCAATACCATTCAGGACATAGGCATGGGCAAGGACTTCATGTCTAAAACACCAAAAGCAATGGCAACAAAAGCCAAAATTGACAAATGGGATCTAATTAAACTAAAGAGCTTCTGCACAGCAAAAGAAACTACCATCAGAGTGAACAGGCAACCTACAGAATGGCAGAAAATTTTTGCAATCTACTCATCTGACAAAGGGCTAATATCTAGAATCTACAATGAACTCAAACAAATTTACAAGAAAAAAACAAACAATCCCATCAAAAAGTGGGCAAAGGATATGAACAGACACTTCTCAAAAGAAGACATTTATGCAGCCAAAAGACACATGAAGAAATGCTCATCATCACTGGCCACCAGAGAAATGCAAATCAAAACCGCAATGAGATACCATCTCACACCAGTTAGAATGGCAATCATTAAAAAGTCAGGAAACAACAGGTCCTGGAGAGGATGTGGAGAAATAGGAACACTTTTACACTGTTGGTGGGACTGTAAACTACTTCAACCATTGTGGAAGTCAGTGTGGCGATTCCTCAGGGATCTAGAACTAGAAATACCATTTGACCCAGCCATCCCATTACTGGGTATATACCCAAAGGATTATAAATCATGCTGCTATAAAGACACATGCACACGTATGTTTATTGCGGCATTATTCACAATAGCAAAGACTTGGAACCAACCCAAATGTCCAACAATGATAGACTGGATTAAGAAAATGTGGCACATATACACCATGGAATACTATGCAGCCATAAAAAAGGATGAGTTCATGTCCTTTGTAGGGACATGGATGAAGCTGGAAACCATCATTCTTAGCAAACTATCACAAGGACAAAAAACCAAACACCGCATGTTCTCACTCATAGGTGGGAATTGAACAGTGAGAACACATGGACACAGGAAGGGGAACATCACCCACAGGGGCCTGTTGTGGGGTGCGGGGAGTGGGGAGGGATAGCATTAGGAGATATACCTAATGCTAAATGACGAGTTAATGGGTGCAGCACACCAACATGGCACATGTCTACATATGTAACTAACCTGCACGTTGTGCACATGTACCCTAAAACTTAAAGTATAATTAAAAAAAAAAAAGAAACCATCAACAGAGTAAACAGACAACCTACAGAATGGGAGAAAATTTTTTCAAACTATGCATCTGACAAACATCTAATATCCAGTGTCTAAAAGAAACTTATATTTACAAGAGAAAAACAACCCCATAAAAATGTAGGCAAAGGACACAAACAGATGCTTTTCAAAAGAAAACATACAAATGGCCAACAATTATATGGAAAAAAATCTTAACATAACTGATCATTAGAGAAATACAAATCAAAACCACAATGAAATACCATCTAACACCAGTCAGAATGGCTACTATTAAAAAGTCAAAAAATAACAGATGCTGGCAAGACTGTGGAGAAAAAGGAATGCTTATACACTGTTGGTGGAAGTGCACATTAGTTCAGCCATTATGGAAGAAAGTGTGGGCCAGGCGCCGTGGCTCACGCCTGTAATCCCAGCACTTTGGGAGGCCGAGGCGGGTGGATTATGAGGTCAGGAGATCGAGACCATCCTGGCTAACATGATGAAACCCCGTCTCTATTAAAAAACACAAATAATTAGCTGGGCGTAGTGGTGGGCACCTGTAGTCCCACCTGCTCGGGAGGCTGAGGCAGAAGAATGGCGTGAACCTGGGAGGCGGAGGTTGCAGTGAGCTGAGATTGTGCCACTGCACTCCAGCCTCGGCGACAGAGCAAGACTCCGTCTCAAAAAAAAAAAAAAGAAAGAAAGAAAGTGGCAACTCCTCAAAGATCTAAAGATAGAATTATCATTTGACCCAGCAATCCCATTACTGGGTACAAACCCAAAGGAATATAGATCATTCTATTATAAAGACACACGCATGTGTATGTTCATTGCAGCGCTATTCACAATAGTAAAGCATGGACTCAACCTAGATGCCCATCATTGATACACAGGATTTAAAAAGTATTGTACATACACACCATGGAACACTATGCAGCCATAAAAAATGAGATTGTATCATTTGCAGGGACATAGATGGAACTGGAGGCCATTATCCTTAGGAAACTACCACAGGAACAGAAAACCAAATACTGCATGTTCTCACTTACAGGTGGGAGCTAACTGATGAGAACACATAGACACATAGAGAGGAACAACACATGCTGGGGTCTTTTGGAGGGTGGAGGGTTGGAGGAGGGAGAGGATTAGGAAAAATAACTAATGGGTACTCAGCTTAACACCTGCATGTTGAAATAATCTGTACAAAAAACCTCCATGACACACGTTTACCTATGTAACAAACCTGTACTTGTACCCCTGAACTTAAAAGTTAAAAAAATGGGAAGAACTTTCCATAGAAGAAAGCCCACATGTTACAGTCAAAATACAGTTTAAGGTATAACCCAACAACTCAGTGTTAAATGGTCAGGCAGTTCTTAAACCTCTATTATAATTACCACCCCCTTCAGTGAAAAACAAGGCCTCATGCCCATACATATAGAAAAACAGCACTCTCAGTCGGCCTAACCCTAACTGCCTTCATGGTCTCACCCATACAATAATATTCCCAACACAAAGTTTTATTGATACCTGAAAATCTGACAGTCAAATCTAGTGGGGTTTTGGATAAGTGATGTGTCTCTGAGGAGAGTTGAAAGACTGGATGGGCATAAAGGCCTCCTTCAGGGACCTCTAAGTAGAGAAGGTGAGAGAGACTCAATGACAGATGGCAAATACCCAGCAAGACTGCCCACCTAACAAGCTACACCTGACCAAGGTCAGGTGAGAGAATACGTCTCCTGTGGCCAAGGTGAAAGGTATAGCCCTTTCCAACTTTCTACAGAAGGGCTGCCAAGACACAAGCATAGAAGCCAGCGCACCCCGTACTGTCCCTACATCTCCAGGGAAAAGGAGCCACACGTCCTTGGTTGAAGGCAAGGTCAATGAGATTTGACGTTGTCCAGGGAACCTCAGGGTATGTATTGGGGGTATGCCCTCTAAGGATATATACACACATAAACACACATATAATCATATATTAATATACATATACATATATTCACAGTGAAACTCAACATAATGCAGCCCTGGGACAGTATGTCTGCTTTTCTCCTTAAGCAGAGATTGTCCAACTACAATCCACAGGCCAAATCTGGCTGTTTTCATATGGCCCATGAGCTAAGAGTAGATTTTACTTTTTTAAATTCTAGAAAAAATTTGTGGAAGTTAGTTCTATCTCTTGTCATACAAGAATCTACAAAATATCATCCATTTTGTTTCTTAGCCTACAAAGCCTAAAATTTCTATCTGGCTCTTAACCAGAAAAAATTGCTGACCCCTGTCTTCGAGTATTGGGAAAGGAGACTGCCTCCAGGTTCCCTCCTAGGGACACATTTATTAAGGAGATTTACTAAAGACCCCATGGATATGCTGTTACAGGAGGCCTTCCTCTGTTGGTCATGGAAATTTCATTGAGGTTGACTATGACTGTCAGTAAAGAAGAAACCAGAACAAAGTGACAGAGGACCAGGAGAAAGACAGGGTACGGTAGGAAAGCCCAGATTAGAATTCACAACCACAGTATACATTCAGTTCTTGTTTTTAACAGCCTTGTAACAAAGCCTCTGAGCCTTGGTTTGCTTGTCTGTGAAATGGGGTAATATTACTTGATCATCACAGTTGCCTGTGTTTTTGTTTACATCAACCAGAAACATATAGCAGAACCCCTTTGAACACTGAATAGGGCTGGGCAAATGGAGCTTACTCCAGTTGGTGGTGGCGTATCATCTCCACAGTTAGTAGACACAGCACCATTGTCTGATCTACATGGTATATTCAGCAAATATTCAACTAGAAATTTATCCACTCTATTTAAATGTGAGGAAATACAGGTAATTAAGCAAGGCTCGGCATGGATCTCCAACCACCGTTTACCAAAATAGTTTGGCATCTGTGATGTTCACAATTTCAGGGTCAATTTGGTACTGGACCATATAGCAGTAGGGAAGTCATGGACCCTGAGGTGAATGGAGAGAGAGAAAGAGAGGGAGAGAGAGAACACACAAGCAGAGATCAATTAAGAACTCTATTTTACTGTGTTCTCACTCCTTCCACATCCATGCAACCCTCCATCCATGGAGTAAGCATCTTCTATATTCAATGCCCCCTCAGTGATAGTGAAAGTGATAGTGATAGTGAAAAGATACATAAGGCTCCTGTGTTCAAGGAGCTTACATTCTGCTGATGGGAGGGGACAGAGGGTAAACAAATTGACAAATAAGATAATTATAGATGGTGATATATGCTTTGATAGCAATAAAAATGGTTGAGAGAGTAACTGGGTGAGGTCAACTTCAGGATATTTGAGAATGATCTGAAAACATGGGCAGGAGTCAGACATGTGATCCGCTGTAGGAAAAGCATTCCAGGCAGAGGGAATGGCCATGTAAATGCTAGAATGAGGTAAGGGGAGGGGAGAGAAGGCAGAAAAAAAAGGCTGGAGACATTGAGGAGGTTAGATTATGTGGAGCTGTGACCCTGGCACAAAGTTGGGCTTGATTTGGATTGATTACAAGAGATAAGGTTGCCGTTTTACAATTGAGCATCTGTGGTCCAATTCCTGATCTTAGAGGCTGGTTAAGGCAGAGAAGTCACCAAGAGGAAATGGGAGCCAGAGTGGCCAGGAGTCAGAGGGTCCTGCAAAATTACTGCTGGGGCGAGATTAGGACTGGTCAAACTGGAGTCATTGAAACTGCATCCAAGCAGGATGGGGAAGTGTGGGACCAGAGTGGCAGATTGGAGTTGAGAGCTGAGAAGACACAGGAGGCAGGAGGTAAGGAAAGATGGCACAAGGTCAGGGGACCAAAACTTTTGCCACTGACCTGAGATTCTTGGGACTGCGTCTTTTGATGCTGGTTCAAGGTACCCTGGTTAGGTTGGGCACAAGGCAGCATTATGAGTCTAGAAATATGCTGGGCTCCATGACAGCAAATTGGAGACTAAGTCTTCTGTAGTCTCAAGAAGTTCAAAATCTGGTTAAAAACATGGAGTATAAGACACAATTAAAGGACGATACAAATGCTTAGCTGTGTGTGACGTGTGTGTTTCTGTACATGCTATCGGTCCTCAAAGGAGGGTGAGCTCCTTTGATATGAAGCATTTGGGGCAGAGGAAAAAAGAACCAGAACTGAATATGGGCTCTTCAGTTGACAAATGGGCACTTCAAGTGACAAATTTGAAATGGCAAGGAATGAGCAGAGAACAGGGAAGCCAAGAAATAGGGTGACAATTAAGAACATTCCAGATGAAGTCCTCTATTATTTCCTTTTCTGGTAATTAGAGCAAAATATATTTCATAGTAACATTTTAAGTTAACAATTGACTTAATTCACTCCACCTACCACCTGGCTCAGATCAGTATCACCTCCCAATTCTGAAAAGAGGGAAATCAGGGGAGACTCTTCAGAGAGATAAGAGAGGAAATTGGTTGTTCTGAAAACAGGGCCCTTTCTTCTTTGCAACCACTTTCAAAGGGGAAAGCCGCCTGATAATGAAAAGCATTATCATTATTATTTACTTCAAATACTGGGCTCTCTCATAACAAAAGCTTCATTCTCTGTAATCTTACTGTTGTTTGGTATCACTAAGATATTGAAATTCATTTACACCTCCAGCTCTGGATACAACGTGTGCCAGCTGCTGCTCTCCCTCTGTGGCCAGTTTTATCCTATTATGCTATTTATAGGGCCTTCTCGGTGAAGGTGGCAGGAATAGTGATGCCAAAGTTTCATTCTTCCCTCCATCTGACAGCTGGCATGTTGTCCGACAACACAAAGGGAAAGAAGAAAGGTTGCATATCAAAATATTTTGAAGGCATCACTGTCAAACTTACAGACACACAACATGGATAATTACTCAAGTTTCACTGCAATGTCCAAAATGAAATCTTTCTAACCTGTGGACAGTTTATGAGTTTCAAGAAAATATTTGGTTTTTGACTCCAAATGCATACTTCTTCTTATCGCACATTCACATACTTGTGTGCACACACACAGAAAACTCGAAATAATTATTTTGCCAAACACATCAATTCTGAATATGATGGATTTTTTTTAACTTCTGAAGTGTGAAAAGAGTTGATCTAGGTAAATTTCCATCAAGTAAATCCTACTCCCAACTAATTTTGATTTAAAAAAACCCCAAATCAACCAAAAGCAACATGGAAAACTCTGGCTGGCTAAGATGCCACCTAACACAACTAATTCTCAGGAGCAGTAAGACATAATGAGCACTCAAAGTTTGACTCAACTGAATCAAAATATGTTCCTAATTAAGTAGGTCCTCTCCATCTTCCAGCCCTTGAATTTTAAGAGTTTCTCTATCCGTAAACATCTTGGAACTTCCCCGTTGGGTCTTTGTATTATTAAGACATCACACTCCACAGTAGTGTCACAATTGGGCTGCAGTTGTGAATACTCCTTAAGGTAAAGGTCTTTTGTTAAGATGAATTCTCTCCATATCTTATTATCTGTCAGAAATTCTGAGGTTGAGATGATGAGAGGGTACAACAAGTGTCAGTAACAGACACTTCGCTCATGCCCCTCAGCCTCCCAGCCACCTTGCTTTCTAGAACCTTCTTTCCCACCCCCAGCGGCCTGCCTAAGGAGTGGATGCCCAGCCAGGAATGGTTCTCACAAAGGTTGTTCCTGACCTTCAACTTGTATGCCAGGGCTCCAGGGCATGCACTGCACCAATTAGATCCTCTCTCAGGAAAGCAGCACTCATAAGCTCCTAGGTAATGATGAGAACTTTAGGTAAGAACTGGGGCACAAAGAGGGGTGGCCTGTGCCCATGTCCTGAGGGCCTAAAGACCTAAGGAGAAGTGGTTCAGAGCGAGAAGAGATTAGACATGAAGAAAGAATCAGAGAAAGCAAGAGAGACAGATGTGGTATCTTAGTTTGGGTGGCTATAACAAACTACCATAACGGGCTGGCTTAACAACAAATATTTATTTCTCACAGTTCTGGAGGTGAAGTCTGAGACTAGGATGCCAGTATGGATGGGTCCTGTGCTGTGCACAGTGAGGGCCCTGTTGTGCATTGCAGATGGCAGACTTCTTGTGTCTTCATATGGCAGAAAGAGTTCTCTGGGGTCTCTCTTATAAAGGCACTAATCCCATTCATGAAGCCTCCACCCACATGACTTAATTATCACCCAAAGGCTCCACTTCCTAATACCTTGGGGTTAGGATTTCAACATACATATTTTGGGGTGACAAATATTCAGTCCATAATAGATGAGGGTCAGGCCAGTCCCTGGAGCTGCTTTGGTGTTGGACCTTGCACAAATCTGCTTGTGTAATATTTCCTGTATTCCTGGGCCATTTCTCTATCCTTCCAAAAGAAAGATGGCCTTTAAACTCCAGCGACTCGAGCAGGTCTCTGTTCCTGGCAACCAAAAGAGCCCTTAAATGTAAGGTGGCAGATAGACTACTAGAATCCAAACCACTTGGTGGTGGTTAAACATACCGAATGCTGGTTTCCATGCCAGACTTCCTGAATCAGAAGATGGGAGGGATGGAGACCAGGAATCTATGTTTAAGAAGCATCACATGCCCCACTAGAATCTGAGAGCTACATTCCTTACAGAAACATCTTCCAAGGCATTTCATTACATACCTACGAAAGTTGCTGAAAATACGAAGTACAAAAAATCAACCAAATCCCTACTGAGTTTTCAGAACATGTCATGTTCACATTATCTTTAAATCATTAAAAAACTACTGTAATCATTAGGTTAAGTTAATGCACAAGTGGCAAATGCCTATGCTAATCATCCCTTATTATTGCAATGAGTTCTAACTGTTCTCCTTAAGTGAGGATGTGCCTATTAAAATGAGTATCATATGCACCAGACACCATGTGTCACATACAGCTTGATTTTCCCTTCTGTCCATGCAGTGTTATGTGTCATAGAAAAGCTGCTGTGTGATAAGTATGATGGTTTTAATGCCAATTAAGTGAGAAAGATGATAAAATCTATCTCCAGAATCACAGAGCTTCATCTTTCAACAAATATTTGCCAAGTACTAACTCTGTGCCTGCGACTCCAGAACTGGAGTTCTCCTGGGCACAAGGAATACAGAAAACTAGGGTGCTAGGTCTTCACCTATAATTAATATTGCCAGGAAGAGTTATGGGCACCCAAACACGCATATGTACAATGGAGACATGGAGCAGGGTCACTGCTACACTAGGGGAGGGACAGGGAGGGTGATCTTCAAGACTGCACTCAGACACAGTCTAGTGTAGCGCTGCTAACAACGGGGTAAGTTAGTTAAGTCTGGAAGTGAGAATGAGAAAGCATGTTGGCTTACAGGTATACTGTGTCCTCTAATCTTACTTTTCTTGCTAATAGAATAGACATAATATACTCCCATTGCCATTTCTTCTGTTTGAGTCCAGCATATAGCATCCTCTTGAGTTTTGACTAACCTCTTATTTCTCAGGTTGGTCAAAACTCAAGAAGATCTTATATGTTGGATTCAAAGACCCCCACAGAAAAAAAGAAGTTGGTTAATAAAACAAAAAATTTCCTAGAACTTCTGTACACTTAGTTAATTTCAATAAATATTTCAGTGCCTACTAAACTGTGCTAGTCACCAAAAATGTATACACCTTACCATGTAGAGTTTAGAGAAACACAGAAATAGACGATAAAGGTATAATGAAGTACGGCAGCAGTGTCTCAGGTAAAATACAACAATAGCAAGGAATCACTGAAAGAGGAACAATTAATTATGACTTACAGATAGAGGCAGATCTCTGAGGACAAAATATTTGATCTTGGCCTCTACATGAATTAGGATTTGAACTCTTAAGGCTTAAGTTGGGTGAGAGAAAAAATATAACAATTCTATAGTAAACAATTCTAACAAGTAGTATATACTGTATGAGTAAGCTTTTACTATGTAACAAAACCACTGGAAAACATAGTGTCAGAATAGCATTTATTATTTCCCATGATTCCGTGACTCAGTTCAATAGTTTTGAGCAGGGTCCTCCATTGCCAGGTCACCAGCCCGAAGATGCTCTGCTGACACTGGTTGCTGAGTTAGAAAAGGGTTCCAGGATGATGAAGTGACACTGAACATCTGCTTATTCTGAATCCTCTGTGGCTGAGGTTGCATTTTGGTCAGAATGTTAGCAAACTGAGCCTTGTCACAAACTTTATCAGACCCTGAAAGTCAATATCTGGAGTCCTCTCCCCACCCAGAAGGTGAACTGATATTGAATTGAATCTTCCTCGTGCTGTTCCAAAATAAGCCCTCAAAAAACAATGAGCAAATGGAAAATAGAGTATCTTTTATTGATTGTGATGTTTCCACTTAACTCGATTCCGGCAGGGGAGTTTCTAAGGTGGCACATGCGTAGGGAGCAAGGGCATTGCCACGGTCAATAATTCCGAGGAAATGAACAGCCTCGCCTGCCTAATGGATCTCTCCAATTTCCTCTATTGGGATCCAACTTGGGATTAGTCACTCGACAGATTTTTCAACAGTTCCTCTAGACTATGCTTTCTTTCAAAGCAATTTGGTAAGTGTCAGCTGAGCATCTGGGCTAACTTTCATGACTAAGGCCTTTTTATTAAAGACACCTTCCATGTGGTACTGATATGTTCTCATGCCTTCCTTTTTGAACCAGTGGTAGCCTTTGATTTTCTGTATGACTTTATTTTTCTCAGTATATGACTAGCAAAATACACACTCCTGCATACCACACACACACACACACTTTATAGGGGAAAAAAAGTGTCCATGAGGCATTCTTATCACTTTCTACTCCCTCCCTAGTGTCAACATCATTTTACATAAGTTTTTCATTTCAGTATCATTTTTGATTTATAGAAACATTGCAAAGGTGGTACATAAAATTCCTATATATCCCTCACCCAGTTGAGTTTCCTCTAATGTTACCACATTACTGTTACATTTGTCAAAAGCAGGAAATCAATATTTAGTAAACTCTGGACATGATTCGGATTTTACTCGTTTTTTCACTGATGTCCTCTTTCTGTCCCAAGACTCAATCCAGGGAACTTCACTGCATTTGGTCCTCACGTTTCCTTGGTTTTCTCTGGTCTGTGAGAATTTCTGTTTTTGTTTGGAATGACCTTGACAAGTTTGAGGAGTACCAGTTAGGTATTTTGTAGATCATCCCACAATTCAGGTTTGTCTGCTGGTTTTCTTGTGATTAGCTTGGGGTTATGAGTTTTGCCAAGAATGCCACAAACATGAATGCCTTTCTTGTTATATCATACTAAGTGGTATGTGCTATCAATAAAACTTCTCACCAGCAATGCTAAGCTTCATCACCTGGCCAAGGTAGAATTTGCGAGGTTTCTCCTCTGTAAACCTTTGTTTGTTTTTAAAGCAGCGAAGGCTCAAAATGCACTGTCATATTTAGGCAGTATTTCTAAATATTATGTTGCTCAAGTAGTAAAATGTAAAGTGCCACTACTAGGTTAGTCTCCTTAATCATAGAGGCTGAGAGAAGTTGAGTGGGAAGTTAGAAAGTATTTGGGGGACAAATGAGGAAAAAGGAGAAGGATATAAGTTGGTTTCAAATTTAGCTTTAATTTCCAAATTCTGTAGTAAAAAGATTCTTTCAAATAAGATACTCATTTATGTTGGCCAACTGGTTAGTTTCAGCCTTGTAGAATTTAGCCTGAGACCCCTTCGTTAGTTATAAACAAGTCAAGCTGATACCCACTTCTAAACTTTTTAGATATTTTACATTGAAATTAGCAATTGCCAATTTAAAGTCTACTTTGCCTTTCAGAAGAACTGAGAATATAGGTCTGTGTAACTAATTCAACTGTATCTTGGAGGGAAAAAGGCAAACAAAAAGAGCAGTTCAATTTATTGAACAACATATGAATTAGCGCCTAGTATATAATGTTCCTTATATATTCTTCATGGTAACAAAATCTGTATGGTAGTAGAGAGCCCTGCTTCTCAAAGTATGAACCCTAATCAGCTGCATTGATGTCACCTGGGAGAAATGCAGTCTCAGGTCTCACCCTGGAGCTCTGGAATGAGAACCTTTATTTTAACTGGATCCCCAGGTGCCTCCTGTACTTTCCAGTTTGAAGCACCCTGCCCTAGAGACCATTACCGATGAAACCTCTATTTGAAAGACAAACATCGTGCTCATGAAAAATATATGTGTATAGACTTTAGTCCCTCAGTCCTCAAGCCAATGATAATGTATACGTTTTAGAAACACAGTTTGCTAAAAAAAAAAAATTGATATTAATCTGTCAATTTTGCTTTCAAAAGCAAAATTGTTCTTTTGAACAAATCTGCTAACTGGTTACATCTTAAGGTAACCTATGCACCCAGATATATCCCTTTAACACAATCTTTCTTTAAAAAAAAGATTGGAAAAATAAAGATACATTTTAAAATGCAGATATACAGAAAGTAGAGCCTCACAGTTTGAATTTCATCTCATAACTGAGAGACAGGACAGGTTTCTGGTTCCCACGGTTTGTGACAAGTTCTTTCTCCTCTGTGCCCTGCTGCTACTTGCACTCCTAGTGGGTCTTCCAGGCAACAAACTTTTGTTTTTAATCATTACATGAAGATGAGGTTTAAAACATGCTTTCAGGACACACGTACAGTGGTTAATTTGTGAATGGTTGTATGTTAGTTTTAAAAAACCACACACACACGCTAAATCACATGATGGCGATTCTTACAGATTTCCAAATGCCAAAAGGAAAATTCCATATCTCCTTTGCTCTAAGTTTGGTGAAAAAAAGAAACATGTCCAAGAAGTTATAACTGAAAGTAGACCGGGCATGAGGAAGGACTTCCTACCATTTGGGGTGAGGAAATTGCAGGGCAGTAGAATGAGTCATGGACAAAAAAACATCAAAGGCAGCCCAACTGTCAGCTGCCAGAAATGCTAACATGCACAGATGTAAAACATGACTGAAGGAAGCAAAGCAGGAAAATTCTGGAGCGAGACAGAGTGAGATTCATGTCCACCCCAGCCCCCACCAACTGTGTGACATTGGGCAAGGTACTCAACCACTCTTAAGCCTGTTTATCTGTAAAATGGGATCGTAATTGTACATAGTTTGGAGGGGTGGCATAAGGCTTTCATGACACAATGCCCATCAAATACATACTAAAAAACTTAGCTATTATCAGTATTATCACCATTATTGTCATATATAAGAATGTATATCAAGTGCTTTGCACAATGCAGGCACATATAATTACTTAGTAAATAATGGGCTATTATTATTGTGATGGTAGTACATTCCTTGATTTTTTTAGAATTTCAAATTTCAGAAAATGATAGAACAGATTGTAAAACTTGGTCAAAAACTAAAGTCCTTCCAGCCCACATGGCCTCACTATACCCAGGCCCCCTCCCCACATGAGCCTCTGAACACTGGCTTCTAATTCTCCTTCGGGCTTCCCTCTCTCGCTGAGGGGAATGTCCCCTAACATGACATGAAGGATAAGGTCAATTATGATTTGGAAGAAGAATCCAGTCCCTAGGCTGAGACACAATGTTTTTTCAAAGAGACATAACAAAGGTCACCCTAGAGACAACTTTTCTTAACAGATGATTCTCCTGGGCTAGAAAAGCCAAAATGGACCTCAACGTGAATAACCTGCCAGCATCCTGCATTTTGACAGCTACAATTCTTCCTTTTTCAATTTCAATTCTTATTGATTTTGAAGATTCTCATTCCGGAGATGTATGCCGTCATTGTACTACAGTGTTTAGCAATTTATCTGTGCCTGCTTTTATATGCTAGATTGATTCTTTCCTATCGAAGCTGCAGGTGGGAGAGCGCCCGGGTTGCTATCTGGTGCCCTCTCTGCTCACAAGTGATTAAACTGAGACATTTCACGCTCTCACCTGAGGAAAAAATGCTAAAGTAAGCCTAGTGCCAGGGGGAGGTTCACATTTGGTAATGAAGCAGTGGAAGTTGGCAATGAACTCGATGAACTCCTTCTGAGAAGAAAGGCATAAATTAGGGAGAAGTGGAATCTGAGTGGGGCAAGGGCAACACAGACATTGCTCTGAATTTCCATTCAAAATCCCCAGATTTCCCTCTGGGAAGTCAATAGAGAACTGCATTAAATGATTAAATACTTGCTTGGTTCCGGTTACGGTTGGAAATGGTGAGCATTTTTTTTAAAACATGTGAAAATAGCTAGAAAAGATTAGGAAGTGTGGAGAGTGCAAATGAAATGAACCTGGATGAGAGTACATTTCTTACCGCTAGTTTTTCCAAAAAATAAATTTGAGAGTAAATAGTGACATTTACTTAAGTTAATCTACTCATGGTGAATAACTGTAAGAAAAATGTTCCAAAATTTAGAGATTAAAGCACAACTCAAAACATTTAGGGATCAAAATGATTACTTATCTTTTCCCTTTAGCCTAATTTCAATTATTTCATCTGTAGGGACTATGATCATTGTGTTTCCTTTTTGTTGGTGAAGGTGTTTCTTTATGTCAACACACTTTTCCTCACCCTTTCTTCTGTTTCCATTGGAAGTGCTTCCCAGATTCCGTGTAACATAAAAGGACTGTCAGTCATGGGGCTTTCTCCCACCCCCCGAATTGATCCTCTTGGCCAAATACTGCATGGGACTTTACTTATGCTAAATAAAAAATTGTTTTGAGTAGATAAAGAAAACGTGGTATGTAAAAACCATGGAATACTAATCAGCCATGAAACAGAATGAAATAATGGCCTTTGCAGAAATGTGGAAGAAGTTGAAGGCTATTATTCAAAGTGAACTAACTCAAGAATGGAACACCAAACATCGTATGCTATCACTTATAAATGGAAACCAAACTATAAGGATGCAAAGGGATAAGAATAATACAATGGACTTTGGGGACTTGGGGGGAAGGTTAGCAGGGGGGTGAGGAATAAAAGACTATATATTGATACAGTATAAGCTGCTCAGTTGATGGGTGCACCAAATCTCAGAAATCGCCACTAAAGAACATATTCATGTAACCAAAAAAAACACCTGTTCCCCAAAAGCTACTGAAATAAAATAAAAATTAAAAGTTAGTAATCATGACTGACATGGATAGTCAACACTTTATCATTTCATACTCACTAGAAAGACACTTTTCAGGACCTTCATATATATATATATATGTGTGTGTGTGTGTGTATACATATATATGAGAGAGTTTTTTAAAAACTCCAATATAACTGGGTTGTCTGGGATCTACTTAAACTAAAACATTACTTGTTCATCTGAAGTTCAGATTTAACTGGGAATCCTGTATTTTATCTGTCAATCTTATGTTGCACCCACCTGTTCACTTGCCAATGCCCTTGTTTATGTCCCGTAAAATATGTGGCTGGTCTCTCATTCCATAAGGCAGCAATTATCAAGTGCCACCATCCTGTCAATCCGCGGGAGTTTGGGATAAACTACGTTATTCCCAGCTGGTTTTTTCAGTAGTATAGCCCTTACCTGGCCTTATCTTTGCTACAGCTGAGGAGTCCCCAACCCATGTGAGAGCACCACCATTGAGACTTGTTATCGTCAAGAGAAGAGACAACTACTGACTTAGGGAAGATGCAGTATATTGTTGTGTTATTGACAGATAAAGGCTAAGACAGCCTACCCTAGGATACTTCCACTGTGCTGTGGGGACAGTGCTTTCATCCCAAGAAAGGGTTGCCTCCCACAAACAAAATGGCTAAGGAAAGACAGTGGAACTGAGCAGGATGGAGTAAATGAGGCAGGTTACTCTCAGTGAGGGTTCACCTTTGCTCCTTCACTGTTCCTAGGTGACCACTTTACTCAAATGTGACCAGTCCATTTCACGTGTTCTTTGGTTTTGGTGGGAGTATGTAAGTTTGCATGGGACTACATGCCCATGCATATGTGTTCTTGGGGCAGGGAGTGTCCTAAAAATCCCAGCCTCCTCTCTACAATCCCTTAAGGGCCTGGAAATCATACTATGATATGTCAAATGTTCCTTCCCCTTCTCTCAGCTTCTTTCATTCCAAAACATTTATGATTGTAATCCATGTACTCAGTTCAAGAGGACATCCTGAGGCCACCTCCCCCCAGTCTTGAGTTTGGAGGAACTCACGCAAAGGTATGCATTTTCCTGACCTGCCGCATCAGCCACGTAGCCCCCTACAAGGACCGTGGCATTTAGATTCACTTCGTAGGAGTTTCTAATAACGTATGTGGAGTTCAGGCCTGCCAATGGGCTGAAATTTGAAAAGTTTTCCAGGTATTATTTATGCAGCGCTGAGCTACATGAAGCATAAAAGACCCATTTACAAATAAATCTGTCGGATCTTGCTGTCTGTGTCAAGTTAGGAAGGCAGAGTGGACTTTTTTCCAAGATGTATTACAGTGCATTGTAACGGGGAGGGAGAGTGGTACAAGAGAAAGGGAACAGATTTAGAAATGTAGGTCCAAACAAAAGATGTATAAGAAATATGTCTTAAGCTTGGTGAAATGAGATGGTCCTGAAATGTGGAATTATAGACCTTGAAGGAACCCCAAAAATATACTAACCAGGTTAACTGAAAAGGGGGAATGGTGCCTCTTCTGTGCCTGGAGAATTTTACTCTTTCATGAGCTCTTGATTGCCATCCAAACAAATGGCAACACACAATACTTCAAACACTTGATGGCTGTGTTTTCCTATCTTTTGTTTCTTCTGATTTAAAATGAACTTTGAAATATAATTATTACCCCCTTTTCTTAGATGAGAAGACATTAAAAAATGGGCAAAATTTCCATTGCCACAGAACTAATAAATGATACAAACTCCAGGTTTTCTTGCTTGAAATCTCTTGGAGTCACCAGCTGTGTCCCAGGCACTATTAAAGACAGGTGAATAAGATAGACATCCTTCTGCTTCAAAGTGCTGAGCATGATACCTCTCCATAGACATTAAACACATTTAATTCAGTGTTGTGAGATATACAAACTACTTCACATACCTTTAAAGAGTAGTCACAGACAATATAAAAATTCATTCAAAGTATGTAATACTTACTAAATCTTGAGTCCTGAGGACAATTTGAGAAGAGAGACAGAAGGAATAAGAAAAAGGAGGTAAGAGGCACATGGAGAGAGCCAGTGAGAGAAAATCCAGATGGCGTGGAGTAGGAAACAGAACTCAAAGAGAGACAATATTTAACAACCAGACATACTCATCAGATGAGGGCAACACACCCATTTTCTTGCCTTCATAGTTTTTACCACCTAGTTCAGATAGCTTGACATGCTAAGTTTCATCTTCAAGGTGCTCATGCCATATAGGACAATCTCATCTGGACATCTTAACCTCTCCCACCAGCTCCTTTAACTTGAATTATTCTTTTCTCATAACGTATTTTTTTCTACTATTAATGAGCAAATCAGTCCTCCTAAAGCAGTAAACTTTCTGAAGCTGAAATCCATTTCTGATTCCTGGTGGCATCTTCTATTATACCTACCACAGTTTCCAGCATCTAGTAGGCTCTCAATAAATCTTCACTAAAATGAGATTAAATTGAGGTTTCCCATTCCTAATTTACTACCTTGGATTAAAAAATCAGACCCTCTATTTAAATAAGACTTTTAAAATATCTACCATGCCAAAAAATCGTGTCCTATTTTAATAAGCTGAATGTGCACACTGAGTTTTCATCAAGAGAAGGCACTCTAATAGATTCTGAGGGAGAGAGGCTGAAATGGAGAACACAGGAAGTGTCCTCTAAGGATTTGCATTCTATGTCCCTTTCCAGGGTGTGTTTTCAATTTTATTTCAGAACTGAAACAGTCCTGTTTGGGTTAACCAGGGATGAACTTGGTCATTGAGCCGTCGGAACTGCCTCCATCTTCTCACCACCTAGTGAGCATCACTGAAGTGGGAGTAGGGGTCAGCCAGGTCCACAGGGTTCACCTGGATTCCATCCAGACACATGCTGATGGGGAAAACTATGTGCCAAATAAACGGACAATGGCAGCAGGCATACAACACACAAATATACCAGAGATGAACACAAAATCAGCAGTGTTCCATGATGTGTCTGATCTTTTTTCTTAAAGAGAAATATAATTTACCAGAGGAAAACGATGACGAATATTCCCTACCTTGCATGGTACTCGCCAAATGAGGATCTCAGCCATTAATTCAGGGTGTCCTCTAGGATACCTAGGATATTGTTGATGTTCAAATAAGATTCTCCTCAAGTGAGACCAGATGGCAAATGAAGATGAAATACAGCAATACATTTATGGTTGTTATCTGTTCTTGCAGTATTCTGATTTGTGAGAAAACAGGGCTATTCCATAGGCATCAAAATATGTATGTTGTAGTTGTCGTACAGAAATCAAATATCTTGGTTGTGCTGAAAAAAGCCAGGATCACTAAGATTTTGTAATACAAAGAGGGTTTAACAGGCCAGGTGTGTTGGCTCACACCTGTTAAGCCTAGCATTTTGGGAGGCCAAAGTGAGTGGATCACTTAAGCCCAGGAGTTTGAGACCAGCCTGGGCAATAAAGTGAGACCCCATCACTACAAAAAATACAAAAATGAGTTGGGGATGGTGGTGCATGCCTATAGTCCCAGATACTTTGGAGGCTGAGTTGGGAAGATGGCTTGAGCCAGGGAGGTCAAGGCTGCAGGAATGTCTCAAAAAAAAAAAAAAAAAAAAAAAAAAGAGAGAGAGAGAGAGAAAAGAGGCCCTAATGAATAAACAAACTGTGGTACATCCACTCAATGGAATATTATTCAGCAATAGGAAGAAATGAGCTATCAAGCCATGAAAAGACATGGAGGAAGCTTAAACACATATTGCTAAGTGAAAGATGTCATTCTGAAAAGATCAGTGGTTGCTAAGGGTTCTGGGAGAGGGAGAGAGGGAAGAATGAATAGGTGGAGTACAAGACTTTTAGAGCAATAAAACTACTCTGTACCATATTCTAATAGTGGGTACATGTTGTTATACTCAAAACTCACAGAATTTACAAGGCAAAGAGTGAGCCCTAATGTAAACCAGACTTTAATTAATAACAATTTATCAATATTGACTCATCAATTGTAACAAATGTACCACACTAATGCAAGTTGTTAATAATAGGGGAATAGACGATAGGCTGAGGGGTCTGTGACAGAATGTGTTGGAACTCTACTTTTTGCTCAACTTTTCTGTAAACCATCAAAACTGATTAAAAAAAAACAGCCTATTAAGTTTTTAAAGCAGCCCTATAAGGAAAAACATGTAATTTGCTAGAATGAAATCTTAAGAAATAAAAATGAGTGTTATATGATTACAAACCTACTTTTTGGGATGAGGAAGACATAATGGAGGGGCTTGGTCTATGGTATACTTCTGGTTGTATTATTCACCATGCATGGTGTGAATATTGAGAGGCAGAAAGGCTCACAAGCCACAAAAAGACAAAACAAAGGAATAAACTATATAAGCAAGCAGCCCCGAACATCTCAAGGCAACCAGAGAAAGCAGAGATGGTGAAGCAATTACAGCGAAGGGAGAACACAAGAACAAGATAAAAGGTCATGATAAAAATGGAGGAATTACAGATAAGACAGAAACTTACATGAAAAGTGGGGAAATGTAAAGAACTCCGAGAAATGTTTTTTAACCACAGTATTTGCTTTATACTTTCAACACGAGGCCACTGCAGCTGTACAGTATTGTGCTGTCAAAGGGCAGTATTTGAAGTTTTCATAGTCTTTCAAGAGTGAAGGGTAGGGAACTATAACAGGCTGTAACTTTTTCAAAACTTTCTAGTGCTTTTTCACCCCTAGTGATTTGCTCTCATCCATTTCTCTAGTTTGCCTTCATTAGGAAGATTTTTCACATTTGAATGGTTTCCAGACACACTCAACTTTTGATTAGAAGGGCAATAAGATGAACTGAAACAATTCTGGCTTGCTTTCTTCTCCAACAATATTTCCACCCTGTGCAAAGAAGCCAGGTGAGGAACAGGGAGGAGATGATTAAGTGGAGTTAGGTCCTCTCCTGTCACCTTCTACATTAACTCAGGTGACCACAAAAATCCTCCTAAAAATGTATTTTTTAAAAAAGGAATTAATGGGCTGGACACAGTGGCTCACCCCTGTAATCCCAGCACTTTGGGAGGCCGAGGCAGGTGGATCACCTGAGGTCAAGAGTTCAAGACTAGCCCGACCAACAAGGTGAAACCCTGTCTCTACCAAAAATGCAAAAATTCACCGGGTGTGGTGGCAGGCGCCTGTAATCCCAGCTACTCAGGAGGCTGAGACAGGACAGCTGCTTGAACCCGGGAGGCGGAGGTTGCAATGAGCCAAGATCGCACCACTCTGCACTCTAGCCTGGGTGATGAAGCAAGACTCCGTCTCAGAAAAAAAAAAAAAAAAAAAAAAAAACCAGAAAAAAGACAAAAGGAATTAATGCCTTCTACTGAGACTGAAAGATGCCATCTCCCTCCCCTGAAGGAATAAATAAGATGAAGTGTATGATAGAGTGCTGGCAAAACTTTAGATACCTAAACAGATGGTCCCTGACTTAAGATGGTTAGGTTTTTTCGAATTTACGATAGTACCAAAGTTCTGCATTCAGTACACTCCTTACACACTTTTGAATTATGGTATTTTCAACTTCAATTGGTTTATTGGACTTAACTCCCAAAATGAGGAATGCTTGTACTTCATCTTTGAGGAGGTGAGTCATTGTTTCTTCCCCCAGTGAATGAAGAAAGAGCTAGGCACCCCAGCTTGGGAAGGAATGGAGTGAAAGTGAGGGAAACCTTGAGAGACACTTTCCTGCAACATTTTACACAGCTCACATACCTTAAACTCTTCCTGGGAGAGAACAAACACAAACACACAAAAATCGCCTGCTGCAGAGATGGAAGCCTATGAGGAAGGAAGAGTTGCTATTGGAGATATTTGGACACTCAGCAGTCTCCTTGCAATTGGGTTTGGTACCCACTATGTGGGTCATGCAATCAATTCACTGGGTCATAGTCAACATAGTGGCATTCTGTTTTGTTTGAGGGGCTTAAATTTGGTATTTACCCGTATGTTCACTTGAAATATTACTAAGATAATTAATATTAACTTTTAAATTTTATGTCATAAGGCTATTATTTTTTAAACTATGTGTCCTGGTTTTTTTAAGTTTGAAGACTAGTGCTCTGAATGGAAAGTGAGGTATCTGAAGTCACCAGAAATAGACGAGGAGAGTTAATTTGGTTCCCCCACTCCTTACTGTTCTTGACACCTGCAACCCACCCCAGCTTGAAGGCAGCAGCCCACTCCACCCCTGTACCTCCTGTTGGGGGTGGGTTTATCTTTCTGTGAAGGTGCTATGATGGTTAATATTGAGTGTCAACTTGATTGGATTGAAGGGTGCAAAGTATTGTTTCTGGGTGTGTCTGTGAGGGTCTTGCCAAAGGTGATTAACATTTGAGTCAGTGGACTTGGAGAGGCAGACCCACCCTCATTCTGGGTGGGCACCATCTAATCAGCTGCCAGCATAAAAGCAGGAATGGAAAGAGCAGACTTGAGTCTTCAGGCTTCCATCTTTCTCCTGCACTGGATGCTTTCTGCCCTTGAACATCAGACTCCAAGTTCTTCAGCTTTTGGATTCTTGGAATTACAGCAGTGGTTTGCCAAGGGCTCTCAGGCCTTTGGCCACAGATGAAGGCTGCACTATCAGCTTCCCTACTTTTGAGGTTTTGGGACTGAGATTGGCTTCCTGGCTCCTCAGTTCGCAGATGGCCTATTGTGGGACTTCACTTTGTGACTGTGTGAATCAATTATCCTAATAAACTCCCCTTCATGTACTCATCTATCCTATTAGTTCTGTCCCTTTAGAGAACGCTAATACAGGTGCTCTGCAGGGGAAGTGGTTCCTGTGTCTCCTTATTCTTTATTTTTCTCTTAGGGGACTGTCCCCCCAACCCAGGAATGAAAAGAAAGGAAAAATTTGAGTTCCTTCAAGGAAAATTCCAGGTACCTAGCTAGCCCTGAGAAGTAAATGAGCAATTTGATAAGCAAGGTCACAGTAGCTTAAAACAATAGACAGGGGAGTTGGAGTCAGATGTTTTGCTCCCTGTGGATGCTAAAGACAACATCTTAACGTACATCCCCAAGTTGATTTTCAGAAGCCTGGACCCCCACCAAGTGGATCTGCCAGCACAGCATGTAAACCTCAGATAAGGGGGAAATGGGGACTAAACTCTGACCTCTACTCTTTGTTCTAAATTTCCTCCCGAGGGGCTTGGGGCCTGGAGGAGTCACACCCACAAATCAGAATTATTTTCTTCTGATTCAAAGTTTTAGACAAAGCTTTGCCTCCTTAACCATTCGCAGATTAGAAAAGCCTTGAATCCACCTCTGCCTGCCCCCTACTTCAAAATGTCTCACCTTTTTAGTCAAACCAATGTATAGCCTCTATGTATTGATTTATGACTTTGCCTGTAATCGCTGCCTCCCCACCTATACAAAACCTTACCGTGAGCCATGGGGGAATTAAAGTCTTAAGAATGAGCTGCCCATTTCTCCTTGCTTGGCACCCTACAATAAGTCCCTTACTTTCTCTTGTAACAGCCTAATGGGTTCTTCTTGGCCACTGCCCAGAGAAGTCAATGCACTGAGAACAGCAGGTTTTGTGGCAAAGAGAGTTTGACTTTGTGGCAAAGAGAGTTCAGCCAAGCAGAAAGATGGAAGATAATTCTCAAATCTGCCTCCCCAAGAGCTCGAAGGCTAGGGTTTTTAAGAATAATTTGGTGGGAAGGGGGATAGGGAATGGGTTCTACTGATTGGCTGGGGATGAACTCATAGGAGCATCCAAACTGTCTTTGCACGCTGAGTCGGTTTCTGGATAGGTGTCAAAGATCCAATTGAGTCATGGGTCTGGGTTGAGTCAGCAGGTTGTCAGAATGCAAAAGTCTGAAAAATATCTCAAAGATAAATCTTAGGTTTTGACAATAGTGATGTTATCTGAAGGAGCAATTGGGGAGGTTACAAATCTTGTGACCTCCAGCTACATGACTCTTGAGCAGTAAATGTTTACAGAAAGGCAAGCTGGGGAACAATGGCTGGTTATTGCTTAACTATGCTGACATCTTAGCAGAATTCAGGCCCTTCCCATAATCCCAAACTTGTGGCCTTTTGTTAGTCTTACAAAGGTGGTTTCAGTCCTCAAGCAAAGAGGGGTTAGTTGTGGGAAAGGACTATTATTACCTTTGTTTTAAAATTAACAAAGGCAGTTAGCTTGTGAGGTTAGAAGCAGTATGGAGTCAGTTAGGTGAGATTTCTCTCACTGTTATAATTTCTACAAAGGTGGTTTCACTTTCACTGCAATCTTGATGTCAGTATTTGGCTTTGTTGCACCAGGTGAGTGGGCCCCAGTTCAGTTTAATAACATAATCAAAAGGTAAAGGCACCAGATAAGTTGGTCTTCCCTGTGTGAGACACCCATGGGGAGCCATGGGCAGCCTCTGAGGAGAAAAGTCTCCTTATTGCCTTCATGTCTTTATGCCCCAAGAGCATAAACACTCAGTGGCATTCTACAGGTTGCTCAGGGAGGTAACACTCCCCTGAAGCAGTGGAGTATAATCAAACATCTTGGCTCCTCCTGAAACTCACTCCCAACCATTTCAGTCCTGATAAGTTAAAGATCTTAAGTAGTTTAGACACACACCTCTGCTCAAGGAAATTCACAAAACCTGCCACTGCTATACATCTTATTGAATAACTCACAAGTTCTCCTTCACTGATTAATCATTTTCCTCATCCCTTCCTACGCCTTACATTTGCCCTAAGAACAAAGAGCTTGTAAACCAATAAATTAGGCAGAGCTGAAGAGCTCTGGGCCATGAGCAAGCCTCTGACACGGAGGTCCCCTGGACCCGCCTTTTAAACACTAACTCCTTTGTCTCCGCTGGACTCAGGGTACCCACCACGTGGTGTGGGGCTGGTTTCCCCAACATCCTCCATGCAATATGTTCTAGGCCTACCCCAATTCATCCTTCCTGTGTGATTGATATTGATATTTTCTACTTTACCATAAACAAGAGCCACAAAGCCAGAGGCCTGGCCGTTCTGGATTCTGGAACAAAGTGATACAGCTCTTGAAGGCATGAGTGCAAGGCCCATGAATAATGGTCCTGAGGAATATCATTTTAAATATCTTTGGTCATAGTGTGCTCAGACCAAAAAGCTGTTATATTAAAAGTGATGGACTTGTTGGTTGTCAGAAAGTATTCAATGCTCTCTGATACATTCAAGCACAGAACTGGGAGGTGTGGAAGGGAAAAAAAATTCTGTGGGACTGAAACCACTTGAAATCTGTTGGGCAGTTACAGGGTCAGGACTGAATAGTCTCCTTAATATCACATCCTTGTCACTGACCTTGGCGGGGCTACGTCACCTTGGCAAAGGAACCTGATGGCAGGGAGTGTTAGTGGGGTAAGACATGGAGGATGTTTCTGGGAAAGCTAATTTATTGAGCACTAATGGGCCAGGTATTGTTCAAAGGGCTTTGTATATATCATCTAATGATTAGAAGTCTAAGAAAATTATTTTTCCTTATTTATATATGTATTACATTATCTCATTCCAATCTCGATTTTTAGGAACTCCAATAAAAAGAAACCATTCTCACTTCAGAAAGAAATTATAACCAACAGTGAAAAAGATCTGACCTAATCAACTCCATCTTGCTTCTCACCTCTAACCTGTCTTTGTTAACTCCTGGGCCTAGGCCACCTAACTTTTGGAAGAACTTCCTTTACAGTTTAAAACAAAGATGGTAACAGCTCTTTTCCAAAAGAAATACCCTTCTTGCCTGGGGACTAGACTGCCTTTCACTAACAAATTAGCCAAAAGATTAGAAATTACGGTTTAGGAGTCATGCAGCTGGAGGCTATAAGTTCTATCCCTCCCCAAATTGTTCCTAGGGATAACATCAGGATAGTAAAACCTAAGATCAGTGGTTGAGATATTTTGCGGACCCTGCACTTAATGAATCAGCTGGAACCACCTAGATCGATAAACTAGCTCATCTGACCTTGTGGCCCCTACTCAGGAACTGACTCAGCACAAGAAGATAGCTTCGGCTCCCTATGATTTCATCTCTGATCCAACCAATCAGCACTCCCATCTCACTGATCCCTCATCCACCAAATCATCCTTAAAAACTCTGATTCCCGAATGCTCTAGAAAACTGATTTGAGTAATAATAAAACTCTAGACTCCCACAAAGCTGGCTCTGAGTGAATTACTCTTTCTCTATTGGAATTCTCTACTTGATAAATTGGCTCTGTCTAGGCAGCAAGCAAGGTGATCCTGTTGGGTGGTTACAGGGTCTCTGGAGGTGAAGGAAAGGGGGACTGAAAGTTCCAAACCTCTAATCACATGGTGGGCCCCTCTGGTCATCAGCCCCCAACCTGAGTTATCTGGAGGCCCATTAAGAGTCATCTCATCAGCACAAACTCAGGTGTAATTGAAAGGAATTCACTATGAATAACAAAATACACTCCTATCACTCTGGAAATCCCAAGCGTTTTGGGAGCTCTATGCTAGGAACCAGATACAAAGACCAAATATAATTTTTGTATATCCTACAATGTTTCACACTTTTTTTTTTTTTTTTTTTTTTTTTTTTGGTAATTGGCACTAGTGGATATAAGAACTTCACAGATTTTAAATCGCTGTCCATCAGATTTTATTGGTGTTCTAAAGAGCTGGGAGGGGAACTTGATTCTTTACTTGAAGAACCCAGCTGGCTGGCAGCTGGCTGGCAGCTGGCTGCTTCGGGGTATGCAGCAGACAGAGCCCTTTGTTGCTATTAGCGTATTGACTACAACTGTAGTTACCTGGTGACAGGATAAAATTATAGTCAGTTTACTCTCATATACCCTGCATGGTAGTCAACTTGCCAGAGTAAACCACTCTCCCAGGGAGTATGTAATTTTGATACTTGTTTAATTTCAAACCTCTCTCGTTTGACAGAATGATTTCTCACCCATTTTAGATAGTGCCATGAACCCCTCAATTGAGTTTCTTCTTCCTGCTGTTATAGACTGTTCCTGCCTGAAATATTTAGAGAAACAGTTCTCCAAAGGCAGTTAATTGGGATTGCATATAGGCACACATAGTCTTTTTTCTTTCTCTGACATAAAGAAAAAACTCCTTCAATATTTTTATTTTCCATTTAGTTAAATATTTATATTGTGTCCCTTCAAAGCAAACTTCCACTTAAGGAAATACAAAACTTATAATGTATAGATTCTTTTTAAGGAAAGGCTAAAGATAGAATCAATCCATTGCAATTTTCTACAGATTTCAAACTGTCTACATAAACAAAAAGGCACCACAATTTCTAATCTATCAAGTTCTTTCATAAATAATTCTTGAAGATCTATAAAATCTAGTTTTAATGACTCAACAAAATTCTCAGTGTTCAGGTCTAGGACCAGGTCACAGACCTGCTATTAGAAAGCAGTCATTGTCATCCTAGGGATAAAATATAATTTACTTGACATCCCACTCCTGATGAAATACCAGGATTGAGATACTGAGTAAATGATGCATGTACACACATACGAAAAAAGGCATATCGCTCCTTTTACAGACTACATTCAAATCAGGAACAAAGCCAAAAGGAAAACCCATGCAAATGACGACACATGCAAAATGATTTCCTAATCTAGAATCTTCATGCTTACTTCCAACACAAATGTTTAGTCTCTAAGCCCATTCTCTTTGGCCCCTTCCTTTGAAATGGGGATAGGAAATGGAAGGAAAATATTCTCATGAATCCCCATAAGCAGGGAGCTATTGGATAAGCTGCTTCATTTTCCTGTCTCTCTCTAATAGTCTAATAGTGTCTCTTCTTGGTTGCATCTTTGGGAATGCCAATAAAGAAATTCGGTTTTGTTTGTAACGGAGCTTTGCTCTGTCACCCAGGCTGGAGTGCCGTGGTGTGATCTCAGCTCACTGTAACCTCTGCCTCCCAGGTTCAAACGATTATCCCGCCTCAGCCTTTCGAGTAGCTGGGATTACAAGTGCATGCCACTACACCCAGCTATTTTTTTGTATTTTTAGCAGAGACGTAGTTTCACCACATTGGCCAGGTTGGTCTTGAACCCCTGACCTTAGATGATCTGCCCATCTCAGCCTCCCAAAGTGCTGGGATTACAGGTGTGAGCCACCACGCCCAGCCAGAAATTTGTTTTTAGGAAATCAACTTCAACTTGTTTGGGTTCTAAAAAGAAATTTTCCCATTCCCTGATGTCCCACCCACCAATCATATGAACTAATGAAGTAAAACGAAGGCAGCATGCTTGGGAAGGGGATAGATGTTGGAGGACGAGGGAAGGTTAACTCATGTTTTTGTAAACTGAATATAGTGCAGGGCCACATGTGATTCAGTCTCTCTAATTTATAAACTCCACAATTACTCCAGAACCTCCCCAAATCCCTTTCTTATCTTTCCATGGAAATGTTCTCCAATCTCTAGGCCACATGATCCTGAGAAACAGACACACCAAGATCTACATGGAAACACACATATGTATTACACATATGTGCTGACACACTTGTATATACCAGGCATGTATACATATAGGTGGATATATACCTATACACATGTGTTTCTGTATTGCACACACATTCAGTTCCCAACTTCTGCATCACAAAAGTCTACATCAAGGGTGTCCAATCTTTTGGCTTCCCTGGGCCACATTGGAAGAACTGTCTTGGGCCACACATAAAATACATTAACACTAACGATAGCTGATGAGCTAAAATAAAAAAGTCCCCCAAAATCTCATATTACTGGTGAAGTGTCTTGACTACAAGTTGTCCAGGTCCTTGGCATTTTGAACAAAGTATTGAACACCACACACAAAGTAGAGAGGAATGATATGCAGGAACGAAGCAGCAAAAGCGGGAATTTATGAAAGTGAGAAAGCACTCCACAGGGTGGGAATGGGCCCCAGCAAGCGGCTTAAGGGCCCAGTTACAAAGTTTTCTGGACTTTATCCCATTTGAGGTTCTTATCAGCTATCCCGATGAAGGATTTGGTATGTGGCTAATTAAAGGCTGAGGTGAATTGGTGCCCTATGCAGATAAAGGGATGGTCTCTGCTTGGCCCTGCGAACCCAAGGCACTCTCCCTTTCCATCTGAGACATGGTAGAGTGAGAGGGCTGTAAGGAAAGTAGCCTTTGATCCTTTGCTATTCTGCCGGGGAGATGGAGTTTTTCCTTTAGGTTCAGCTTTAGGAAGTTGGTGTTAATAGGCCTTAGGTTTCCTGCCCCCAGACCTTGATGTTTCTCTTTTAGGAAGTCAGCACAAATTGGCCTTAAGTTCTCTGTCTCCAGACCCTATTCTCCTGCCTCAATAATGTTTTTAAAATATTTATGAATTTGTGTTGGGCCACCTTCAAAGCCATCTTGGGTCACTTGGAGCACGTGGGCTGCGGGTTGGACAAGCTTGGCCTACATAATGGATCAGCAAAAAACAAATAACAACTGGACTTAGTTGAGAGAAGGAAAATTGGGCCACCAAGAATAAAAGTTTCTGGGGTTTGTTTAATAGGGCTGGGGAATGGTAAAAAAAAAACAAAAAACAAAAACAAAAAAACAACAAACCAAACAAAACCCACTCCTGTGTTGATAGTTTTGCCCCGATCATAGTTATTAATCTTTTCTCTTTTTTTTCTCATTTTTCTGTAGGTTCTTCAGCTATGCCACTTCCCCTCTCTCCATGCCTAGATGGGTTATGCTGACTTTCTACTTTAACTCTTCTTTCAAAGCCAAGCGGTATCAAAATAATCACGTAATTCCATAAGAAGTGTTCTTCTGCAGGAAGAAAGTGTAGCTGAGATAGTTAATTTTCCGGACAACACAAGAGTTCCCTTTCAAATCACTGAAGTCAGAGGCATCTGATAACAAATGGAGTGTGCCATTTTTCTGAAGCGAGAGACAACCCTGGAGCTGATTTTCTGTGTGTGTAACAATGGTGTCTACAGGCAGAGCTGAGCCTCCGCACAGGAGTCTGCACATCTTTGCGTCTGAGACAGTTGGTACAAGTCAGAACAATTCACTGGAATTCCCCAAGGAATTAAATCCTCCAGGATCTTTAAAGGCACAGACATAAAGGTGCCATTTTAAAACCCCAAAGAATTTACACCAAACTTTTTAACATTCCCGTGGGTCTTCGTTAATGATCATATGAGGTTTCCTTAAGTAGCCTGCAAGGAGGGACCTGGGGGGAGTCTGATATGTAGAATATGAGAGAATCTTCAACTAGGGAAGCACCTAGAGATAGGTGACAGTATCCCAGCGGTGTGCAGACCCTCAGGACAAACATGAAATATCTTCTTAAACCTCAGTCTAACCAGAAGATTTAGGGGAAGACCCAGTAGATAAAGTAGTGGAAAATTGCCATTTGTTTTGAATTACAACACAGGATTCAATGAGGTTTAAGCAGTGTAGGGGCCAAAGGAAACTTGGCCCTCTGAAGGTTCACTGAAAAATCAACTCAAAAGGCAGATTAATACAAGAATAGGCATACACATTTATTTAATGTGTATACACAGGGTCCTTCAGAATAAAGACCCAAAGAAACAGAGAAAATTGTCCATTTTATGTTTAGGTTCAACAAATTATGGACAGTATGTGTGGAAATATGATTGGAGGAAAAGGCTATGATCTAATGCTAATAGGCTGAGTGGGGAAACCCAGCAAGGCTGTCTGTCTAGATTCTTCTTGGTCTTTCTGAGCAGCATTCCTTCCTTCTGGGTGTGGGGCAGGACCCTCTCTGGAATAGGGGCCTTGTGACCTACAGTCAAACAAGGTGGGGCAGATGATTTATGGCCAGCTTTTGTACAGAAAAGCTGTACAAAATTAGAGGGAAAATTAGAGTAGTATTTTTAGTTTTTTATGGCTGGCTTTAGTGAAAAGGGGCTTGGGTTTCTGTGGCTCATGATGGGGAGGACAGAGTCTAGTTTCTATGGCTAGCCTTGTGGGGAGAATAAGTCTGTGAGACAGGAGGGCAGAGAAAAACGTTTGCCTCTGAGGCTTCTGCCGAAGCCTTCATTTGGGGATATCGTTTGCTAAGCCCCAACAGCAGTATACTTTCATTCTCTTCAGCTATTACGGATAATCGGGGGTAGCCTTTGAGAAGCTTCTCTGCCTATTCTAGAGCTTTCAAATTCCATCTACCCATCTATTTGGGTTCATAGACTCTGCTTTTCTAAGATGGGCATTAAAACTACATATTTGGTTTACATCAAAGGATGATTAAAGAAATCAGACACCCATTGTTACTGTTGTATTTGTAGAAAGATGTTGTCTATTATACCACCAGTGACTCTCCTGTTTGAAGGCTACATTTGCAATTTATTATATATTTCTGTACTTCTTTGGAAAAAAAGAGTATGTTTATTTCATTTTGACATTGAGAAGTATATGAATATTTCCCCCCTTTTCCCTTTGGCTTCCGGAAGGCTCAAAACCAAGCTTGAAACAGTTAACAATATCACAGATCCTGAGATCTTGCCTTGTTAGTGTTATTCCTCCCCCCATCATAAACTTTTCCTCTAATTTATATATTTCCAGCCCATGATCATCTTTAAGTGTCTATATTTCTTAATCATTTTGTAAAGTATGTTTTTATATTAAAAGCTTCAATCCTTTATGGAATAAATTAGGAAGTAAACATTTAGATGCTGTATATATTAGAAGTGCATGGGGCCTTACATGATTTAATTGAGTCCTCCCAATGATGCATGAGGTAGGTGTTCCATAAATGTGCAGTAACTACTCAAGGCCATACACCAAGAAAATGACTGAGTTGAGAATGAACTTTTATTTCTCTCACTCCATGCCCCATGGTCTTTCCATCAGTTGGTTCCCAGGAAGAAATGCCCAGAGTTCAGTCAGAGGCACACAGATTGCCCCACCATGCCTGCCCCTGCCAGCACCCATCTTCCTTGTCTGGCATGTTTAGATGGGCACCATCATGTCCTTCCAGATTCATGGATTCCCACATTTTCAGTGGGGCCTCCATTCATCAGTGGCCCGTGACAGAAACCTAACTCTAATTTAGCAAAACATAAACAAAAAACAAAGCAAAGCAAAAATAGCAATCTATTGACTCAGATGTGGGAATGGGAGGTGGGATCTTCAGGTGTAGAGTTCTGTATCCCCTCTCTTAGTTCTGCTTCCTTCTACTTGACTTCAAATTCAGCAAGGTTATCTTTACATGGCAGGAAACACAGATACAACAGCTGTAGACTTGCATGGCCTTCTAGGCTTTTGATCCCAAGAGATAAAACATGATGCTCACTGATACAGTTTGGATCTGTGTCCCCACCCAAATCTCATGTTGAATTATAACCCCAATGTTGGAGGTGGGGCCTGATGGGAGACAATTGGATCATGGGGGCAATTTCTCATGGTTTAACACCATCCACCTTATGCTATCATGGTGAGAGCGAGTTAAGTCAAGAACTAGTTGTTTAAAAGTGTGTAATGCCTCCCCTACTGATTCTTCCTCCTGCTCTGGCCATGTGAAAATGTGCTTGCTTCCCCCCTTTGCCTTCTGTCATGATTGTAAGTTTTCTGAGGCCTCCCTAAAAGCAGAAGCTGCTACGCTTCCTGTACAGCCTGCAGAACCATGAGCTAATTAAACCTCTTTTCTTTATAAGTTACCCAGTCTCAGATATTCTTTATTATTATACTTTAAGTTCTATGGTACATGTGCACAATGTGCAGGTTTGTTACCTATGTATACATGTGCCATGTTGGTGTGCTGTACCCATTAACTCGTCATTTACATTAGATATATCTCATTATGCTAACCCTCCCCACTCCCCCAACCCCATGACAGGCCCCAGTGTGTCATGTTCCCCACCCTGTGTCCAAGTGTTCTCATTGTTCAATTCCCACCTATGAGTGAGAACATGCAGTGTTTGGTTTTCTGTCCTTGCAATAGTTTGCTGAGAATGATGGTTTCCAGCTTCATCCATGTCCCTACAAAGGACATGAACTCATCCTTTTTTATGGCTGCATAGTATTCCATGGTGTATATGTGCCACATTCTCTTAATCCAGTCTATCATTGTTGGACATTTGGCTTGGTTCCAAGTCTTTGCTATTGTGAATAGTGCTACAATAAACAAACATGTGCATGTGTCTTTATAGCAGCATGATTTATAATCCTTTGGGTATATACCCAGTAATGGGATGGCTGGGTCAAATGGTATTTCTAATTCTAGATCCTTGAGGAGTTGCCACACTGTCTTCCACAATGGTTGAACTAGTTTACAGTCCCACCAACAGTGTAAAAGCGTTCCTATTTCTCTACATCCTCTCCAGCACCTGTTGTTTCCTGACTTTTTAATGATCGCCATTCTAACTGGTGTGAGATGGTATCTCATTGCGGTTTTGATTTGCATTTCTCTGATGGCCAGTGATGATGATCGTTTTTTCATGTGTCTGTTGGCTGCATAGATGTCTTCTTTTGAGAAGTGTCTGTTCATACCCTTCGCCCACTTTTTGATGGGGTTGATTTTTTTCTTGTAAATTTGTTTGAGTTATTTGTAGATTCTGGATATTAGCCCTTTGTCAGATGGGTAGATTGTAAAAATTTTCTCCCATTCTGTAGGTTGCCTGTTCACTCTGATGGTAGTTTCTTTTGCTGTGCAGAAGCTCTTTAGTTTAATTAGATCCGATTTGTCAATTTTGGCTTTTGTTGCCATTACTTTTGGTGTTTTAGTCATGAAGTCCTTGCCCATGCCTATGGCCTGAATGGTATTGCCTAGGTATTTCTTTTTAGCAGTGTGAGAATGGACTAATACACACACTCCCTCAGAGTCCATATCACTCTTTGATAAAGATGTGGATTGTCTCTGCTTAGGTATCATGTCCATCCCTAGATCAATCACTCTGTCCAAGAGGATTGGGTTCAAACCTACCAGCCTGGGTCCTGTGCCTCCTTCTGCCATGGAGTGAGTGAGACCACATAATGGTGGTCCCATCAGCATCATATAGAATGAGGGAGAAACAGGAAAAGGAAGGAATGCTGCAAAGACGGAGACATAAGCCCACAGCAGCCTTCATTTTCATATTGTACTTGATAAAGTTGTAAACTGAAATATTTACTGCATTGGTAGAAGTGCTATAGGGCTGGGCCACATCTTTTGCATTTATGTCACCAGCACATAGCACGTGGTAGTGGTCAAAAAGTGTATGTGAGTTTCAAGGAGTAAGAGTGGAGAGGAGAAAGATATCTTATTTAAGAAAGAAAACCATACCCAGATTAACTGCTTGCCTATATAACCAATGATTAAGGTAGGACACTCTTAGTCAACAGTAGCAAAACTATGTGTTTTCTGCTATGTCCAAGAAATAGCAGTATTAGGCACATCTACTATCCGCCTTTGGATCAGCTAGCCCTTTTTCTCTACGTCCACAGAGGAGGATTGGCCTCTATTTTCATTCTAAGAAGTAATCGAATGGACCCTTCCACCTCATACCAACTGCACTGTTACTCACCTGGCTCCCATGAATACTATGTCACTCAGCTAGTGAGGAATTAGTAGTGACCTCCTAGGGTAACACTGTCTAGTCCACTCATTTAATAAACTCATGGAATAGTCTCAGGACATAGGTAAGTGTGAATTTTTGCTCTTCAGTTAATTGCAACCTTCTGCCATCGATGCAAGTTCTCCAGAGGAGCACTTCTCAAAATTTAACAGGATTATGGGTCACCTGGTGATTATTAAAGTCAGGTTCCGCATTAATAGCTCTGGAATGAGGCCTGAGATTCTGCATTTCTAACAGGTTATCAAGTGATAATGTTTTTGCAGATCCTCAGACTACATATTGAATAGCAAGGATTAAGGTGATTGGGGTAGGCTTGATGAGAGAAGATGCAAGACTACTGTCACTTTCCCAGCAAGGAGTAAGTTGCAGTTATTAATATAAATAAAAATTGAGGAAAATGCATGGAGGCTGGTGGATTGAGATGTTTCTCCTATAACTTCAGACACTCTGTTGCCTGTTGTTCCTCAATGAGAGCACTCAGCACAGACTCCCCTGTGTCACTGTGCACGCAGTAAGTCATGTCTCTTTCTCCTCAATAAGAACTCCTGGGAAAGTATGGTTTATAACACCGGCCTAGTTTCATGGCCCATTGAGCTGGAGGCCATTATCCTTAGCAAACTAACACAGGAACAGAAAACCAAATACCGCATGTTCTCACTTAAAAGTGGGAGCTGGATGATGAAAGCACATAGACATATAGTGGGGAACAACAGACACTGGGGCTTTTTGGAGGGTGGAGAGTGGGAGGAGGGAGAGGATTAGGAAAAATAACTAATGAGAACTAGGCTTAATACCTGGGTGCTGAAATAATCTATACAACAAATCCCCCCGACAAGAGTTTACCTGTGTAACAAACCTGCACTTGTACCCCTCAACTTAACATAAAAGTTAAAAAAAAAAAAAAAAGGAAAAGGCGCTGATGAATTGCAACAGATTATTAGAAAATAAGAGGGACAATAGTAAGTGAGTCATATGATAAAGGGAATTTCAGCAGAGGAACTGAATAACTGATGCAGAAAAGGAAGAATCAAATCAAGTGGAAGAGGTTCATGTGTCTAACGTGAAGAGTAACTAGATTTATCTGAAACTCAGGAGGTTTGATTTCTCTTGTGAAGGTGTTCAATAATTGAGCAAACAGCTTACTGTTGAGAATGGAGAAAAATATGCTGTCATAAATCCCTAGGTTCTTCAGTCAAATACTCTGAAAGTCATAGTATTATTGTGAATTATTATTCATAGCCAAGAATCTGCAGTTCTTGGCTATGGTTGGGAGCATTGCTTGAAGTTACATGGTATACCACTTTTACTTTTTGAAGTTAACATTAAACCTATGAATGTGAGAAAATGCCACATGGTTGAGGTTTGGTCTTATCTCAGTTTAAATACAATTAGAGCAATAAGTTGAATGCTGCATTATTATAACACCTGAATCACAACAAATATACCACTAATTTACCTGTCTCCCCTCCTCCCCCATCTCTTTCCCCAGCAGATCTTCACTGTTACTCAGATTGATCATTACTAGATAAAAAGATGGCCATGCAAACATATCAGCCACCTGCAGATTCTATTCACAGGGCAGGGATTGATAACACACGTGCATCAGGCTTCTCCAGAGAACACAGCCAATAGGATAGAGGTACAGACAGAGATATACAGATATAACTAACATAGGCTTATAGATCGTTCTAGAGAGATACATATGGAGATTTATTATGAAGAATTGATGTATACCATGGAGGCTGAGAAGTCCCAGAAACTATTGTCTGCAACCTTGAGACTCAGGAAAGCTGGTGATGTAATTCAGTCCAAGTCCACACACTAGAGAGCCATGGCAGCCAATGGTATAAATCCCAGTCTGAGGATAAGGGAAGATGAGATGAGACACTCAAGCAATGAGGTAGAAAAAAAGGAGTGAATTTCTCCCTTTCCTCTGCCGTTTGTTCTATTCAGGCCCCCAGCGGACTGGATGATGCCCACCCATATTGGGGAAGATCATCTATTTTATTGAGTCTACCAATTCAAATGCTAATCTTATCTGGAAACATCCTCACAGACACACCTAGAAATAATGTTTAATCTGGGCACCCTGTGGCCCAGTCAACTTGACATACAAAGTTAACCATCACAACATGGGACACTTCTCAAAGATACCTCCCTGTCATTGGCTTAATTTTAGATGAGTGTATTTTGTAAATTTGCCTCTAGATCTTTATGGCTTATATTCATGGTTGGATGTTCATCTTATTTACAGATAGGCATCTTGAGACACATCCACTTATTATTCAATGTGAGTTGCCAGCAGACCAGATAACATGATTCCTAGCAGCACTAGAGTGATGCCTAGTTAGGCTTCTTTAGGTCTCATCTAATAGGGGTAATTTCAAGAGCATTAACAATTTATCCATACGTGTGTCCCCACACTGCCTGCCACTGCCGGGAAGAGCTGCCCAACCCTCTCAAACTCCCCTTCATAGCAGGGTGAGGGGAGTCTCCGTTTCCTGAATCTATGACTTTCACCTGTCAGAGTCTAAATAGGACAATTACTCAGATCAGCATCAGCTGGAAGTGTTGATGACTAAAACTGAATCCAGCAGTGTCACTCTACCAAGCTCACATTAGACCAAGCACGGGGAGGCAGCTTGCCTTCTCAAATGAAAACATTTGTCAAGCTTATGCATTTAAACATAGAGGGCAGAAGCTTTGATATGAGGACAAGCCTGGCAAAGGCCATATAGAAATGATAGTGGATGATCAGAGGTGGAGAGGGGGTGGTGGTTGTGGGGACAATGCCAATGAGCTCATTGTGAAGCTAGAACCAACCGGGTCTTCATTACGTGGCCAGGCCACAGTCATAGGTTTGGGAACAAAACCTGAAATCAAGGTGCCCTTTAGGTTAGCTCTGTCGATTCAGAGGGATTTAAGGTCCTGGCATGAATCCTTAACCTGGCAAACAATCTGATGGAGCAGCAGTGTGGGAAATCAGACAAGTTTAGGTCCCAGCTCTGTTCATCACTAGCTGTTTAACAGTGGGAGAGGAGCTTGCCTCTTCTGAGCCTTAGTATTCTCATTTGCAAAGTGCATAAAATACTGATTATGTAAGGAGCTTGCAAGGATTCCATGTGTTAGTGTGGCGAAGTATGTGCCTCACAGTAGGAGCTCAGCGATCATGGCTGCCGTTACTCTGAAGGGCCAGGCATTCTGACCCAGAGCATGCGGTTATTCTACTCCCAACAGTCAGTCTCACTCAAGGGGAGGGAAACAACTGCAGATTCCCAGGGGAGTCAAGTCCTGAAGTCTGAATTGTTAGCCAGTTCAACTTGTGCATCAAGCATCTAAAATATGAGAACCATCGGGTTATGTTGTGGAGACCATAGTTAGACCGTTTTTGGTGCTGAGATTATTTTAAGCCAGATGTTCTGTTCCAATGGCCTATAGAGAGTACTACTTGGGGCACATACAAGAGATTAGAGATTTTGCAAATTCTGTTATCTACTGGAAGTTTTGCACTTACAGTATTCTTCTATTTTAGTTTCAAAATCCATAATTTAGGGCTCAGAAATACATTCCCATAGAAATACTTTTTAAAAGGTTGGTTAGATTTCCAGGAACGCTTGCTAAATCCTTGAGGTAGCTGAAAGACAGCACTTTTGATTTGCATTGTTATAGGTTAAAAGGACTTCGTTTTGGATATGATATTAAAGAATCAAAAGGGAACATGACTTTAAAGGCAAAACAAATACTAAAGTAAATATCAATGTACCCAGAATAAGAAGGAAAGCCTTCTGGAGGTCTCTAGTTAATTACTCAAGTCACACATTTGGCATTTTAGTTATGAGTATGAAGGAACAGCTCATGGGCGGGGGTCAAGCAATGGTAGGTGGTACAATGGGCATCTACCCATTCAGCTTCTGGGAACTATTTTCCACTTTGAACCGTTGGTAAAGTTAGTTGAGTGGGTACATTTAAAGACCCCCTTTAAAAGGAAGAACTGTCTCATGGACTCCCAATGTCAGCTAATTTTACAGAGACCTAGATAATATAAAAATATAATGATATTATCTGCTGTTATATCATCACAAAGAACACAAATTAGAAATTAGCAAACCTACCAAACCAATGTAATTAACATTAATTAATGAAACATGATGTTTTGTTAAATGAAATAGCCACTCGCACTGTGAATGCCTACTACTTGTCTGTTCTAGTGAGTTTGGCATGTTCAAACCAACTCTCTGTTTACAAAATCCTATGGAGTCATTTGCCTTCGTTTGGCTTAAAAACATAGTCTACTTGTGTTTCTTTTTATATTGATACTGGTTGCCCGCTACCGGCTCTGGGGCAAGAGATGTCTCACAAACACCGAGACTCCAGAGAAGACATAGATGAAAGAGACTCCAAGACCTCATCTTCTGAATGACCTTCTGAGTGAGGAAGCCTAGCCCTTGTAAGGGCAGAGTCATAGCTATGGGCCCACCGGCTTCACAGACAGTCATGAAACTTTTTATATGGAGGTCACCAAAGGGAGAATAGCAGTTTTCACAGTTCTGCCTTTTGAGACAAAAAGAACAGCCTTCCTGCCTGTTCAGAGGGAAACTGCTGCATAAAAGGGTTCAAGCCTGGTCAGAACACCTGCTAGGTTCTTGTATGCTCAGCTAGGAGGCCAACCAGACCTGTACCGCCCAAAACATTGGCTAGTGAGCGCTTCAGAATGGGGCTGGCCTGAATTGAGAAAGGCTTTAAGTGTAAAATATACACTGAGTTTCAAAGACTTAGTATGATAAAAAGAATGTAAAAGTCTTAGGAATAATTTTCCTATGGATTATATACTGAAATAACATTTTTAGATATATTGGTGTAGTAAAATACTGTATGTTATAAAAACTTTACCTGTTTATTTGTACAGTTTTTAATGTGGCTGCTAAAAAGACTTAAAGTTCTTTTTATACATATATATATATCGCTTGTATTCTGTTTCTACTGGACAGTGCCCTGGGCATTACTTGATTCCTCTCTTTCTGATCCATCAGTGAATCCCAAGGTTCTCCAGAGAAACAGAACCAACAGGATGTATGTGCATACAGAGGGGCAGGGGGAGATGGGACAGGGAGAGGAGAAAGAGAACGAGAGAGAGATAATTTAATTAATTGGTTCATGCAATTCTAAAGGTGCAAGGCAGGTTAGGCCAGCAGGCTGGAGCCCCAGGATAGAGTTGTAGCTCAAATCCAAAGGCAGTTTGCTGGCAGAATTTCTTTTTGCTCAGAGGAGGTCGGTCAGTTTTTGCTCTAATAAGGAAACCAACTGATTGGATGACACCCACCCACGTTATGGAGGATAATCTACTTTGCTTAAAGCCTACCCATTTAAAAATAAATCTCATCCAAAAAACCACTTTCACAGAATCATCTCAGATAATGGATGGCCAAATATCTTGGCACTGTGGCCCACCCAAGTTAACATGAAATTAACCATCATAGTTCTACTGTTAAATCCTGAGCTCTGCCATTTCCTTCCCTTCTCACTGTGGCCACCTTAGTCTAAGCCAGGATTTCTTACACCTGGACAAGTGTAAGAGTCTTCCAAATGACTCCCGAAGTCTGTTTTTACAGAGCTAGCAGTATGGTCATCTCAAAGACTTCACATCATGCCTCTCTTGCTCAAACTCCGTTAAGGGTTTCCCATTGCTGTTGGTATGAATGCCAAACTTTTTGCCTTGGGATCCCACATGTTCCGGCCTCTGTCTATCTCTCTTCTGCCCTGAGTTCACAAGCCCTTCCTCTTCAAGATTTAACTGTATTGCCACTCTCTTGGCTTCTCAAAACAAAACAACAAAACAAGCTGGTTCTATTTCAAGGCCTTTGCATGAGTAGTTCCCTCTGTCTAGAAATCTTTTCTCCCTCATATTCACATGATGGCTTCTTCTTGTTGTAAAGATCATTTAAATGTCACCGCCTCAGAAAGGCTATCCTTGACCACCCAATTAAAGCAGGCAAACTCAGTCATACCCTTGGGATATATTTTCTTTGTTGCACATATCAGTCTTTAAAATTATTTTATGTATTCACTTTTTTGCCATATTTTTCCCACCCAAGAATGTGAATCTTATCAGACCAAGGCCTTGATAGAATAGTTTGTTGATAGTGCTATAGTCCTAGCACCTAATATATAGTAGGACATCTGTATATATGTGTTCAATGAAGAATGTTATCTTAGGTAGAATTAGTGTTACTTCATCCTGTACACTGGAGGAGGGCTGGAAATTTACCTCTGTGGTTGGAAAGTACAATGCACATCTCTTCTTATCTAGTCAAAGGTAAATTGCCTTATAAAGGTCATTCAAACCTTTTCCTGTTGGAAGCATGTGATATTTGTTTATTTTCAGAGCCAAGATAAGACTAGGTGGCAGGGGCTATCTTTAAATAAATGAATCATAATTAAGGCTGGAGTCTTTTTAAAAAGAGACCAGATCCTGCCTTCTTTTATTAACCAAACATAAGGCTCTCCCCTGGGATGTGATGGTGGTCATGGGACAATTACACACTTTATCAGCAATTCTTCAAGAGCATGCTCCTGAACTTCCCCAAAAATTGCACATAAGGTACTCCCTCCTATTTTTAGATTACCCAGTTAATCTGAACATGGGTAAAAAGGTGATTAATAATTTAAGATTTCAAATATGTTATATTTTATATTGGTATACTGGGAGTCAGTGAAAATGTGGACAATATAGATCGTCTTACAGACTCCATTTTACTTACAAGTTTTATGTGTTTGAAGGGTAACTAAACAATTTTAATATAAATATTAAAGGAAACATGGATAAATGAAAAGTTTGCCCGAATTTTTTTTTAGCTAAACCTTGACCCTTCCAAACCATTTTTGCATTTGACAAACTGCCTATTGCTAGTCCCCATACTGTCAAGTCCTTGCCAGTATGTGTTTATCCTCTTCAGCTACAGGGGATTAGATGGGAATATTTTAGAATCATTAATGCAGTGATTCAGCCGAACCATGGCTGTTATCTCACCAGCAAGCCATATAGCCTTCCAATGTGGGAATGAGGTTGAAAAGTCTGACAAAAGCAGTGTGGTTCATTTCTGAAATGGCAAATTAATTCTATTTCCAGGGCAGACATGAGAAATAAATATCTCTATTTGCCACTCTAGAAAGATTTCATATTTAGGTCACTAAAATACATAAGTTCTAGATCTACCTCCACCCCACCCCTGTTTAAAAACTCCCACAAACACAAATCACAAAAATATATAAAACAAATAATAAGGTCATCAAAAAGCAAACTGATGTGGTTGTCAGGGGCTCCCTGGCAACCAGGGGAAATAAGGACTTACGTAATGGATACAGAGCTTTAGTTTTACATGATGAAGAGTTCAGGTGGTTGGGTACACAACAATGCAAACATACTTAACACCCCTGAACTGTACACTTAGAAATGGTAAATTTTATGTTATATATATTTTACCATGATTTTTTCAAAATCATATTGAGATATCAAAACTCAAAGTCTTGCAGTTTTGGTCTTTAAAGAAGCTGCACATAGAAGCTTCTGGGCCCCAGGAAAACACGTTACATGATATCATGTGTCAGTTGGCCAGGATGCCTTAGACCAATGAGAACCTTCACCAAAGGGGCAGGCATTTTGGCTTTTAACCATCTATTGCCTGCCTGGCTTGGAAGCATCTGGTCTAGGCATGATCAGATCCTGCCTCTTTCCACTGATTTCCACCCTTTGGAATCTAAGGCCTATCCTCCTCCCACACACTCTTTCACGGATTAACTCTGAGTAGTGATGGCTACACAGTGGAGCTCATTACCTGGTAGGGCTGTGCGAGAAGCTGGCATGCACCCGTTCAGGGGTCCTCACCAATTCTGGGAAGTGGGTACTGTTCTTCCTCCCATTTTATGACTAAGAACACTGAGCCTTTGTAATGACACATTGATCTACATATGCCTACATTTTCCTCTTTCCAGGGAGAGTCACAAATAAAGGAATGAGAAAGCAACGGAATCTCTTCTCCCTGCCCGTTCACCTCCAGTCTTCTGGGTTTGTGGAGCATGCCCAGAAATCCCAGCAATTATTTCATCCACTTCACTATAAGCAACATTTTCCTGCATGAAATGCACTCCATCTGGGCTCAAACAGAGATTTATAAAAGCAACCTTTTTTGTCTTCACACAAAAGAAAGGCTAAGAGTGAAACTGTGGTGAGGTTTTGGTGCTCAACAGAAGGCTTTGGGAGGAGTCGAGTGCAGTTAGATATAAATAACATCGTTTAAGCCAGGATGTGGCTTGGTGACAGCTAACTCTGACTCTGGTCGCTTTGCCAGAACAGCTTTCAGCTGTTTCACGTGATTTCACAAACCCTTGAACTGCAGAGTTATTTCACACCTGCAGAGGTAATGAATGCCTTTTGAGAACATTTGCAAAGTTGGTTGGCAAAAGTCAAAGAAACCAGTGGAACACAAGCTCTCCAGAGGCCTTTTTCCTGTTCCACACGTGCTGTGCCTCAGTGAGTAGAGGGAGGCCGTCAAATGGAGTGACTACAAGTTCACAAATAAATTGTCTTCTTTACCAGTGAGTCAGTGTACCTCAATCTCATCAGAATAGAAAAACAAAAATGAAAGAACCTCAGATTTCATGGTAGTGGCAAGATACAGGGCTGAATGTCCTGCCTGCAGATGTGGGGCCCCTGTTCATAGACTGCCATGTCATCTAGCACATAAGCAAACAATGTACAAATGCCTGTGTATACTTGTTACAATTCATGCCAGGAATTTACCTCCTGGGTATGTGAAGTGTCTGTGTTTCAGGGAGTGGAGATTTCTGATCTCTCCCTCTCCTGCTACTTCCCATTCATCTTTTAACTCAGAAGCTGTAACTCTCCAGATACAGAGATGCCAGTATCCCACTTTGCATATTCCGAGAAAAAGAGCAGCCCAGACATAATTCAGAAATTCATAATCAGCATGGCCACAAATAAAATTTTAAAAGTCATTTCTTGTGAACATTTCATGGTGGTGGATTCCTCCGCATATAAAAGGACTATGTCCCATAGGAATTTATTAGTAGTCTAAGAAGGATTCTATGAATAAATTATACAAACTGTGGAAAATGTGTCAAAAAGGATAGAACTATTTGCTCAAAAATTCTGGTAAATAGACTTAAACCATGCGCATTACGTGGGGATTACCCATTCAGAGAGAATTTATTTATTCAGAAAATGTTTATTGCTAGGCACACCCAGTATAGACAGGTGAACACCACAGTTTTGGTTCCTGCCTCATGGAGTTTACCGTCTAGTTGGAGAGGTGGTTGGTGAACAGACGAACAAATATAAAAACAAACATGGACAGTGCTGAGATACAGCAGAGTGATGACAAGAGATTCAGAGCCCTTTCTTGTACTGAAACATGCAAATTTTCTCATTGATTGCTTGTTAATGTTTTATAGGACTCTTTAGGGTACAGCAGGGGGCCTCAAGTATCTTGAGAATAATAGTCATTGTTCTAAGTGGCAGTGAATAGAGAATTCCAGGGAATATGTGATTAGATACTTACAATGTCAAATCAACCTAACCAAATACCTTCCATAGAAGTGTCTGGAGAGGCAGGTGAGATAGCATAAAAAGTGAGCTTGGGTGGCAAGTAGACCTGGATCTGGATTCCACCTGCACTATTCATCCGTTGGGTGACCTTGGGCAAAGAACTTGAACTCTCTAGGCCTCAGGGTCTTAGGGTGTTAAAGGGGAAAACTGTACCTACATCAGATGGTTCTTGTCAGAAAGAGCTAATAAGTCATATACTATCTGTTCAATTCTGCTCACACAAAGTAGATGTTTAAAGAGGCAGCTGTGATTTTTATTGAGGAAATTCAGTCTCTCCCTCTTACAAAGGGGCAGCACAAAGTATAGCCATGGGCTTCCATGAAGACAGGCTCTTTCTGGAAAGCCAGAATAGGGACTCTTCTTGTCCTCTCCACCCTCCTCCCCTTGAAATGAAGGTATATCTAGTCACCCAAGATGAAAGACCCAAAGCAATCCCACCAACTAATACTTTTCTGCCCTCTGGTAATTTTAAAAATAGTAGTTACTTCTACAATGTCCCCTGGGTTATAAATTACCTGCCTTTGATCAAGATAAAAAGATGAGTCACATTAATGTGCCTGCTGGAAATTGTCTTAAGGCAGGAATGATAGCCTATTTTTAATAAAGCTTACAACAACCACCATCCCTAAATTGGGTCTGTGGTGTTATGCACACACAATGGACTCAATGCAGTAAACATCTGTTGAGAACCTACATAATCCTCTGTGTTTCTAGACAAGAAAATGTTTCAAGAACAGAATCTTAGTAGAGCGTACATATGAGTTTCTGGGGTGGACTTGTCCTCAGGCTGTGGCAGTCCCTGTTTGCTCGGAACCCCTTCCAGCTCCTTCCACAGCTCCTCCTCTGGTGTGTTTACTGTGTATTTTCCTTCCAGCTTGTTTACAATCACAGCCCTGGCACCTGGAAGATTTTCCGTGTGAGTTGAACCTAGATGGTCCCAAGCAAATACGAATCTTGCCTGTATTTAGAGATCCAATGTCTAGACTTCCATAAGCTGATAGCCACTCCCCTCACAACCACCACTGATACATACTGAGCACTTATTTTGTGATGGGCACCATTACAAACCTTTGTAGGCAGTATTTTGACTCCTCACAAACCTCTGAGAAAAGTATATGGAGAGAACAAACCCATTTTACAGCTAAGGAAATTAAGGCTCAGAAGTGCTGTGTTTGCTGAAAGTGAATGATCAGAGCTGTGAGTACAGCCTGACTTGCCTTTTAACCATTCTCCTCTACTGCCCCTCACGGAGGCCATCTCCCAGGGAAGGATGTTCTTAACAACTAGGGCACTTTCATCACAAACTGTAAACCAGTGGCTGCTATACAATTATGTGTGTGTGCAAGTAAATTATTGATGGGGACTCTCGAGCTCATACCTCTCTTGAAAAGGGTGTAGTCTCAAAGGGTTTCTATAGTTTTCTTCAGGTAGTAAGCTCCCTGGGCCTAGGAATCAGGTTATTTCGTGTATCACTATCTATTCAGCACCTAGCATGCACCCAGTACTTTGTAGGTTTAATCATTATGTGTTAAATGAATAAATGAATGCGTGGGGCTTTGGTATAATCCAAGAGAAAAGTCACGATTATAAAACAAGCTAGAACAGGATGACCTCCACAGAGTAAGGGCCATGGGGTGTCAGAGATGGATTAAAGAGGCCAAAGGTCACTGGGCACAGTGGCTCATGCCTGTAATCCCAGCACTTTGGGAGGCCAAGGGGGGCGGATCACAAGGTCAGGAGATCGAGACCATCCTGGCCACCGTGGTGAAACCTCGTCTCTACTAAAAATACAAGAAAATTAGCCAGGTGTGGTGGCACGCACCTGTAGTCCCAGCTACTTGGGAGGCTGAGGCAGGGGAATCACTCAAACCCAGGAGGCTGTAGTTGCAGTGACCCAAGATTGTGCCATTGCACTCCTGGCAACAGAGCAAGACTCCATCTCAAAAAGAAAGAGGCCAAAGGTCTATGTGCAAGGTTCCAAGGTGAGGCTCAGCCAGGGGCCTGGGCAAGTCTGACCCTCTGCCACCCTGCACCCCATGGGAGACATGGAGGGAATGATACCCAGAGTTTGGGGGAGGTCAAGACAATATTAAGAGTGCCAAGCATATTAGTGTTGGCTTCAGGGAGAAGGCAACATCAGAACCGTGACCAGATTTAATGAGGAGATGGAGGAGGTATTCTTTCTAAGCAGAATAAATGGTCTAAATACAGACGAAAGTTGGGAAATTACGGGGCAAGAACAGGAAATAGCATGGTTATTTGTCGGTAAGCAAGAGTGTGTGGAAGGAAATAGGATGGGAAAGTTGAGTGGCACTCCAGTCCAGCTTGAATCCTACACAAAGAATGGTGGGGTTTATTCCATAGAAAGATATTCTCCAGATTGGGGAACACACGTGTTACTCACTGGTGTACATGCATGGTGCAAGGTGGTACAGAGACCGCCTACCTATCAATTCCCCTTCAATCTTTGATGAAGCCAAGGAGAAAGTCTCAGTTGATGTGGGTCTATCTATAACAACTAATCCATGATAATTATACTAGTCAGGGTCTCCACAGGAGAGGTATGACCTATCAAAGCAGGATAATCCAAGTGGGTGTCATAAAGGGACAATCAGCTAAGTATGGGTACAGGGGAACCACAAGGGCAACACACTGACCCAGGGCTTGTAAAGGGAGAGCTGTCACCATTTCCAGGCTTGAAGGGACAAGGGGAGGGTTTAAGAACAAGCCATGTTAAAATGGGCAGCAATCTTTTGTCAGGGGATACTGCCAGGCTGTGGTGACCCTGCAGGGAGAGAGGCAGGGAACAAAGCCCTGGACCCATCGTTCCCTCCTTCCTAGACTCTGCTGGGCTGCCATAGGCTGAGGCCAGCTGGAAACCAGAAAGTAAGGGAACTCACTGACCTGTCCTCGGGCTCAGCCTCCTGGGCAGACAACAAGAAGAAGAGAGAAAAATAGATCTGGAGGGACAAACAGTCACTGAATCATCACCCACCTTTGTAAACACAGAGAAATCAGGCTTCAGGCTTTGAGCCTCAGGCAACACTATCTTGCTGGAAGATAATACTTTTGTTTTCATTGCATTTATTTTTATAGTTTCTATTATGATAGATGGTACTGGTTTTCCATTTACTTAGAGATAAAGTTTCCCTTTAGAATACATTTAAGATTTTTTTTTAAGTGAGCCTATTTAAAGATAAATATGAAGTAAACCACAGCACAGATGGAAAGGGAAAATAGCAAAGATAATGGAGGTGGTATGACTAATGTTTGGGAAAGCCTCATAGAAAACAGGGAGCTATGGACAGGTTTTGAGCAGGAGAGCGATAGGATCAAGGCTCTGCTCTGGGAAGCTAAACGTAGCTGCAGCATATACAATAGACAGCAGGGAGATGGGAGGTAGGGAGGCCGTAGGCAGTGCCAGTGGGGCTAGAGAGGTGGGGATGCAGGGGAGAGGATTACGGGAGAAAGAGTAAAATCAACAATATTTAGTCAGTCATTGCATGGAGGGTAAGCAAGATGCAAAGCAAAAGATAATAACTGCTGCCCAAATTGCCTTTAAAAACATCTATTTCCAGGAGTATTAGAACTGATGCAGGAAATAATGTGACAGCAATCCAAGTCTACTAACAGGTAGAGTGTTTATGTCATTCATCTCCTACGAGGTCGTCCGTGATGAAAGGAAAACACAAACATTTATCTAATGTATGCCTATGCCTGATGTTTCTCCAGACAGCTGAGCTTGTTTTTCAGATTTGTAGCAGAAAAATTGGGAAGGTCAACCAGGCTTGGCATAGAACACCAGGAGGGCAATTTTCATGCCTTGGATCAGCACCATAGAGGAGTTTTTATAATGTTTTTATAGTACACAGATACTCTGGATATTTATTTAGAGCTCTGAAATAAGTCAGGAGATCTATTTCCTGAAAAGCTATTTAGTTAGAAAAATGAAGTCAAATGGACATAAGTGTCACATAAAAATAATTTGCAACTAGAGGTTAGAAATAGTAAGAGCATAACAAGATTGAAACAAAGCTTTGGCCCAGTAAGGATTCTGAAACTAGTTGCTCGCCTTATCTCGGACTTAAAAAAAAATTACATACACACACAACAAATGAATTTCTAGACCATGCCTCACTTGTATGAAAATTACTTTCAATTAAATGCTCAAGTTCTGGTTCCACGAGAGTTTTAACTATCATGTTTTCAAATGAACCAGTGATTCACAGGCATTGAGGGAAGGAAGAAACTGATCAGATGATCAAGTCTGTCCCAGAAGATATCCAAGCAAGTGTTCCCTGCAGTTTATTTTCAATCACTTTGTTCAGTTCTGGTTTAAAATGACTCCAGCAACGGGACTCTTCATCAATCTAAGAGGCCCATGGGAGTCCTTTCTCAGTCTAAGAGTCCTCATTTTAGAAAAAATATTCTGATATGAAATCTTGTTGTACCACTTGCCTCTCCCAGTGGAACCCCTCTTTTTCCCTGCATTTAGGCCCTTCAGCCCCTCCAGTTGTCAGAAGTGGCAGTATCTTTTCTCATCAGTTACTCTTTCCTTCCCCTTCATCATTTTTTATTCTTTTTCATCTGAAGAGTTTTGTGCTTTTGCCTGCTTCTCTGTGATTGTTCCCTATCAGCACAGGAGCTGACGGCTCTGACAAGGCTGCATTTCAATGGAGGTGCTAAAGCCTGGCTATGTGGCCTCATGGCCTTCAGCTACAGTCCAGAATGATACTTCCAGAACCCTGAGAATTTGAGACCTAGCTAATCCCCTGAGTGACCAGATACTTGCCTGGTGGCTAGGGCCTGCCATGTAAACTGCCCATAACCAAGGCTCAATGAAGAGTTGTGGTCAATGTGGTAGACGTCCCTACCTCTCCAAGATAAAGAAGACAATGAAAAGGTGGCTGTGTATTTTTGCACGTTCAGAAGCATAAAAAGGAATGCAGAATCAGGAATCATCCGATTCCACACGTAACCACTCAGCCTCTGGATCTCAATTTCCACATTTGCTAAAAGAAGGAGCTGGACTGCATGAGATCTCAGGGCAATTTATGCATTAAGACTCTGGAGCACAGTTCCAATTTGAAGAAGTAACAGCAATACCTTCTGCCAGATTTAGGTGTCCAGTGAAAACACAGATGCCCAGTTAAATCTGAATTTCAGAGAAATGAATGTCACAGTGTAAGTATACCTGCAATATGTGGGACATATTTATCCTAAAAAATGACTGTTTATTGGAGATCCAAATTTAGATGAATGTCCTGTTTTTCTCTGGCAATCCTACCCTCCCTTCCACCTTCAAATTGTCTTGGCAGATGGATGGCATCTAGGCAGCTGAGTGGTTGTCTGATCCTTATAACCTCTTACCCCATTGTCCTAATATAGCTTCCAAGGCTTGGCTGAAGCTTGTCAGGTATTTCCAAATACGTGCATGCTTACTTGCTTCTCAATGCTCCTTAGCAGTCCAAATATGATCAAATGAGTGAAAATATTTTGAGGTATAAAGTTCTATACACGTGCATTGTTAATATTAATCACAAAAGCCTGCACTAAAATGTGAAGACAAAGGTGATAATAAGTCTACAGTTCCTAGACTGCAGTTCTGTACAACTAAAAACCAGCCTGTCTTTTGAGATTCTAGCACTCTCCACAACAGGCCCCCACATCTCAGCTTTAACAGCAATAAAACCACTCCTTTACTTGTTGACTATTTCCTGGGTGCCAGGCACTGTGCTGGGAACTTTACATGCATTACATCATTTAATAATGAAACACTCACTCCTATCAAAATGAAACTGTCATTTTACAGATGAAAAGATAGGCCCAAGAGGCAAAGTGACTTATTTGAGTTCACACAGCTCATCTAACAGAATAGAACGGCCACAAAAGGATTTTCACAGACCCTGACAAACTGATTTTAAAATTTATATCTGAAAGCAAAGGCTGAAATATACCAAGAAACTCCAAGAGAGAAACAAGCCAGGAGACTTGCCTCAGCAGGTAACAGGGCTTATTTTAAAGCTATAATAATGAAGACAGTGTGGTATTTGGAAAGAGGCAAACAAAGAGACAAATGGAACAGAAGACAGAGTCTGAAAACACACCCGTGCCTGTCGTGGAAACCTGACTCACGACAGGGCTACGTGCAGAGCTGTGGACCAAGAAGGAGCAGTTCAGCAGTGTGTTATCCATATAGATAGTTGAAATTTCCTCAAACGAAACCCAAAGTTCAAGTCCATATGGATCAAGACTGTAAGCATAAAAGACAAAACTTTCAAACTTCTGGACAAAAGACAACACTTTCATCACCTCAGTGTAGAGAAGGTTTTAAGCACAATGCAAAAAAGCACTAAGAAAGATTAATCAAATGGGGCTATGTTCAAGTGAAGCACTCCTGCACATAAAAAGAAGCCACAAAAAAGTGAGAGCATAAGCTACAATTTAGAAGAAAATCTAATTGTCAAAGGAGAAGCCTCTAGACATGTATTGATCAATACAGTCGTCATGTGGCTGGTGAGCAACTGAAATGTGACTGGCACAGAATAAGATCTGCCATGAGTATAACATACACATTAAATTTCAAAGACTTCATTAATAATTTTATATTGATAATTTTAGGTACATTTGGATAAAGTTTAGTGACATAAAATAATGAATTATTAAAACCAGTTTTATTAGTTTATTTTTACTTCTTTAATGTAGCTACTAGGAAATTTTAAATTATATGTGGCTTGCGTTATATTTCTGTTGGACAGCAAGGATCTAGAATATGTGAAGAGCTCCTATTAGTGAATAACAAAGAATAAAACACAATATAAGAAAAAAGGAAAAAGTTCATAGAAAGGCTTTCTACAGAAAAAGAAACATATATATCCAACACGAGAAGGTGTTCAAGCTTATGACCAATTTATTTGCAAACTAACATTGTAATAAAATATCCTTTGTACCATCAGTTAGTAAACCATAATAAATCCAACAATATCCAATATTGGCAAGAGTATGAAGCAGTGGGAACTCTCACTCACTGCTGGTGGGAGTAAAAATCGGTACAACCACTTCAGGAAACAATTTGGCATTGGGCAGTAAAAACTGAACATATATACAAACTGTGAGCTGGCAAGCTCAATCCTAGATATCTACCTGAGAGAACTCTTGTACATGTATGACACAAGACATGCACAGCACTGCTGAAAACTGGAAATGACCCTGGTTTCCACCAACAATAGTGTGGGTAACCCAACTGTGGTATATTTATATGATGAAAAGCTATACAGAATGTTAAAAAAGAATGAACTGGCGCTACACACAGCTCTACAATTTTAGAGCTATGTAAAGATATGTATCTCTTAAAACAAAATGACTACATAAAATTCAGAGGTACTCCTTGCTGGGGAGGGAGGGAGACAGCATGCCTGGGGAAGGATATCAGAACAGAATCCCTGGGAACAGAACGCACGGGTCATGTTCTAGTTCTTAAACTGGGTGGTGGGTCCACAGGTGCTTGTATTTTTTTTAATTAATTTATCTGATTTTAAGTTCTGGGATACATGTGTAGGATGTGCAGGTTTGTTACATAGGTAAACGTTTTTTTCTAAATTAAACTGTAAATATAAACTGTAAATGCTTGTTTTAAAGTATGATATTTCACAATTTAAAGAGTTTAAAAAAGAAAAACAAAACTGTGTTGTCTATTTGTGTGATATTACATTCCGCCAGAAAAGTTGCCTTTCATTCATCTTTTAATAATGACATCTCTCAGTGCTGGTCTGTCTTCTACAACTGGGCTTTTTTCTCATATCCCATCAGATGAGATCTCCAGATTCATATATCACATCTACATATATACACATGCACAATATAAACAGCATACTTGGAAAAGCAATACAAGGAGGCTTGCTGTTCTTGTGCCTTGACTCATCTCACTCACTTTCCCTGGGGACAGCAGAGACCTAAGGGAAGCAGGGCCTCATTCCCATGTGGTCGCCGAGATTAGAAGCCCTGTGCAGTGCATGAGGTGGGGGAGCTCAGTGTCTTGTCTTCACTCTCCAGCGTCCTCAGTCCAATCCTCTTTGTCTTCCCTATTTGAGCTTTTCTCAGAGTTAATGAGCGGTAATTGGAGACGCCCTTGAAAAAGAATTGCAGCCTCTTGCCCGTAGTCTTAGAGAAGCACAAGAAAATAAAAGGGCACAGACTTACTGACATATGCTTGGAGTGGCCAGGTTCTCATAGATGATTCTGTGGCTCTCAATCCATACTGAGGCAAGGCATCAGAAAAATAAGTTTAATCAACCTGATAACTGGACCTACATCCTGGGTCCGAACACAATTATATTTCTTTAAAAGAGATCAAACCATTCTAGAGGATATTTTCCCCAAGTTTTATTTATCCCTTCCCCTTAAAAATGCCGAACTGAATCCCCCAGTGGAAATGTTCTGAGTATCAAGTGTGCTCATCTCTCATAGAACAAAAATAAACCTATATTGATATTTGTGCTCTCATGTTCATTGCAGCATTATTCACAATAGCCAAGATATGGAAACAACCTAAGCGTCCATTGGCAGATGATGGATAAATATGGTACATTTACACAATTGAATACGATTCAGCCTTTGAAAAGAAGGAAAACCTGCCACATTTGCAACAAGGATGAACCTGGAGGACGTCATGCTAAGTGAAATAAGCCAGGCACAGAAAGGCAAATACTGCCTGATCTTACTCATATGTAGAAGCTTAAAAAAATAAAATAAAAAGTAGAACTCATGGTAACAGAGTAGAATTGTGGTTACTAGGGACTAGAATGAGAGGAAAGGGGAGATGTTGGTCAAGAAGTATAAACTTTCATTTACAAGTTATAAGCTTGACGACTATAGTTAATAATAACATATTGTATATTTGAAATTTGCTGAGATCTCAACTGTTCTAATCACACACACATAAATGGCAGCTATGAGAGGTAATAGATGTGTTAATTAGCTTGATTGTGGTAATTTTACAATGTATATGTATATCAAAACATCACGTTAAACATCATAAATTATACCATTTTTATTTACTAATAATATCTCAATAAAAGCGGAAAAAAATAAGCCTGTATTAGTTTCGTGGGGTTTGTGTGTTTATTTATTTTTTTTTTTTTTAATTCTGGCACCTGCAGCACTTGTAAGCCATCTTTGTCTTACAATTATTATTCACTCCACCTGAGGGCACCTGAGGGTTTTCCTGAGCAAAATTTCTCTTAGCAAGCTGAGCTTGTGGGGTCTGCTAATCTCATCGATCCTAGGCAGCCTCTGCCACAAGACCCTGGGCTCTGTCTTCTCTGAGTGAGCCCCAACTCCAAGACATGATGAATCAATACACAAACCGTTATTCTCACTGTGGAGCGGAACAATTACTAAAATCTATTTGCCAGTAAATGTGCCTTGTCTTGTAAATCACTGGGTCATTAACCTTAACAATTGCAGTGTGCCGTCTCTATCCAACTCAGTTAAAGCACAGACCAAGGTAATACTTAAGAATACATTTCAGGCAAAGGAATATACTATTATAGTATTATATCCTCATAAATTAAACAATACATTTATTCCCCTTCTTGGAAAAGGAACACTGCCTGACAAGCACAGTACAGAGAAGAAACAAAGGCAATGATTCTAATTAATAACTCAAGAGGACTAGACAGGAGAAGAGAACAAAAATTTGAAGACAGAAGCAAGTCACCCACAGCCTCCACTCCCTCCCTCCAGCACTGCTGCAGAATTTCTGGTTTGCGCACATGGTGCACTCAGACCCTTAGTGGCTTGAGCTGTACCTTGTGAAATGGAGATGCCTGGATTGTACCACAGGGCAAAAACAGTCCACTGCTTATTCCCAGTCTGACACTACTGTAGCTAAAAAGTTTGATGCCCACAAGTAGAAAGCTCTAGGGTCCTGGCACTGATTCTCTACAGTCAGGGAGGCGTCCCGCTATTTCACATACATTTTGAGAGCAAGTCAAGGAAAGCTCCCCTTGGAGTGTCCTCTGTTTCCTGTTTTAGGGGTAGGTACAGAGTAAGCAAGATAAAATGAAAACAGGGAACATGTCTCAAGATTATGTGTCTACTTGGTTTTCTCTGGGCAAAACTCTGTCATGAGATTAGATAATACAACCTGTATATTCCTGTTCTTCCCAAGGGGCTCAAAATGAAGCTGCTCTTCCAGCTTCTTCCTCCCAGAATTCCTCCCACCTAGGCCACTTTCTAACCAGCTACTAACCAGCACATTTTCATTCATAAGATGTATTCGTTACCTATTGCTATCATAACAAATGGCTACAAACTTAGTGGCTAAAAACACCACAAACATATTATCTCACAGTTCTATAGGGCAGAGGCACAACGCAGGTCTCACTAGGCTAAAATCAACGTGTTAGCAGGGCTGTCTGCACTCATTTCTGGAGGCTCTAGAGGAGACCCTGTTCCCTTGCTCATTCACGTTGCTGGCAGAATTCAGTTCCTTATAATTTTAGGGCTGAACTCCTTGTTTCCTCGCTGTCAGCTGCAGCCTATTCCCAGCTGCTAGAGGCCACCTGCACTTCTAAGCTCCTGGCCCCTAGTTCTGAAAACCGGCCACAGACAGCCGAGTCCCTCTCAAGCCCCCAATCTCTCCTGCCTCTCCTTACCTGATGGCCTCTCTCTAAATTTAGCCAGGGAAGATTTTCTGCCTTCAAGGTTTTATCTGATTAGATTGGGTCCACCTAGATAATCCAGGGTAATCTCCTCCACTTTCAGACCCATAACCTTAACCATAGCTGCAAAATGCCCTTTGCCCTGTAGGTAACATCGTCCTAGGTCCCAGGGTTTAGGGTATGGCATCTCTTTTGGGGGATGTGGGGGAAAGGGAGTGGAATTACCTAGCCTACCACATAAGAACAGTGCTCATACTAGGTGGGCTACCGCTAAAGACGGAAGAACCAGGGAAACCTGGCCGTCTCCTTCCTTTCCTTTCCTATCTCCTTCCCAACACTTCCATTGTCTACTTTGAGAGCAAAGTTTGGCCACTCACCATATTCCCATTTTCAGAAAGACGGCCTGGTTGCAAGACTGCTCTCGTTGGCCACGAAACGCAGCCTGTGTCTACTTGGTATTCTTCGGGCAAAACTTTTTTTCAACATCTACCCAGCATCCCAAGCATTCGTCTGCATATGGCTCACCTGGGGGAACACGTTTTCATTCAGAATCTTGTTCTGATGTCCTGCAGTTGGAAACTGAGTTCACCTGGTAGTCAACAAACTGAGTGAAGGCTGGGAAGCTCCATGCCACCTGGCACCCAGCAGGCCGGGAGCAATTCAGGTACGAGTGGTCCAAGAGGGATCTCGGACTTCAGCCTTAGCAAATAACCCTGGATCCAGAGGCTCTCCAGACCCCTCCTTCTTCTTCCTTTGTGGCCACAAGAGACTCCTTTCTTCACAGCAGCCAGGCCTGTTGTTTCTAGCCCAACACTTCCCTGAGGAAGGCCCTAAGGCAAAGTTCTCGCTCAAGATGCCATGACATTATATAGTCATGAACACCACTCTCTTTGGGGTCAGCCGAAGGTTGTGTGATCTTGGGCAATTTCCTCCTTGAGGCCCCAGTTTCTCATCTATCAGATGGGAATAATAACAGTAATTACCCCGAAGGCAGTTTCAAGGATTCCCAGAGATGCTTTCTGCAAGGCTCTGAGCACAGTGCTAAAGCTTAAGCCCAGGGAAGGTGAGCCGTTTGGGGATCACTGGCATCATTATGATTCCATGTTTCCCTTCTGGCTCTGTGCCCTGGCAAGCAGGTTGGGCCCTCTAAATGCAGGTTCACTCTACCCGGTTAGAAGAAAAGAGGAAGACCTTTACCCATTTCAGGGGGTAACATGAGAATTACATTAAGGCCTTGGTGGTTTGCTTCATGGCCAAAACCTGGGGAAACACAGCAGGCGAGATTATAGAATTTGTGGAAATGATATGTGCATTATGTTTATAGTATGAGTTGTTATAGATCAAAGGTTAATACACTTTTTTTTGTAAAGGGCCCAGTAGTAAATATTTTTGGCTTTGGGGAACATACATTCTTTCTCACAACCTCCCAACTCTGCCATTGTAATGGGAAAGCTGCCATAGATAATACATCATTTAAGGTGTTTTCTTAAAACCTTATTTACAAAAGCAGGTGGCAGGCTGGATTTGGCCACATGCCATAGTTCGTAACCCCTGTTTTAGACCAGCATCTAGAAAATTCTGGTTTAGTTCTAGTGATAGAATTCCTATTCTGCCCCATCTTTCATTGTTTTTTGGTTGTTTTACTATCCTTACCATCCTAAAAAGCACACTTCTGTGTGTGTGTGTGTGTGTGTGTGTGTGTGTGTGTGTGTGTGTGTGTGTGTTTGCTTTTGTTTTTGTTTTGAGACGAAATCTCACTCCGTCACCCAGGCTGGAGTGCAGTGGCATGATCTTGGCTCACTGCAGCCTCCGTCTCCTGGGTTCAAGTGATTCTCCTGCCTCAGCCTCCCAAGTAGCTGGGACTACAGGTGCCCGCCACCAAGTCTGGCTAATTTTTTTGTATTTTTAGTAGAGACGGGGGCTTCACTACGCTGACCAGGCTGGTCTCAAACTCCTGATCTCAAGTGATCCTTCCACCTCCGCCTCCCAAAGTGCTGGGATTACAAGAGTGAGCCACTGTGCCCTGCCTAAAAGCACATTTCAATAAATGTTTGGCCAGGTGTGGCGGCTCACGCCTGTAATCCCAGCACTTTGGGAAGCTGAGGCGTGTGGATCACTTGAGACCAGGAGTTCACGACCAGCCTTGCCAACATTGTGAATCCCTGTCTCTACTAAAAATACAAAAATTAGCCAGGTATGGTGGCATATCACTGTAGTCCCAGCTACTCGGGAGGCTGAGGCAGGAGAATTGTTTTAACCCAAGAGACAGAGGTTGCAGTGAGCCAAGATCATGCCACTGCACTCCAGCCTTGGGCAACAGAGCAAGATACTGTCTAAAATAAAATAAAATAAAATAAAATAAAATAAAATAAAATAAAATAAAATAAAATAAAATAATGTTTATATATATGGGCATACATTGAAAATTTAAACTGAAATTCATGCAAATGCTTGGGGCACATTCTAAAACCCACAAAATAAGTTGATACTAAAGGATTAGGTTTTCTTTTTCTTAAATAATAATTTTTCTTCGGAGGATTTTGAAAGCTATAGAGCTGTGTGATTTTAGACAAGTTACTTAACTTCTCTGACTTTCAGTTACCTCATCAGTTAAATACAAGTTTCTTGTGGTAGCTGTTTTGTGAGCATTAAAAGAAGTAAGCATATAAAGTGCTTAGCCCAGTGCCTGATGCATAGTAAACACAGGACCATCACCATCTTTATTGCCTGTTGCCATATAGAGACAATCTAGGGATCAGGAGGGTTTATTACTTTTAATTAAACAAAATAAGTCAACATCCATAGAGAGAGCTCTGCCTGAGGAAACTGCCCAGGTTTACTCTGACTAGGAGAGTAGACCTGGGGAATTCTGTGTTCTGAAAAATAGTCTCAAGGTTAAAAGTGATTCAGTAAGCCCATCATATGACTTACCAGTTGGAGGCCAATGGGTCTACCAATTGGGTTAGGCTTAACTAACATACTATCTAAAAAGTTTTCATTGAATGCATTTGAGCCACAACCTCTCAGTAACCACAGCTCTCTCCTGCCTTGATAGAAAGCAGCTACATGCTATTTTTATTTCTGGCCCTGAAGGCTTTTGAGCATCTGACCTTTGGCCTAAACTTTTGATGCTGGGTTTTACTATTACAACCCCAGCTTCTGATGTCATGATCTCATTGCCATCAATATATCTGGAGGAAGAGTCTTTACCTTTTCAAAAACATATGTCTAGTTCCCAGAACAAATGTCATCAAAGGCTGCCAACGAATGACGTAATGAGACAGGTTAACTGCAAAATGAGATGTTTGCTTCCTTCCTTGCTGGCAGCTGCCAGACCTCATATATAAAAGCTGTTTGAGACTATTTACACACACACAGAGGAAATTCTCATTTAGAAACACTCCCTCATTTTGAGAATAACTGCTAACTTCCATTATTGAGGAACCAGGATTCTTTGAGGACGTACAGGAGCTTATGAGAGAAATCTAGTCGCAAAGGATGAGGCTGCTCTATGTTGTGGGGTAACCTGACTTGGGGAATAGCTCTGATGAGAGCAGAAGGTTTTCTCTTCCATGATCAAGGTTAGACAAAAAAGCAAATGGCAGAGGTCAGGCTGGCTGAAGTTATGGATACTCTAATGTCTTTCGCTCTACCTGATGTCTTTCGCTCTACCTAAAGTAAAACCACACTCCCCTGAGGACCTGGCTGGCCCTTCTCTGATGAGTTTTCCAGTCTCATCTTTTTTGGTTTTTGCTTTTTTTAAGACGGAGTTTCACTCTTGTTGCCCAGGCAGTGGCGCAGTCTCAGCTCACTGAAACCTCCACCTCCCAGGCTCAAGTGATTCTCTTGCTTCAGCTCCCAAGTAACTGGGATTACAGGTATGCATCACCACACCCGGCTAATTTTGTATTTTTAGTAGAGACAGGGTTTCATTACGTTGGCCAGGCTGGTCTCAAACTCCCGACCTCAGGTGATCCTCCTGCTTTGGCCTCCCAAAGTGCTGGGATTACAGGCGTGAGCCACCATGCCCAGTTTTTTGTTTTTTTTTAATAACAACAGCCTTATTGAGATACAATTCACATGTTATCCAATTTACCCATTTAAAGCATTCAATTCAATTGGTTTTAGTATGTACGCAGAGTTATGGAATCACCATCACAATTAATTTTAATACATTTCTGTCACCCTAAAAGAAACCCTGCACCTATCGGCATGCACTCCTCATTTCCTCAAATCTCACAGCCCTTGACTAATCTACTTTCTGTCTCTATAGACTTGCCTATTGCAGACATTTCATATAAATTGAATTATACATTAGTTTTTTGTGACTGGCTTCTTTCAGTTAGTGTCATGTTTTCAAGTTTCAGCCATGTTTTAATACATATCAATACTTCATAATATTCCATGGTATGGATACACCATGTTTTGTCTCTCCATACACAAGCTGATGGACATTTGGGTTGTTTCCCCCTGTTGGCAATTATTAACAATGCTGCTAGAAACGTTTGTGAACAAGTTTTTGTGTGGACATGTTTTCATTTCTCTGTAGTGTAAACCTAGAAGGGAAATTGCTGGGTCATATGGTAACTCTATGTTTAACTTTTTGAAGAACATTCAGGCTGTTTTTCCAAAGTGGCTGCACCATTTTATACTCCCATCAACAGTGTAGGAGGGTTACGATTTCTTCACGTTCTCACCTTCATTTTGCTTTTTGGTTATAACCATCCTATTTGGTGTGAAATGCCATGGCTTTGATTTCTATTTCCAATACCTAATGATATTGAGCATTTTTTAATGTTCTAATTGGCCATTTGTAAATCATCTTCCTTGGATAAACATCTAATCAGATCTTTTGCCCATATTTAAATTGAATTATTTATCTTGTTATCATTAAGTAGTAAAAGTTCTTTATATATTCTAGATACACATTCTTTACCAGATATATGATTTAAAAATGTCTCTTCCATTCTGTGGGCTGTCTTTTTAGTTTCTTGATATAATAATATCCTTTGAGCATAAATATTTTTAATTTTTATGAAGTCTGATTTATCTATACAGATGCATATTGGAAGTCTCAGAGGGGAACAGATAAAGGGGAAGAAAGAATGTTTGAAGAATAATGGCTGAAAAATTCTCCAGATTGATGAAAAACATGAATTTATTCATACAAGATACTCAAGGAACTCTAAGTAGGATAAAGTAGAAGAGATTCACACCACAAAGAAAGACAGGCAGAGAGTGATTAGCCACAGACACACAGAGAACATATGAAAATTGGGGCAGAGACTGGAGTGACAGGGCCACAAGCCAAGCAATGCCAAGAAATTCTGAGCAGCCACTGGAAGCTAGAAGTGGCCAGGAACAGATTCTCCCTCAGAGCCTCCAAGGAGCACACCCTGCTGACACCTTGATTTCAGACCTCTGGCCTCCAGAAGTGTATTCGTCCCTTCTCATGCTGCTATAAAGGACTGCCTGAGACTAGGTAATTTATAAAGGAAAGAGGTTCAATTGACTCACAGTTGTATATAGCTGGGGAGGGCTCAGGAAACTTACAATTGTGGCTGAAAGGGAAGCAAACATGTCCTTCTTCACATCATGGCAGGAAGGAGAAGTGCTGAGTAAAAGGGGGAAAAGCCCCTTATAAAACCCTCGGATCTCATGAGAACTCACTCACTATCATGAGAACAGCATGGAGGTAACTGCCCCCATGATTCAATTACCTCCTACCGGGTCCTTCCCATGACACATGGGGATTAGGGAACTGCAATTCAAGATGAGATTTGGGTGTGAACGCGGAGCCAAACCATATCAAGAAGCCAGTGAGAATAAACCTATGCTCCTTTAAGCCAAAGTTGTGGTAATTTGTTATTGTAACCCTAGGAAATATAACATTCTTAGCTTTAACACCCACACATTCTTTTTCAAATAAAGTTAGTTCATCTGCAGAGAACTCCTGAGCTCTTTCCTTATGACCTGCCTCTCCTCTTGGGCAAACTTTCTGAGTCCTTTGCCCAGAGCTGGGGGCAGAGACAGTGGTCCACTTCTTCCGGAGCAGCACGTCGGCTTTATGAGAAGGGCATTGGACTGGGGTGGTGGCGTCTGGTCTTTTGGGCATGAAACTTCTCTCCTGGCATGGAACTTCTCCCCATAAGCAAGCTGGGTGAAAGGTAATCAGGCCCCAGTATTCTCAGGCTGCCACACTTGAAGTAGCATCTCTGTGCTATGAGTGGGGGATGGGTGGAGGAAGGGAGCCGGGGCATCTTGGCAATATTTGCCTAGAAGGTAGTCCCTGCAATACAGAGCTGAGGGGGATCGGGGGGAAAGAAGGGGAGAGTAGGTACTGGCTTAAGTGCCACAGACTCTTATTGTTCTTACCAGGATTTAATAGATTTTTCTCAAATACCTCCTTATTTGCTGCGTATCCTTAGGACAATTTTCAGAGGATTTCAGTGGTTGGTTTTTGTTCTTTACAATAATCTTCACCAGTTATTACTATTTTGCCAGGGAGAGGGTCTATGGTGCTCCTCACACCACATTCTGGAAGTTAGCACCTGATCCCCACCCTTATCTCGGGCCTCTCGGCTCCTCCTCCTCCCGGCTCATGGCTAAGGATCATACTTTCTAGGCTTATCACTGCCTCGGGATCTTTGCGCTGGCTGTTCCCTCAGCCTGGAGACTTCTTTTCCCTTGAAGTAGACACTGTTGCATGCTTACTCACATGCTTTTTCCAGCCTGATCCTTACAGGCAAAGTTTCTTCTCATGACTCAGGGGAAATCCTGATTAGTCTAGAGCAGGAGTCTGCAAACTATGGCCCTAGGGACAAACCTGGCATATTACATTTTTAAATGCATTTTTTAAAATCCAAAAGAATAATATTTTGTGCATGAAAACGATATGAATTGCAAATTTTAGTGTCCATAAATAAAGCTTTATTGGAAGACAATTATGCCTATTTATTTACTTTTTGCCTCTGGCTGCTTTCACACTGCAACAGTAGAAATGAGTAGTGGTGCCACATGTATCTTTCTGTGTAAATACATTTTCAAAAATGAAACGTAAAATCTCATCATAGATCAGCATTAATATATGAACAGTTGCAATCTATTTTTAATGATAGGAAAATAACTTTGACCCCCCAGTTAGATAAAAAGTTAGGGCTGGACACAGTGGCTCTTGTCAGTAATCCCAGTACTTTGGGAGGCTGAGAGGGGCAGATCATCTAAAGTCAGGAGTTCAAGACAGGAGTTCAAGACCAGCCTTGCCAACATGGTGAGAGACCATCTCTACTAAAAATACAAAAATTAGCCAGGTGTGGTGGCATGCACCTGTAATCCCAGCTACTCAGGCGGCTGAGGCATAAGAATCACTTGAACCCAGGAGGCAGACGTTGCAGTGAGCCAAGATCATGCCACTGGACTCCAGCATGTGCGACGGAGTAAGACTTTGTCTCAAAAAAAAAAAAAAAAAAAAAAGATAAAATGTTAGAACACTTTTACCTCCAATTAGGCAAAATTTTATTTTCCTGATTAAAAAAATGCTATTCCCTCCAAAAGAAACTCATTCTTCTTCTTAATAGGCCCGCATTTAAAAAAATTATATTCAACTATTCTATTTTGAATTTCATCAATAAAAACTTTGTGGAAATCTATTTTCTCTCTTATTATTTAAGTACCTACATAATACCTTCAATCTTGCCTCTTGACCTGTGAAGTCTAAAATATTTCCTATTTAACAATCTACAGAAAAAGCTTGCCAATCATGGTGATTCTATTCTCTTGCTTGTGATTTTAAAGGTGGGTGTTTGGCCCGGTTCTGACCAGTGAGATGCGAGAGTCAATGTGCTGGACACTTCTGGAAATTCTCCCTTCTTCCTCTGGATGTTGTTTCAGATGGGATGTTGGCAACTATTGACAGCCATGAGGGAAGCCAGGCTGAGGCCCGGCTACAGGCTGCAGGGTGCCCTGCAGACGGGCAGGCAGAAAGATGGAAGAAACTGCGTCCTCGTGCTGTGGATGGGACCCGAGTTAGACAACCCTAGAACCTTCCTACCTTGGGACTTCTTGTAATGTGAAACAGTAAATGTTATTATCATTTAAATTATTTGAATCTAGAGTTTTCTGATGCTTATCGTCCAAAGCATTGAAATCACCTCACAACATCTCATGGCTCCTTCTCATCATAGAGGGCCATGTAAATGTCCCCTCCTCAGAGAAGCCTTCCCTGCTTCCACTAAGGAAATAGCCTGTGGCACCCCCCCACCCCCTTAGTTACTCTCATTAGCATGTATCACTATCTGTAATTCTTTTACTAGGCAGTTTCCCCTTGCTCAAGCATAAGCTTCCTGAGATCAGGGCGTTGTCTCATGCACCTGTTACCCCAGGGCTTAGAACACAGTCTGACAGCAAGTAACACCTCATAGACATTTATGGAATAACAAAATACTACTAATATTTAACTCGTATTTAATCACATTATTGTTTTATTATTAATATGAATATTTTATTAGAAAATTGAATTATTGGTAATTTATTAACAAAACATTAAAATTAATTATGAAGATTGCTAAAAGACATTAATATTTACTTCTAATAAATATGCATAGTGTTTATTATTCAAGCTAACATTTTTATATGTGTTCAGTTCATGCCATACTCAGTGCCTGAGCTTATTATACATCCCTCAATTAACCCTTATAATTAATTATTATTAGTAGTATTAGGTAGGTATTATTGTCATTACAGAAGATTATCAAAGTTCATTTTCTTTTAAGCAATCTATACTACCAGTACAATCTATGGCAATACAATAATAATGATAATAACAATATATATACTTAAAGACCAGCAAACTTAAATTGGACTCATTGTTTTGCACCCATGACCTTTCTAGTGGGAAACAGCACTGAACTGCAATATTTTTGTCCCAGTCCTCAGCCTCGCCTCCCTGCAGGAGGAACGTCTAGCCAGAAGACGAGGAGGGAGCATGCTCCCCAGGGGGACATTTCAGACCCAATTTTCCTCTGCAGATAATGATGGTTATAGCATCTGGCATCTGACTTGAGGCCTGCCCTTTCCTCCTGAAGGACACCCCGTGGTGACACACAGTAATTCTCCAACTCCTCTTGGGGTCCTAGACTTATGCAGAGAGGCTACAGCAAATCTCATGTTCTCTTTGATAACTTCTGTAAGAGCTGGCCAATTACCGTCTTCCCCAAGCGCGCTTCTGGGTTGCTGGTTGACTCCATTCCCACCCCCTTCCACCCCCAAGACTCCCCACCCTTTCAGCCAAAAATGTCATGTTCTGGTTTCCAGATGATCTCTGCTTTAAATTGAATAATTTTCTATAACACTATCTCCCTGTGCCAAATTCCTGCTGGTGTCTCAAAAAGGGCATATATGTAAGAAGTAATGAGCATTCCTTTAGGTCAATAGCCTCTGTCATTCTTTTCTAAATTTATTTTTTATTTTTATTATATATATACACGTACACCTATAATTGTTTTTTTAAGATAGAGCCTCGCTCAGTCATCCAGGCTAGAGGGCAGTGGTGTAATCTCAGCTCACTGCAACTTCTGCCTCACCGGTTCAAGCAATTCTCATGTCTCAGCCTCCTGAGTAGCTGGGATTACAGGCATGCACCATGTCTAGCTAATTTTTGTATTTTTAGTAGAAACGGGGTTTTGCCATGTTGGCCAGGCTGGTCTCAAACTCCTGACCTCAGGTGATCTGCCCGACTCAGCCTCCCAAAGTGTTGGGATTACAGGCATGAGCCACTGCCCCCGGCCCCTGCCTTCATCATTCTAACAACAGTTTTCAAAGCAACGATGTTTATCTTTTTATTTATAGTAAATTTGAAGGATGTATTTGGGATGATCTAACCTAAAATATATACTTTGTGGGCTCTGTAGCATCCCCAAAATTTACTGCAGGCATTCCTGGAACTCTTCAAAGAGATGAGGGGAGGGGACTTATACTTTGGTCCAAAGCTGTCCAATAGAATGCTCTGTGATAATGGAAGTGTTCCATATTTGTACTGAGCAATAGAGTACCCACTAGCCATTTGTACCTATGGGCCATGTAGTGGCTGGTATGACTGAGGAAGCAGAATTTTAATATAATTAAATTTTACAGCCACATATGGCTGGTGGCTACCACCATGGACAGCACAGATCTGAGGATGCCGATTGATGACAGAGTTGTTTCACGATCACAGCTGTGCTCCTGGGAGTGAAGCAGCAGTGAGGACACTTAATCATCTTCCTCTGCAACATCTAGAAACCAGCCAGTAGTTATTAATGATAAAATACATTATCATTGTATGTAATGATATATAACATGTGTAATGATAAAATAACAATACACTGTACATGAAGCTTTCATACCAGCTCACTTTAGTCTTCACAAAAGTCCTCTTAGGTCCTATCACAAATTTAGAGACCGAACAGTCATATTGCTCGACCGAAGACACAGAGATCTTTGGCTCAAGGTCCTGTGGCTCAATGTTCTGCTATGCACTGCTTGGTTGTTTTCTAATTTACAAAGATTCTATAAGCAAGATTGTTCCAGTTAAAGATCAGACAGCTGCCACCTAATCAGAAAGCAGGAAAAGTGTAGCTCAGCTTAGCTGCAAGGGCTCTGCTAGTGGGTAAGAGAAGAGAGGGTGAGAAGGGAGGGCAGATGAGATGTACAGAGCCTGGAGGACATGACGAGATGCAGACCACCACCACTGACTATGCTGGGCGCTGGCCACGGGGCTTTGGATTCATCCCATTGTGTGAAGGCAGTATTATTTTCCCGTTTTCCAAATGAGAAAAAGGAGTGCTCTGAGAGTTGACACTAAGCCTGCTAAGATTTGTTCAACTTATACAACGGACAAGATTCTAGCCCATGTGCTTCCAGCACTCCAGACAGCCCCTACCCAAGTGAATGGCCAAAGCCAGATCAAACCTAGAGCAGAAACAAAAAAGCAGGAGAGTTGAGGTCTTTGTCAGGATGACCAGAGAAAGGCTAGTGCTGTCTATAATGCTCCTAAAATTCTCTAACACACCCTCTTCTTGCAAGCTGAGGCCAGAGTTTCAGGACTCACATAAGTTAGTTTTTATTCATGTTCTGGGACAAGTGGTGCCAGGATGCTGGATGCATGGGAGAGAGACCAGCACAGCCTCCATGTGACTGATGGTTCAGAACTGCTCTACTGGAAACGATATCGCAGAGAAAGATGAGTCTGGTGTTTAAGATCTGGGATCATAGAGTCCCCAGACCAGAAGGATGACAATCTAGCCCGTGCACACCTCCTACCCCCAAGGGACTGTATCTAGACTAGAGGCCATTAACCTGTCCCCCCTGAGATTGCTGTCAGGGCCAAGGCTTTAGGAACAAAGAAGGGAAAGAAAAAAAGGTGGACAAAGAATACAGGGAAGACCCGATGAGGAAGGGAGAAATAGGTGGCAACTGCCCCCACAGGAGCTCCCGTGGGCCCAGGAGGCCCTGACAACACCCAACACTGGTACTCACAGTAGGAACTCACAGGTAGCATCCTACTGAGGCCTCCAGACCTTGTGCCCAACTCCTACAACACTCCCACCTCCACCTCTGGCTCTAGCTACACTGGCTAAGTTCTTTGTATCCCGTCAGCCTCAGCTTAAATTCTGCCTCTTCTAAGAAACCTTCCCTGATCCCCATTTCAATTTCTGTGCACTTGTTCTTTCCTCCCTTGGCTACTTCCTCCCTACCTACTTATCTGTCTTTTTCCTCCTGTAGGCTCCAGGAGGACAGGGGACCTGAACCAAGTGAGCCTCCTGTGTCTACCACATAGTAATGATGTTAATGATAACACCAACAAGAATTGACATTCCTTGAGTAATTACTATGTGTCACACATGGTTCTAAGCACTTTACATGTATTAGTTAATTTCACTTTTATAAGAAGCCCATGACTTAGGTGGTATTGTTATCTTCATTCTGCAGAGGAGAAATATGAAGCACAGAAAGGTAAGCAAACTTGCTTAAGGCACACAGCTAGTAGGTGGAAGAGCTACAATTTGAACCCAGGCAGTTTGATTTCAAACTCTTAACCATGAATCACTTTGCTAAATTTCTCAATATGCTACGAGTGCCCACATGTGTGTCAGCCTATTCATTTCCTTACTGGTTTTGTGGTTTTATTGTGTAAATCATCCATCGTACTTAAACCATGATAGAATGTCTCCGCGAGACCAGACAAAAATATTTGTAGCTCTGTCCACCAATACTCCAAATGTCATTGAAGAAATAGCAAGGAATGTAATGTGTTATTTGCACAGGCTGTGATATGTTAATTAATAAGCATTTCAAATATTTCATATGCGATGTGCACATTCCCCTTTAGTGAACCATAAATTTAGATATAGGATTGGAGAAATTTCTCGAATGCATTTGGGGACAATTTGTGGTCAGTAAAGGCAGGGTTCTGGGTGAGACACAAGCAGGAACTGTGAGAATGACTACAGGCAAAAGACGCCGTCTCCCTGCAATAAGGGCAATGTGGCAACCTGAGCTCCTTAAACTCTGGTGTTGTTTGGTTCGCTGAATGAAAGTAAGTAAACATTTTAGTCAATCCTGATTCTGAAATAGGCAGGAAACTCATCATACATGCCATCTCTGCAGCAAAGCCCACTCAAGCTGGCTTAAGTAAACAGAGGGTGATGTGAGAATACACTGAGAACCTCATGAAACCCAGCAGCAGAGGCTCTGTTGGGTTCCGGATTGCAGAACCTGGTTCATTCTAGGAACTACCTATCTGGAGTCCACGCAACTTTTTGTTGTTGTTTATGTTTGGCACATATATGTTCAGGGAAAATGAGTGTGTCTTGGATAGGCTGGGTACCAGCCCTGGTGAGTCGGGGCATGAGGGACAGGAGGCAAACAATATGTCCATGTCCTAATCCCTGGACCTGTGAATACATTAGGCTACATGGCACAGGGAATCAGCTTGGAGATGGAATTGAAGTTAATTGGTTGGCTTTATTATCCTGGATTATGCGTATGGGCCCGACGTAATCACAAGAGTCCTTAAAAATGGAAGAGAAAGGAGTGTCGGTCCAAGGGAGATGTGACTGCGGAAGAAAGGCATGCAGAGATCCAACATTGCTGTCTTCAAAGATGGAGAAAGGGGCTGTAAGCCCAGGAAAAGGCAGGCAGCTGCTAGAAGCCAGAAAAGGTAAGAAATGGCCTCCAGAAAGGAAGGTAGCCCTGCCAACACCTTGATTTTAGCACAGTGAGACTCACTCACATCAGACTCCAAGACTATAAGATAATAAATGTCTGCAGTTTTAAGCCACGAAGTCTCAGATAATGTGTTTCAGCAGCCATGGGAAACCAACACAGGGGATGGGGAGGCAAAGAGACATGGGGGTGGTCCCGTCTGGGGATGGTTTTAACCCTCATTGCTCACTCCTTCCTGTGTGAGTATGACTGGAGACACCCAGGTGCGTGCGTCTTTCAAGCAACCTTCTCGGCCACTTGAGGGCTTTTCTCACAACTTAACTGCAAAATACAAAGGTAAGAGTGCTGCATTTCATGACACAGGTTGAGCCCTCTAAATGACAGAGACAAAACCAAAACAACAAAGCCTCTGCTTCTGATTTAAGTAGCTGAAGTTCTTCAGGCCCAAAGTGCCCAGAAAAACAGCTTTTCTTCTTTTTCACCTTGCCTAATGGTCAGATGTTGAAAAACCCTAATGGTGATGGCTAATGTCAGAATCCCTTTTCTCTCTTCTGTCTTCATCCTGGGATCAGTGAGATTGGATGTGGGTAAGCAAAGGCTTACAGACATGGGAGGACGGAGCTCAGGGATGACCCTCACCAGCCCGGCCAAGTGCTTGGACAAAACGTCCAGATGATTTTCTTTAATCGGTGCAGTTTAAACATGAAAACAGACTGAATGGAGGAGAGAGTTTGCTGCTCTCTGACCTTGGCTGTGTGTTTTTCTTCATCTCCTGTCAAGTTCAGCACCAAGAACAAACAATCACCGATGAGCTGGAACATGAGAATGCAAAGGCTAGGCAGCAATGAGGTAACTCCGACGTGAGGCTGAATCGAATCCTAGAAAATGCAGCTTCTCTGTAACTGCCCAGGGGAAGATGGACTTGTGTCCAGAGAGTTTTAAAGTTATATGGAAGGACTGAGCTGTGGGAGCTGTGTATTCTCTGTGTGAGCTATGTGATCCTGGGCAGGTTATTTAACCCCAGGAGCCTGGTCCATCGTTCATGGCGGGTGGTAAAAGCTGCCCTACAGAATGGTGGTAAGGAGCTCTGGGAGGGCTTCTCTGCCACAAAGCCCACTCCAGCTGGCTCAAGTAAAGACAGAGTGGTGTGAGGATACACTGACAACCTCATAAAACCCAAGAGCAGAGGCTCTGATGAGTTCTGGATTGCAGAACCTGGTTCATTCTAGGAAATACCTACATGGAATCCACAAAGATTTTTGTTGTTTTGTTTTAAACTTAATCTCTTAATAGATTTTTTAAAACTGAGATATAATTTACATACAATAAAGTATCTAAATCATGAAATTCACAAGTTCAGTGAATTTTTATATATGAATACAAAACGTAACGACCACCCCACACCAAGATATTAATAGATATATAGATCAGGAGTCAGCAAACTCAGGCCTACAGGCTAAATCTGGTCTGCTACTGGTTTTGTGGTTTCATCAGAACACCACCACGCCTATTGTTTATGTCTTGTCTATGACTGTGTGAGTAGTTGCCCCAGAGACCTGGCAGTTTCCAAGCCTAAAATCATCAGCAGCTAGCCCTTTAAGAAACAGTAACCCTCTCCCTGATAGACAGCCTGCCCAGCACTGCCTTCTCTACCCAGCTGGTACCCTCCCAGATAACTCTTTTCACCTATGTTATTGTAGGTTAATTTTGCTTGTTTTCAAGCTTTGTATAAATGGAATGTTATAGTTCTTATTCCTTATTCTCTCCACGACGTGTCTGTGAGACGCAGCCACATTGCGTGGCACTCTCTCAAGTACCCCCTTCATGCAACTCAGTTACAGGCCAGGCATTTTCTCCTCTCTGTCCAGCATGCTGGCTTGCTCCCCTCATTCACTCTCAGGCACCTCCTGACACTGTCCCTTACAGCCTCGGGGATGCCCTTGGGCCCTCTCTCTACAGTAGCGGTTCTTGATTCTTTCTCTCTCTTAATCATCTATTGCTGAACCATGAATGCCCCTGGAAATCCCATCAGAACGAGGGACCCACTTCTCAGATAAATGCATAGGTAGTGAAATGCTTATCTAAAGATCAAGCTTTGTTGTTGATTTAACATTTTTTTCTCCCTGCGTTGGTGAGTGAAGCTTCAGAAATCCACCTTGAATTCACAAAGCTTTGACTCACGTAAAAAAAGAAAGCGGGGGAGAGAGAAAACCCTGTTACCACTTTGGGTTTTACTCAAAAGGGTATGTGAAGCACAGGTATTCCTGCGATGGGGACAAGGAGAAGGAAGATAGCATGCTTTGCATTTTGAGATCCTGTCCCCTGGAAGATAAAAGGACGGGACTCCAGGTCCACATTACACCAGACACCAGGACGAGCACCGACCCAGCCCCTGTGGTGCCCTGGAGCACTGAGATCTTGTGCCAGCTCTAAGACACTATTTCAGTTCTCCGTCCAGGAACCACACAGGCCTCATTCCATCAGGACAGCGATGACATCTGCTGTTGACTGAGGAGACCAGGCTTTGACCTAGACGCAGCATGGCACCAGGGAGCGTCAGTAGCGGTGGATTGATCGGTTTCCAGTTTTCTTGGCTTGAGTATGGGAACTGGAGGGAGCCCCTTAGCACCGCGGAACCTCAGAGTTCTTGGATTACTCATGGGTAAGGGGGTCCTGAAAGGGTGATAGTGAAACTTGTGCTAAGGAGTGGAGCAAGTAATCAGTGAATAAGCTGTGTGACCCGACTTGCACCTCAAATTTGTGAATCTGCTCATACCATTTATACATACAAACCCCAAATCTCACAAAGATTTGAAATGGGTTTGTGGACCCCAGGCTAAAAATCTCAGTTTAATAATCTATCCTTTCTGCTTCAGCTGTCACTGAAAATTAGCGGGGCCTTTTTGCACTTAGGTAAAATCCCCAAGAGAAAGTAATTGGCCAAGCTAATATTTTAATTAGGTCACCAAAATCCCAGCCTGGCTGGTCTGTGGGTCAGCTGTTAGTAGGTCAAGCTTGCAACCCTAGAAGCAGGCACGTGTGGGCCGGGCACGGTGGCTCACGCCTGTAATCCCAGCACTTTGGGAGGCCGAGACGGGCGGATCATGAGGTCAGGAGATCGAGACCATCCTGGTTAACGCGGTGAAACCCCGTCTCTACTAAAAATACAAAAAATTAGCCTGTCTTGGTGGCGGGACCTGTAGTCCCAGCTACTCGGGAGGCTGAGGCGAGAGAATGGTGTGAACCCAGGAGGTGGAGCTTGCAGTGAGCCGAGATTGCACCACTGCACTCCAGTCTGGGCAACAGAGCGAGACTCGGTCACAAAAAAAACAAAAAAAAAGAAGCAGGCACGTGTGACCTCAAAGGTGGTCCCTGGGCAGTGGGGCTGGGGCAGTTTCCTTTAGATGGAGGTGTGAGCAGGACAGGCACTGTGACTCTCCAAGGAGTTTTAGAGATGATTGAGGAAGCTACAGGCAACTCTCTGTATCAGTAGGCTTCTCATCCATGAATTCAACCAACCACAGACGGAAAATATTCAGAAAAATAATCCCACAAAACTCCAAAAGCAAAACTTGATTTTGCTGCACACCAGGTACTCCACTGAATCCATGAGAATGAAATAATATGTAGGGTTGTATTTGGGATTAGAAGTAGTCCAGAGATGATTTAAAGTATATGGAAGGATGTGCATAGGTTACATGCACCTACTACATCGTTTTATGTCAGGAACTTGAGCATCTGCTGATTCTGGTATCTGAGGAAGGTCCTGGAACCAATCCCCCACAGATACTGATAGATGACTGTACTTAGTAAATGCAATGATGAAACCAAGTTCATAGTCAATAAATGGGAGCTACTATGATAATGGTGAAGAAGAATTATGACTCATGACGTGAGTCAACCCCAAGAGAATCACTTCTGGGGGACTTTTCTCATGCTCTTTCTTTCGGTGATGCTGATTGCATTGGTGTCAAATATACACAGGTGGACAAGCTTATGGAGCATGGACATTCGATGAGGACACCCATTTAAAGAAATCAGAGGAGGGAAATGAAAAGTGCCCCCTCAAGTCATTAAAATACAGATACGTTTGAGGCTTCCTGAAAAATGAATCTAATACATACTTTAAGAAGGATTAAATAAAGATATTGCACAGCAAACTGAATAGGAGTATTGTCTGAATGATTATAAAAGTTGTTCTTTTCATCTCATAAATTTATGTAATTAAACTAATGTCACAGTTTGCTCTTGCATGGTGGCAACATGACAGAAGTGCAGAATTTTTACTCCACTCCTGGCTAATTAGGATGACGTGTGATTCTATTTCTTAATTTCAAATGTTCTTCTGAATTTTGTGCTCAACACCCCCCCTTTCCTCTTTAGAAACCTGATGTCTAAGTAGTTATAAATAAGACTCCCAATCCAGAACACTTTGAATGTGATTTGGCTCTATTTTCTTTTAATACCAAGTTAGTTTAGGTGTCAGTAGCAATTTGAAAAGAGTTAAAAAATGAAGATACGCCCTGAACTCTGGAGAAGGGGATGAGAATGTTCTGCTTCATTCAGGTTACCACCCTAACCCTAACCCTAACCCTAAGAGGGACATGCTCTGGTTCCAGGGTGAGAAAGAAAAAGTCCAGACATCTTTGAGCTTTATTTTTACCCTCTTGCTTTCGGGAATTTCTTGTAGAGAACATATAATTTTCTTCCAAAGGTGGCAAGATATTGTAGAAAAATTTCAGTGGTCATCTGCACTTTTGCCTACAACACATGTCACTTAAATTGAGTCCTGGTTTTCTCATCTGTGATGTGAAGGGCTTAAATCCATCCATCCATCCATCCATCCATCCATCCATCCATCCATCTATTCATTCATTCATTCATTCATTCATTCATTCATTCATTCATGTATACTACTAGCATTTTCAGAGTGCCTAGGGCATTTGTTCAGGCACCCATGAATGAAAGATAGTGTTTGACTTCAAAAAACTCACAAGCAGGGAAGAGAACACTGCACAGACCTTAAGAGCACAGATTGTGAAGTTAGATGACCTAAGTCTCAGCTTCTCCTTCTTAGAAGCTGTGGACCTTTGGATAAGTCTCTTTATGTCTCTAAGATGTCTTTATATTTAAAAGACATACTAATGTCAGTATAATAGGACAGCTATAAAGGTTAAACAAGATAATACCTGCAAAGTACATTGAACAGCAGAACAATCCCTATTAGAGCTGCTAAATTATTATTGTCAAATGTCTTTAAATTGCTCTATTATGGGTATATAGATAATACTTGGGGGACACTAAGAAGGAAGCCATTAGTTCTTCCTGGAATAGACTAAAGGAGAGCAGGCATCGTTTTAGAGGAGGTGATACTGGGTTGGATTTTGTAGGATGAGTTGGAATTTACAACATAGAAAGAGAGGTAGAATGCTGAAGGCCTATGTGAAAATGCACAGAGTTTATTTCTAAGAATGGCCAGTAGTGTTTTAAGCTACACCACTGGCACATGCAGGTAATGGCAGAGATAAATCTAGAAAGGACTCCCAGGGCTACATTATCAGTAACATATTAATCAGAAGGCTTTCAGTTGATAATAACAAGAAACGCAGCTTGAATTGGCCCAAACAATAAAAATGTTTTATTGTTTTGGACCCAGGTAAATTTACAACTTTTAAAAATATAAATACCCGCATGGTCAGGTTTAGCACTGGTTTGGTCCCATGACTCAATCATATCACCAAAAGCTGGTTTCTTTACATTTCTACTCTTTCCTCATTTGTATGTCTTCTTCATCCTAATACTGGATGGTCCTCATGCTCACAGGGTGGCTGCCAACTACCAAGGTTACATGCTTCCCAAACAACATCCAGGAAAGAAAGAATGCCTGACCCTGAGACCATCTAATGAGAGCCCTGGGCTTTATATTATAAGCCAATCGCTATGGCTAGAGAAAGACATGGACTAGTTGACTTAGGTCTGGGATATCCCAATGAATGACTACCACAACAGGAAGGGTTTTTTTTTTTTCTTTTTTTTTTTTTTTGGCTTAGACCAATCTGAGCTACCTTTGAAGCTGGAGGGCTTGTCTTTGTAAACCATGTGGCTGCTACACAAAGGGAGAGGAATGGGATGGATATAGGAAGGCCTATCATATGGTTCATCCCAGAAGACTTGTAGGCCATGACATAGTTTGGAGTTTACACCGTGGACAACAAGAAGTCACTTACAGGCAAAGATTCACATATTAGAAATAACTCTGGAGGCAGTTCTGGAACCAACTGGGGCAAGAAAACCAGTTCACACCTAGTTTATCTCTTAGGTCTTCTGTAGAGAAAACAACCCAACTCCACTGAGTAAACAGGTATTCTGGGCAAGCACTATATATTGTTTGCACCCAGAAACCTCGCTTCTCAGGTTGAATTTCAACTCAGAATGTTGAAATGCTCACAACTCCCAAGCTGCCAACAGTAATGGACCAATCACTGTTGTAAAATTCAAAGTGTTTTACATTACTTCTAAGTCTGTGCACTCAAGAGTTTCAGCCTGCAAACCACTTCCATGACACGTGAGAGTCAAATGGGAGAATCCATTAGAGGTGGCATACGGAGGGTGTAAGAGCCAAGGACTTGAACCACACAGACGCCCTGGAAGTGACATCACCTCGCTGAGTCTCTGACCACTCCTCTGTAAACCAAAGTAATAATACTAACCTCATAGGGCTGTTCATTTCACTTGCCAGTTTAACAGACATTTATTGAGCACCAACTATATACCAGATCCTGTACTGAAGCCCAGGAAGAAGGAACTGAGCAAACACGTGTCACATCCTTAGCAGAGTTTCTCCCAAATCTGAGAAGAAAAAAAGAACAGAGCCTGAAATACCAGGTGAATGGGAACCATGGGGATGAGGAAGACATCCTTTGAACACTTCTAATGGTAACACCAATGAAGACTCAAAGATTATCTGAGTCCTCTAAAGTCTGGCCATAAGGCATAATAGTCACAGACAGAGGCCACTGGCATGTACTTTCTCCCCTGGTAAACAGAAAAAGATTCAGGGTTCCTCACTGCCCCCCAACCCTGGGGTGACCCAGGAAATCTTCTTATTTGATACCCACCATCAAGTCACTTAAACAGTATTTCAAGACCCAAAAAATGAGCTTTCTCACTTTAAAAAGTGAAACAACTTTGACTTTTTCCATCTGTTCCGCTCAGGGCTGAAATGATGTATTCAGGGTAACATGTTTCAAGAGAACTTGGACAAACTCATATTTTAAAAATAGACGGATTTCCTACTGTGCCATGAGCACAGCAGTGCTTCCTTGGTTGTGTTTCAAATGATGGCCTCACCACCACCCCCAGAGCCCTGATAAGAGAGCCCTGGAAATAAACGAGCTCTGTGCAACACAGCATGCAGAGAGGCTTCCTCCCGGAGAAGAATGAGCCTCTGAGCAAGGCAGAGGGGGCCCACACACACATTTTCCCCTCAAAATACTACTGCAAGGCAGAAGATGGCTTAAATTGCTATGATTTGTGATCTGGAAATGAATATGTATTTTTATTGCATTATTCATTATACAGAGTACAACAAGTCTTGCTTAAAGCTATCTCTGTATCACTTGATATGAATGTTATATTGCATTTTGTGATGCACAACTTCTTGAAGAAATATTTTACAGAGATTAATAATGAGAAGTTTGAATGTATGCTCCTGGAGCTCATTGATGGAACTACTCTGTTTCCATCTTTCTCCCTGGAGCCAGTTTGACTCCAGGCTGACATGTTGGTGACAGTGCTTCACAAAAGGCTTTTGTGCTCTACTTTATGCAAGCTCTGGTTAAAGTATGGAGCCTAAAACTGAGTGAGAGAACCTTCAGAAAGCAGCAAGAAGCTAAAGGCAGCACTTTTGTGCCAAGGTAATAAAGGAAAAAATGTGTATACCAAATAGCATTATCTTTAGAATAAAATGATTAGATGAATTGGATGTTCCCCAAGCTTGTGCAAATGAGGACATGCAGAAAATAAATTTCCCAACAAAAATTTGAAGCGATATTGAGGATTTTTCAGTGATGGCATGTGTCCTGCCTCAACTTCCTCCTCATGGTGAAAGTACCCAGTCCACAGCTTCAGCTCAGGTAAGCAGCACCAGTCCCTGGGGCCACTGGCTGGAGCAGAGGTGACCACTGACCCAAGGCTGGCCCATTTACAGGTTGGCCAGAGACCACCCAGGTGGCCCTTTAGTCAAGGGGCTGCTTCCATCTTGGATAGGAACTAGAAAATTCACAGAAGCCCGGAAAATGGATGGTGGGTGGTGGGGGAAGAAGCTGTGTCCCCTTAGAAGCAGAATAGCAGAAAGAATATCCACACCCCCATTGCCCAGGTCCCTAGAGCTCCCTTGGGTCCTGAATGGACAATGGACAGCTGTTTCCACTCTTATAAGATCCTTACTTCCCAGAGTTCCTATTGTCTGCATTTCCCTGGGTTTCCCATGTCTATCTTCACAGTTAACATGAATTCTCACCCCAACCACATCACCCAATTATTTGAGTTCACTTGAAGGATGTGTTTTGTAGTTGACATCTGTTGCTTTTCCTGAATAGCATCCATTTCCCTTTGTTCAAGTCACAACACTTCTTCACTCTCAGCTCTCTGGTTGGGGTGGGGCACACTGCACCCTAGCTCCAAAGGTGGGCATGTGATGGAGATCTGGCCAATCAGAGTCCCACATACCACTGGCCACACTGATTGCTTCCGGAATGGACACATGACCCAAGTTTGAGGCTGTGGTTAAAACTATTAGGAAATGAACTTCTCTTCCACTAGCATAATATAAGTCTAGGGTGGCTGGGGTTCCAGTAAGTGAAGGGAGCTTACCTAAAAGCTAAACCAACACCATTGAAATACAGAGAGATGGATTCAGGTTCACATCATTTGGGATCCCGGCTCCAGCCATATCTGAAGCTTGTTGAGCTCTGGACTTAAACAAGTTTTTTAAATTAATGTTTTATTTTATAATGGCTCTAGATTTACAGATAAGTGTGAGGGTAGTGTAGAGGGTTGTCATAGACTCCATACCTGGTTTCTCCTATTGTTAACATTTTATAGCATTGTACATTACCACTAGTAAGGCAATATTGTTATGTTATTAACTGAAGTCTATACTTTACCCAGATTTCCTTAGTTTTCATCTAATGTCTTTCTTCTTTTCCAGGATCCCATCCAGGGGACCTCATTACATTTAGTCATCATGTCACCTTAGGCTCCTCTAGATGGTAACAGTTTCTCAGACTCACCTTGTTTTGGGTGACCTTGACAGTCTTGAGGAATACTGATCAGTTTTATTGAGTATTCTTCAGTGGAGGTTTCTCATGTTTTTCTCATGATTAGCCTGGGATATGGGTTTGGGGGGAGTTAGACCACATGGCAAAATGCCATTGTTATCACACCATATCATGCTAATTTTGATCACTTGGCTGAGGTATTATTTATAGGTGGCTCCTCTGTTAAATCACTCTTTTTCCCCTTTTCCCTATTGTTCTCTTTGGAAAGAAGTCATTTTGTGCACCCCAAACTTAGGGAGTTACGCTCCTCCCTTTTGAGGACAGAAGGTCTATACAAATTATTTGAAATTCTTCTACACAAGAGATTTGTCTATTCTTGGCTGGGTGCAGTGGCTCATGCCTGTAATCCCGATACTTTGAAGGCTGAGGCGGGAGGATTTCTTGAGTCCAGGAGTTTGAGACCTGGCTAGGTAACATAGAGAAACCTTGTTTCTACAAAAAACAATTTTTTAATTAGCTGGGCATGGTGGAACATGCCTGTAGTCCCTGCTACTTGGGAGGCTGAGGTGGAAGGATTACTTGAGCCCAGGAGTTCAAGGCTGCAATGAGCTGTGATCGTGCCACAGCACTCCAGCCTGGGCAACAGAGTGAGACCCTAACTCTGAGAAACAAAAATGAAAGAGAGAGAGAGATTTGTCTATTCTCCCCCACTTATTTACTTATTCAATCATTTCTGTCAGTATGGACTCACTTCATACTTTGGCTTATAATTTATACTTATTTATTTATTTTACATTATCTCAGCTTTGGCCATTGTGAGCTCTGTTAATTGGTTTCTGTGTCCCTTTGATGTGCCATATCTGTGTCTGTGTGCAGGCGTGTGTGCTGTGTTTTGAACACTTTCTTTTTTTTTATTATACTTTAAGTTCTAGGGTACATATGCACAATGTGCAGGTTTGTTACATATGTATACATGTGCCGTGTTGGTTTGCTGCACCCGTTAATTCGTCATTTACGTTAGGTATTTCTCCTAATGCTATCTCTCCCCGCCCCACCCCACAACAGGCCTCGGTGTGTGATGTTTTCTGCCCTGTGTCCAAATGTTCTGATTGTTCAATTCCCACCTATGAGTGAGAACATGCGGTGTTTGGTTTTCTGTCCTTGTGACAGTTTGCTCAGAATGATGTTTTCCAGCTTCATCCATGTCCCTACAAATGACATGAACTCATCCTTTTTTATGACTGCATAGTATTCCATGGTGTATATGTGCCACATTTTCTTAATCCAGTCTATCATTGATGGATATTTGGGTTGGTTCCAAGTCTTTGCTATTGTGAATAATACCGCAATAAACATACGTGTGCATGTGTCTTTATAGTAGCATGATTTATAATCTTTTGGGTATATACCCAGTAATTGGATCCCTGGATCAAATGGTATTTCTAGTTCTAGACGCTTAAGGAATCGCCACACTGTCTTCCACAATGGTTGAACTAGTTTACACTCCCACCAACAGTGTAAAAGCTGAACACTTTCTTACTTTCTGATACTATCAGATGTTCCAGGCTCACTATTGTATATCCTCTACACCAGTTCTAGAATCAGCCATTTCTCCAAAGAGCCCTGGTTCTTTTCATTGCAGAATGGTATTGGAAACCAAGATCAGGGCACTGAGTATAACTATGGATTTTCTAATTACGTGAGCCAATTCATCCACCTCTTCTTTTCCACCTTAAGTCTATTTTACTTGAATTTGCTGTCACTGGAGACCAAAAAATTTAATTAATAGAGATACAAAGATATAATACATCTCCCCCCAAGTCATCAACTCAGTGAAAGAACTGCATGACTCTTGCTCTTATTTCTAAGCTGGTGAGGCAGGGTTCCTGCTGCACAATACAATTCATGCTATGGTGTTCAGTGCCCTGAGTGAGGCCCTCATGACTTTAAAAGTATATATTCTATGCTTCTGAAAATTTAAAAACCTTTCACTAGTTTTGGAATTTCTCTCATGCTGTCTTGTGGGTTTTTTTTTCCTTCATAGAACCTATTTGCCATTATATTTTTATTTTTCCTATTTGTTCAATGCCCATATTCTTCAGCATACTGTGAGCTCCATCAGAGGACAGTCTATCGTGCTCTCCACTCTACCCCTAGTCTTACCCAGCATGTTAATTGGCACATACCCAGAACTCCATAAATATCTGTTGGATGCAATATGTGAAGAATGAATGATCCATCAATCCTGGACCCATGGCTGCCTCACTGTCTTACTATCTGGAGATACCAGAAAACTAGTTACATATGCCAGAGAATATGAGAGAAGGGTATCAAAGAAACCTAGAGAGGGAAGGAAACAATGACAGCTAGAGCAGGATAGAAGGTCATAAACGTTATGCAGGACAGGGCATTTGAGCTGAAACTTAGAGGTAAGTAGAAATTCACCAGGGACACAAAAAAGCCAGGGCTGGTTGCACTGGGAATGGTGTTCCAGGCAGTAGGTTAGGCGTGGGCAGTGATGTGGAGATGTAGAAGGGCTTGCGTCAAGATGAGAGGCCTGGAGTAACTCTGGGGAAGGGTGAAGAAGGGGGTTAAGGGCCTGGGGCAACAAAGGGAAGCCACTGGAGATTATACAGCAGGGAAGTAGCATATTCTGATCTGGGTTTTAGCAGATTATTTTGGGAGACGGAGGGGAGGACTGAGAATAGAAGAAGGAAGAGAGAGAATCTGGGACAGTGGTGATGAGGGCTGGGACAAGCCCTCTGGATATAGGAGAGAGGCGTGGACAGGGTGAGAGCTGAGGGTGGGTCTGCATATTCCTGGAACAGTGGTGTGCAGAAGCAGGTGCATAGGGTTCTTAAGAACTGACTGTGCACCCCTCTCCCAACTCACATTCTGTGGTGTTATATTGGTAGCTTGAAATTGACCATGGTGGTAACACACCACAGAAATTGGCAAGAACTCAGGGCTTTTTCCCCTTCCTCTCTTGTTCTTTTCTTTCTGGAGAGCCAGCATACCACTACTAGAAAGTCAGGCAGAGGTTCTAGAGGGAAAAATGCATCGATGTTTTGTTTTTTTCTACTGCTTTTTGGTCAGGTTCCTAAGTGGATCTGTGCTGGTGGCAAATTCTGAGTGAATTGGCTGCATAAGAAATCCTTGCGCAAGCAAATAAGAAGAACAACAATAAGGCCTGTCTTTTCAGCAAAGAGGAATCAGTCTGGATTTAACTCATGGAGACTGCCTGTTCGATATTTTTATCTATAAATATAATTTCTAAGTAATAACTACCCTTGCTGTGATAAAGACGGGATGAGAGATGAGAGAGAGAGAGAGAATGGGAGAGAGAGACAAGCACAGAGAGACAAAGAGGAAAAAGATAAAAAAGAAAAGAAGAGGGAAAAGAAAAGAAGGGAGGGAGAGAACGGGGGGGGAGGGAGGGAAGGAAGGAAGGAAGGAAGGAAGGAAGGAAGGAAGGAAGGAAGGAAGGAAGGAAGGAAGGAAGGAAGGCAGGCAGGCAGGCAGGCAGGCAGGCAGGAAGGAAGGAAAAGAGACAGGCAGGCATCTGTCCTCAGTCACTGTAAATTATACACTGAATCTTCGAAAGTCTATAATCATTAAAACACAGTAACCATGTAAACTGAGACCACACTATGTGCCAAGTTCAATATTTTGTTTAAATTTCAAATAAAAGATGCTATTATTACCTATCACCTATTTTACAGACGAGAAAACTGAGGTATATAAAGGCTAAATAACTTGTCCTAGTCATCCTCCTAATAAGCCACAGAGCTATAGGTTTGGAGGGGAATTTGAACCCAATCCATATAACCCTATGGCCTTCTCTCTTAGCTGCTACACAATAAGGCCTTTCTCCCAAATAAAACAAAGTACAAATACATTTCAACACCCACTCTCAGCACATAAGTATCATGAAGAGTATGAAAAAAGTCCTTGTCCTCAGGAATTAACCACCATGAATAGACAAGCAAAATGAATGACAAGGTGTGAGCTTGGGGATGATGCCCCAGGCCCAGCTGGTGGGAGCTCTTTGAGACAGGTGTCTTTCATCTTTGCATTGCTGGCACCTAGCACAGAGCCTGGCTCCATACGTGTCTATTCCATGAACAGCTTGAGCTTTTCTTTGAAGGATGGATTAGATTCTTCCTGCCAGAGGGTAGTCTAGGAGCCTTTGCAAGAAGGGAGGATGGCTGAGCCAAGGTGTGTTGTGCGTGAGGAACAGAAAAGCAGCAGCAGATATGTCCATCTGGAACAGATCTTCACTTGCTGCATCCATTAGGACACCTTTCAGAGCCCTGCCTGGACGATTCATCACTGGATACCCGTTCCTTTAGCTCTGAAGTCCAGATTACAGGAATCTCTATTACCACTTAGTTACAAATCTTCTGATGACTAATGAGCTGCTGATGGTTTTAGACCGTTATGGACTAAGCTTGTTCACAGAAGAATAACGAATAAGGGACAGCAAATGGATATTTTAAAACCTTGATTCATTGGTCAAATGGAGACAATAACTAACACAATAGCAAGAGTGGCTTTTGGATGATTTAAAAATAAATATATCTTTCCTCCAGGCTCTAAAGCTCAGAGCCATCTTTTACTCAAGCTCCTTCTTTGCCTTTTCCATGAAATCAGCCACCAAGTCTTATGTTTGTAAGATATTTCTTGAAGCTTCTCTTTTCTTCTCTTTTCACTGCCCTGCACTGATATAAAATCATGACCCTAAGCCCAGAATATGGCTGAATGTTTGCACAAAAGCTCCCTTAGAAATCACTAGTGCAGGTCCCTCATTACAGAGACATGAAAGTAAGGCCCAGGGGGATAAGGGACTTTCCTAAAATGACAGGGCAGAGTTTGGATTATTCCCATTTTCCAAATGAGGAAACTGAGGCAGAGAAAGGTTAAGTAATTTGGTCAAAATTACACAATTAGTACATGGTAGGGCCAGATTTTACTATTCTTATAGGCAAGTCTACTCTCAGAACAAGTGTGCTATGTATCTTCTGTTCAAAAGAGTATAGTGTGGTAGAAATAAAATGAAGGTGCAAGTTCCAAATTCAAATCCTAGACCCTCTACATGCTAGCTGCAAGACCTTGGAAAAGTTCTTTTTCTCCATAAAGTGGAGATGATTATAGTTGTTTCCCCAGGTCATTGTGAGACTGAATGAGTCACGTGTATGGTAGGCCACACATAGTGCTTAGCTCATGGTAGTATCTAATAAATATTAGCCATGTTCTCCCTCAATGTTTGAACATCTAGGGTGTGAAGAACTTCTTAACTGAGTTACAAAGTTAGTAAATACTTATAAGTATTATTTTCAATGATTAATTCTGATTCTAAGATATCTCCTTTTGCTTCTTTACAGTATTTTTTTGAATGTGACTTTCACAAATTCTTTGACCTATTGCCCACCCAATTTGTGTCCTGTTATTAATGTCACATGAGAGGGGGTGGGGGATAGAAATAAATGTTGCCTTCCATGGCAAGGAGACAAGAGCTCTACAGAAAGGAAGGAACCACCTCAATCAATGTGAACAGAGGAAGGAAAATGGTAGAGTTTTAACAGGAGATTTTCCAGCATCGACCCCAGTAGGGGTACAAGGCCATGCCTCCTCCTCAATATCTCAGTCCCCTGTACTGCTTGAAAGAAGGCAAAGGTGATTCTTCCTGACTTGACAAGAGCTTGTGGTGAAAAATAAACACCACAGTTCAGTCAGGCCGTTACCATACCAACTGTAAGATCAGATGAACAAACATCTGAGAATGAATCAAATTACACAAAATCAAGAAGAAATAGATCTGCTGCAAGGTGAGTGGATGATAAAGGGAAGGCTTGATTGGGTTTCCAAGGACAAAACACTTGGGAAAAAATGATCTCTCTAGGCTCTCTGCATTGTTTTTCTTTCCCCCAATGCAACACATTTATTCACATCTCTGGACCTTTGTTCCTAAGTGTTCCAAGGAGTGTTCTCTGAATGAGAGTTTCAGCATCGCGTAATGTCAACATTGGCCAATGCAGAGATTGGGTAGAACTTCGAGTTGATTTGATCCAGCAGCTCCATCTCTTTTCCTGGGGTTCTTGTGAATCCCCTCTTCTCTCTGTGTGTTGGCTTCATTTTAGGTTGAAAGGGAGAAGGCTGTTATGGTTCTCGGCTTCACATCCATGCATGGCCCTGTAGTAGATTAGATTATTACTCAGAATATCACTTCCTCCCGATCACTCCCAGGGAAGTGTATGCTTTCCTACTCCACTGATGGCAGGCTTGGCCACGTGATCTAGTTTGGCTATTTAGCAGGTGGGCTTGATACTAAGCTTGGCCATTTGACTGTTTTTTGGCCAATGGGATGTTAGCAGATGTAACAGAGGCTAGGCTTGAGATATGCCTGTGTATTTCCACTGGTATTCTTATATCTCTGCCATCACCTTGAGAAGAACATGCACACTCTAGCCTTCTGGTCATGAGAAGGCATGGGAGACTTAGTGTAGAACCTAAGCTAGATGAGCTGACCCCCTAAACTCACTGTTGAGCCAAGAGACGATCAAGAGAACTGAGCTGGCCCAACTAGCAAGGCCTAGACCAGCTAACTAAATGCTCTTGTGGGGTTTTGCTATGCTGCGTTTTAGTGGCAGTAACTAACATCTGGTAACATCCAGTAATAGTAATATCCAGATCAGAAGAGAGAATCTCTTGCATCGTATTAACCTAAACCAGATCACGTGCCCAATCACTGGCAAGGAGGATGGGTTTATGCTTAGAAAAATAAGAAATTTTCCTAAAGCCGGGAGGGGTGAAGTCAGCTTTGCCTTGCATGTGAGCTACTTAGGGAAGAAGTGAATATCTCAGTAAAATTAGATATCTCTTTAACGGGGGAGACGGATGTTACAATGGCAACATCTTTCAACCCCACTGTTATCTGGACTCAATTCAAGTCCTGGGTCATATACAAGCCTACTGGAGGCCCCTAGCCTACCTTGTTTGCTTTTTCCTGTAGAGTCCTAACTGGACTGCTCTGTTAGTACAGAAATGGGTTATTGCACATTACTTTTCATGTAGCATCAAGAGAGTTTTGCTTTTAACAATTGAGCTTTGCTTTCATCCCAAATGTAGCAACTTGGTTGAAATCTTGGGCTCTGTAGTCATACCTGGGTTCAAGTTTTGGTCTCATCATTTATGAGTTCTGTGACCTAAGGAAAGTTATTTACCATCTCAAATGCCTTAGTTTCCTCACCTGTAAAATAGGTAAATAATAGAACTGATGTCACAGGCTGTTGGGTGAATATATCAGTTAGTAAACATTAATTGTTTTTCTTTCCTACTAGGAGAATAAATTGGTAGAATTTTTTTGATGGCAGACCATGAAAAAAATGACCAGCACTCATTCTGAGTTTAGAGCATATTAACATTGTCTAGTTATATGTTGTCAACAAAATATTCAAGTCAAGGAGGTATGTGTTTTTGCCCACCCTAGTATTATAGACTAAATGCTGTCTCCCTAAAATTCTGACATTGAAACTCTACCGCACAATGTGTCTCAGAAAAGCAAATAGAAAAGTGCCAGGGTGAGTCCATGGAGACAGAAGACATTGGCTGTGACCTTATTTACCTGTCCCGGTAGAGCTGTTAGTTCTATATTTGGTTAAGCCATTTTGGTGGTTGGTAATGAGAATCCACTTTAGCCAGGCATATTAGTCTGCTTGGGTTGCCTTACCAAACTATCACAGACTGGGTGGCTTAAACAACAGAAATTTATTTTCTCACTCTTCTGGAGAATGGAAGTGCAAGATCAAGGTATTGTCAGGGTTGGTTCCTGGTGAGGTCTCTCTTCCTGGGTTGCAGACAGCCAGCTCCTCACAATGTCCTCACATGGTAGAGAGAGAGCTCCGGTGTCCCTTCCTCTTCTTATAAGAATGTCAGTTTTGTTGTTGTTGTTGTTGTTGTTCTGTTTTGTTTTGTTTTGTTTTGTTTTCAGATTAGGACCCTGCACTTATAACTTCATTTGATCTTAATTACCTCTCTGAAGGCCCGATCTTCAAAAGTCACATTGTGCGGTAGAGTTTCAACATCAGAATTTTGGGGAGACACAATTCAGTCTATAACACTAGGATGGGCAAAAACAACATAGACAAGAACTCCAGAGTAGGAATGCAGAGACTGGAACCAAAGCCTGGAAAGTCACTGGAATGCTTTGCCATTTTCCTCTTGAATCTCTTAGAGAGCATCTGCTTCATTCTTCTGCTTCATTCTACCCCTTCTCTGCAAACCATCTTTCCCTGCTTCTCTATCTTCATACCATAATTTTGTCTCCTTTTACTTCATATCATACTTCTAGTCACCCTCAGAGATTGATCTCCTGGTAATAAGGTCCATTTCTAAATTCTGGGGAAAAGATTCTGCCTGGCCGTCTTCAGACCAGGTGTCCCTTCAGGATGCTAGTGCCAACCGACCTGCCAGGGATCCCTCTGAAAAATAGGTTCCATTCCCTGAGAAAGGGAGAACTTTAAGTTGGGCTTCAAAAAGATCACAATGATTTATTTGTCCTGTTTAAGAATGATAATTCCTGCTCAGGCTCCAAACAACCTCTGCTCCTGTAATTCTTGTACAGGAAGTCTGGAGAGTAATGTGCAATTTGGTATGTTTAGAAAGGTTCCAGATGTTAACAATGATTAACAAACTTAAGGAAACTTTATCTTGGAACACTCACAAACATAGTATACAGGAAGAAAAAGAATACTTGTAAAAAGAGGTTAAGGAGACTAGATTTTTCAGCTTGCAGAAAGTAAAACTGAGAATCTTGAAGCATACAGAAGATGCCCACAGACAATACCTCCAGCTGTTTTCTGTCTCGACAAAGAGCAGTACAAGACCATGAGGTTACATAGAAGGAAACATTTCTTATTAGGAAAACAAGTTTTAAAACATAGAGAAGCTCTGTATCTCTGAGGCAGTCCCAATGTACCTGAGTGTGGATAAGCAGACCAGCTGGTCCTTCGGAAGCCTCTTCAGTACAGAGTCTAGGATCCCAGGGCCAGGATTAGAACAAACCAGGCTTGAAATGAAAAACCAGCCCTTCCAGATGAGACTCAAGTTACCCAGAGAAAGAAAGTCATGAGGGATATGGCTTAATCTTATCATCTCTGACCCATTTGCTGGTCAATCAAATTGTACACTTAACTCCTTTAGAGGAAAAGAGGCGTGTGTATATGGGTTTGTTCAGCAGGTGAAGAAGTAGCCCAAACCCTGTCTCCTTTCATCATCCAGTCTTGGTCCCGGGTCAGGATGTGTTTATGGATCAGACGTCCTCTCTTCAGACAGATAGGACCTGGTGGTTAGTGTGATGTTAGTGTAGAGATGTGGTTCGGCCCTTCCTAGGGTTTCAGATGCTTTCATGAAAAGGGGAAGCCAGGGGTGGAGTCAAGTGTCAGTACAACATCCAATCAGGCAGGCTGAGACCAGGGCCTCACCTGTTGACTCTTCTTTCTCCCTTAGTTGCCCTGCCCCTTAGTTACAACGTCAGATGGGACGAGGCTTGTTGTCAGGGCCTTTTCTTTACAGACCTGATGCTTACCTGTCCACCTCTTGCTTTTCCACTTTTTCCAGCATTCTCCAGGCTGGCAGCTGATTTATATAATCTAGCTGTAAACAAAGTGATAGCTTCAAGCATATTCTTCTTCCTTAGATATATAACACTCTCCAAAACTTCATACAGGAGGGAAGAGGGAGGGTGATTAAGCAGATTATAAAGATTCTTATAAGCTAGGGAGGATTCAGGCATTCCTGTGTTCCACAGAACTTATCCCACTGAAACCCCAGCAGAGTCAAAGTTTGCTGACACTAGAACTCCAGCACTCTGGCTGAGGCATCTGGGGAGTACCACATGGTTCTCAATTGTACTTTCCTTTCACAGGGTATAAACACACTTGACATTTGTTCTCTCATCCTCAACTCTCAAGAGAAAATGAAACTTCGAAGATCACTTACACACAAGCAAATTAACCTGGTATTTTGGAGCTGCAGCCTATGCTTCCTCCTGCCCAATCACTGTGGACTGTTCTCTGAACTTCATAAAGAAGCCCCACAAGAGAAGGAGAAAATCGTGATGCCTCCAAACACCAGCCCAGATGGTCACAGGGCCTGAGACCACTGAGTGCTTTTACAAGAATTACAGCACTGTACAACCAGCATTGTCTCATTCACCATCTTATCCATGCCCCCCGAACCAAGACAGGACTTTCTCAAAGTGGGTTTCAGAACTCTAATCCCCTGAAATGTTCCTCAGAAAAATTTCCCAAGGTCCAACAAGTTTGAGAAGTGTTCTGTACTGTGTTCTCCCTCCACTCTTTGACATTCACAGGCAGTTTAGCAAATTCAAAGCACTGAAAATTCCTACAATAAGATAGCTCTTTTGACTTTGTTCAGCTCAGAGAATCTTAAGTGTATCTTATCATAGAGCTTTATTGATTTATTGATTTATTGATTTATTTATTTATTTTTGAGAGGGAGTTTTGCTCCTGTTGCCCAGGGCTGGAGTGTAATGGCATGATCTTGGCTCAACACAACCTCCACCTCCAGGGTTCAAGCAATTCTCCTGCCTCAGCCTCTGGAGTACCTGGGATTACAGGCATGCGCCACCATGCCCTGACATAATATCTATGAAGACCTTGTGAAGTGAGCATTCTACTGAATATAGAAAATGCTGGCCCCCATCACTGTCTGGTTCAAATGAGAGGTGCGTGGATTTCGCAGGCCCCCACTTTAATTGGACATCTGTCAGTCTCATTAAAATACTTGGAGTATAGATTTTTTTAACTGTTTTATAAAGTGCTCTTTACTTCCAGTTCTTCATGCCAAAATAACCTCTTCCTTAGGGGTTTGAAATCAGCTGGCTTCAATCTAGAGCTGGGGCATTTCAACAAGTCACCAAGAAACTTTTTCATGAAGACATTCAGATCTACAAAGTTAAGGCAACCCACTTTTCGAAATTAATTTAGAACTACTTGCTGCCATCTTTCACTACTTAGTTTAAATACCATGTCTGGAGAAAATATATGTAATTTGCATTGTCAGTATCAAAAAAATGACAGTAATTGTAATTTCCATGAGCGGAACAATCTGTTATAAAAGAAATGTTAATACTCTTAAAGTCTAAATCCTTTACAGAATGTGGCATCTCTTCTGATGTGTCTCTTGGGCTTGAATGCTTTCCTTTAAATTGCACTGTATTTATAATTCTATTCACAGCTCGCGACACCCCGGTTTTGAATGTGTCTCCTGGGATTGATATTTGGTGCCATTTATTGACGAGGCAGAAGGAGGGTGAGAGGTAATCATTGCTGACTAGTGATCGATAGGGTAATCCTCAAACCTATCACAGACTCCCTAAAAACAGAGGGTGGCAAGGGTGATTTTTCTCAGCTCCAGTTCAATACAGCTATTACAGATATGTGTAGGCACTGAATTAGAGACGAATGCAGGCTCCGAGGTATACATCACATCAGGCCCTTTGTAGTGTAAGCATCACGGAGCAGACACAGAAGCGCCTGCGAATCACTGGCTAACACAATGTTGGCGAGATAAACTGATGGCCGGGCAGCGGCCAGAGAAGGGGGGCAATCAGATCTGAAGACGTTGGATTGGTAAATGGCGAGGGGGACTAGAAATTGGTATTTATGGCCGAGTTTGCCCCCAAAGTATAATTCTGACAAAGAGTTTCAAAATTGTCCATTTATTGTTTCTGTCAGCCTTTTTAGGACTGCTGAAAGAGAGCCTGCTGATCCTGACAAGATCAAAATGACCCTTGAAACCGTTTGATAATGGGCTGAACTCAGAGCACTTTGTTGCTCTCTCTACATGGTGCCTTTCTGTTGCAATGTAAGCGGCAGGAAAAGAAAGGGGATCTGCACAAAATCCACCCAGAAGCGGAAGTGTGCCTCTTCCCAAGCTTGAACTTCTTCAGTGAGAAATTCTCCATGTCCTACACAACATTTCGAGGAACACTGCTTCCTTTATCTCAGCCCCCGAGGAGCACCTCGAGCCTTTTCTCTCAGCGGGGAACAACCTGCCAGAATAATGGAATGGAGAGTAGAGTGTTGTGTTGGATTTCTTCTGACGCTGATGGAGTGAGCACATGCCGGAGGTTGCCTGTGGGTTTCCCATCCCTTCTACAAATGAATTGGGCTGGGAGGGGTGCAGGGTGGCTCCTCCAGCCAGAATGGAGTGAAGAGCTGCTCTTCCGCTCCGCCATCTGGGTAAAGCTGAACAACCGTGGCCGAGCCTAGTCTTGAGCCTTAGTCAAAGGATCTGTGGTTGGATAATCCCCCAAATAGTTGAAAGCTGTTTAAGGCTCAAGAAAACACTAAAAGGGGATTGCATTCATTTCTCAGAGCAAAGCTTACACAAATCTCTCCCTAAGGAGGACCAGCTACATAATTTGCGGAGCCCAGTGCAAAGTGAAAATGCAGAGCCCTTTATTTAAAAATTATAAGAATTTCCAGAGAGCAACAGCAGAGCATTAAACAAGGTGCAGAGCCCTTTGGAGGCTGGGCCCTGTGTGATTGCACAGGGTGCATGCCCAGGAAACCAGTGGTGCCCTGGGCTTCTATCTCATCACCAGCATCCTCTCTCTCTCTCTCTCTCTCAGACACAAGGGGGCTACCTCAAGTATCTGTCCTCTCCTTCTTCCAAGTGTCCCCCACATTCTTTCCCAAGCCAGTTCTGCAGAAACCTACCTAGTCTTTCTCTATATGACTCCATCTCCGTGTGTTATCCCATAGCTCCACTTGGCCTCTTGCCTCCTTCACTCTCCCCTATTTACCTGGCCCAGATTCAGTGCTATAAAGAATATTGCAGCTCATGAGATCTAGTCTTCCTTATAGGCAGAGGCATGAGGGAGAGGTTTAGAACACTTAAGTATATCTGTTAGTACTTTATTTATTCATATGTGTTCATTATTGACATGTATCATTTGTTATCAAGTGTTGGCGGTTATTTGCCATCCATAAAATGCAACTGCTTTCTAGCTCTGAGAATTTCTGTTCTAAAGTAGGCAACAAAGATGATGATAGATAGATAGCAGCTATTATGCACCCACTATGTGCTTGCTAGTAAAGGTCCTGAACCTTTTACACACATTAGCT